>NC_000023.11:147505909-147808939 GCF_000001405.40 Homo sapiens | reverse complement strand
CAATGCAAACTGACTGGCTTTCCAGAAAAGTCTGTTGTCTGCTAGTTGCCAGGTGTCTAGTGATGAGAACAGCATGCGGCCAATGTGGCAGAAAAATAAAGTGCACGCATGGCCAAGGGAAGGTGGTAAGAAGGGCTACACTGTGGAGACCCTCCTTCTCCCAAATCTGGCTGTCTCCATCTGGTCCTAGCTCAAAACACAGTCGTTTCCAAAAGCCATAATCTTGGTCCCTGGATAAACTACATAGGAAGGACTTAATGTAAAATCAGGGGTCTTGTGATGTGATCTGTGTCTCAGGAAGTCAGTGTGATGGGGCTTTAGCAGCCTAGTGCTCTCCTTAGCATAGACCAGACCCCATAGCGACTTAACTCCTAACACCTTTTCCTCTTTAGCATTCTGATACCTTGTGGCTCTTGCTGTAGCATGCAATCATGTCGGATAAATACTGTTTATTAAGTGCCTATACACAGGACTATAAACTATCCCCCTAACTGTGCAAAGCTGGTATCATTGCTGCCATTTTACAGATAATAAACTGATGCTCAGGTTAAGTGACTTGTCCAAAGCTATACAGGTGTTAAATAGATGATCTAAGATTTCAGTCCTGGTTTTTTGGGCTCCAAAGTTAGTTTTTCACTACCTTATTTGTTCATGAATTAATTAATGATGGTCCTAACATACATTTTTTCATTTAAATCATCACATTTGGTTTTCTTCATTGGTTAAATTGGCTAGATAATTGTCTAATACGGTGTAAATGTACTTACTGAGTATGAGATAGATATATACACACTTACTTGAAGTATAAAGTTTCATAGTAAAGATGTCTTTTTAAATTAATCATAAGTTTTTGTGACTCCTTGAATTTTAAGCTTGTGATAAGATAGAATTAACATTTGTGTTGTCTGGTTAGTCTGAGGGTGTCAGGTTTTCAGCAACTCAGAAATCCTGAACTCAAACTCCTGAACTTTCTTTTCCTCCCTGTCATCTCCTTCTCTCCAAGGCTGCTTCATATGGTGCAGACTGGAGACCAAACGACTCTGGGGAGTGCCACTAACATGGTAGACTATGTGACTGGCAACTGCTCTCCTTTCTCCTCTGCCTCTATTTTTGGATACACTTGTTTTGTTTAGGGTGTGATTGTGTGTGTGTGCACATGCAAAAGAGAAAATCATCTGACAGGAAAAATAATTAATGGAGAAGTGGTGATGGTTACAGCATTAATTAGGAATTGTTCTGTCAAGTAATGCAGAAAGAATGGCACCTGAAAGTTTAAACTCTGACACTAAATCTACCTCAGAACTAGAAACCAGCAAAGTGGCAAAACAAATTATGAATTCTCTTGGATATTCTGTTCCTGAAAACCCAGACAGATATATCCAGTCAGGTCAGAAGCTTATTTCTAGTGTTGAATGACATGTTTTGGAATTTTAACTGTGCAAAAGAGAGGGAAAGAAACAAAAGCTGACTAAAGAGTTCTCTTTGACCTAAATTACAAAAAGATTCTAGTAACAGATGGCTTCCTGGTCCAAAAGTAAGACAGAATCTAAAAGGTTATCAACTGTACACCTAACTACTTGCCACCATTGTAGTTTTTGCAGTGGAGTAATTGAATACTCTAAAACTATAAAGTTCCTTTCTCCCCTCCTCTCCTCTCCTTTCCTTTCCTTTCCTAGAAAATATCTGCAAGTAACTTGCAGTTATAATATTGTCTGTCCAAAAGAGAGAGGGCAATGAATGGTAAAGACCAAGTGAAAGGAGCTGAATGCAGAGCAAATGACATTACTGAAAATCTTAGATCATGTGAAAGAAGGAAATTATGCTGTTTTTGATGAGACAGTTTTTCTTTGTATATTGAGTATATGAGTGTCAATACACCAAAGACTTTCATTTTTAATTTCTCCCTCTAAGAGCTTGTATTAGTTCGTTAGGGCTTCCATAAAACATACCCCGAACATTTAGGTCATAACAGAGTCTTGTAGATTTCTTAGATTTGAATATATATTTCAAACATGAAAGATATTTGAAGAAAAGAAATATTGCATTTGGAATTAAAATCACATTTCTATATCATTTTTGGAAAGTCATCTATACTGAGCATATGAGGGTAGGCCCACTCCTGACAGTTGTAGAATCTGGGAAAAGGGTTAAATGAAAGCCTATGAATCATTTTATCTAAATATTTAAAAGTTCTGAATCATGCTAACAGAGTACTAAATAAAATACAGTAGTCCCTTGGTATCCATGGGGATTGTTTCCAGGACTCCTGCAGGTACCAAAATCCGTGGATGCTCAAATCCCTGATATAAAATGGTGTAATGTTTGCATATAACCTACACGCATCCTCCTGTATACTTTAAAGCATCTCTTCATTACTTATAATGCCTAATACAGTGTGAATGTTATGTAAAGAGTTGTTATACTGTATTGTTTAAGGAATAATGAAAAGGAGAAAAACGTCTGTAAATGTTCACTACAGAAGCAACCATCCATTTTTTTAAATATTTTTAATCCGTGGTTAGTTGGAGCCATGGATGTGGAACTTGAGGATGTGGAGGGCTGACTGTATGTTCTATCTATTTGCCTTGACAAATATACCTTCATAGCAGTCTTGATGGGCAGGATTCAATTTAGAACTCTCAGACTGCTCAGAGCTCTGGGTCAGAAGATGATAGCACATTTCTCTTCCCACCCTAGCTCAGCCCACCTCATGAGGGATCTCATGCAGAATCATTTGGATCCCCCAGGTGATGTATTCAAGTCCTTTCCAAGTGGCGATGCCTTGGTGGCCCCTCAGCTCTAGGGATGCACATGTCTTGGTGTGATAGGCTCCAGGAGAACAACCTTCAAGAAGAGGCCTGAGCAGGCCTTGGAAGCAGACCGAGGCAATTTAGGAAGGGAGTTCTTGGGTCCTGGGTGCCCAAACTGACAGTTGAAAGGGTTGATCATGGGCTCCAAGGAGGCACATTCCTCTTAACTCTGAGAACTCTTTACCCTTTGAGAGAAAGGGCATAGCCAGAGGATGGCTAGAGCAGAATTTGTTGCGTAAACCAGGGTGGTGTAGCTAGCAAGGCAGTGTGAAAACAAGGCCAGAGCTCTGTTACTAATCAACTATAAGACTCTAGGTCTTTCCCCATCTGGGTCCTTTAAGATGGTTTTAGGGCATTCCAGTTAAGTGGCATGCAATGGCCAACTAGGTAGGAACCACATTTTCGTCATTCTGTGATGAAGAAACAAAATGCAATCAAGTGAGAACAAATGGGTCCCGAAAAGGTCTGCCAGCAGTAAGGCACCCTGACAGGTAGCTGGGCATTGGTCCTGCTGGGACCTGGGTGTGTAGCAAGAGGAGCCCCAGTTGTCTTCAGGGTCTCCTATGAGACTAGAGTAATCTCTGACTTTAACCAAATAGACCCATTGGAAGTTATCCCAGGTGGGGTTGTGTTGTCATCCAAGAAGTGAGACATGAATGCGGTAGGAAAAAGGAGAGAGCACCAGAAAGAAAGAATTTGTTAGGGTGACTCAAGCCAGTCCTGGCCAAGGGAGACAAACACTGTGTCCTGCACACAACTCTGCTTCTTCCAAGGTGTATCCAGGAGTTGGGTGGGATGATTAATTCTCTGACCCTTCTCTGGCCTGTAAACAATGGCCCAGCAACTTGGTCAGTCTTTTTGTTGTCATTTCATAATGAAAAAAAGTTACCTTCAGAAACTTTGCTTTCCCAGCTACCTTGTTACTAATGAGGCTGCACACACTGGTTTCACACCAGAGAACTATTTTCTCCTCAGAACACGAATCCATTGGTTTCTGCTTTATCAATTAACTTTGTTGGCCAGAATCAGGTCTTCAAGAGAATGAATGACTCTGGGAAAACGGAGTTCCTGAGAGAGCAAAGCTGAGGTGCTGACCTTGTGCAGTCAGGCTTCTGGTTTTCCCCTTTCTCGCTGTCCTTTTTCTTTTCTTTTTTTTTAGAGACAGAGTGTCACTCAATCACCCAGGATGGAGTGCAATGGCACTATCATGGCTCACTGCAGGCTCGACCTCCCAGGCTCAAGCAATCCTCTTGCCTCAGCCTCCCGAGTAGCTGAGACTACAGGCCACAGACACTATACTTGGCTAATTTTCTTTTAATTTTGTGAAAATGAGGTCTCACTATGTTGCCCAGACGGGTCTCCAACTCCAAGCCTCAAGCAATCCTCCTGCCTCGGCCTCTCAAAGTGCTGGGACTACAGGCATGAGCCACTGTGTCCAGCATCCCTGTCATTTTTCTTTTGCCTTCTACTATCTCTTTCTACCTTCCCCTTTACCTTACCCTTCTCTCTCCCTTCTCTTTGTCTCTCTTCCCGCCTTCTCCCAATCTCTCTCTTCCCCCTTTTCTCCTCCCTCTTCTGTCCCCTTTTGCTCTTTCCTGTCTCTTTTCTTCTGACTTTCATCTGCTCATTGCTTCCTCCCCCACCCCTTTCCCTTCCCTCTTCTCTTTCTCTCTAATTGCCTTTAGAAATAGTTGCTACAGTCGATGGATGGTCTAAATTTTAAAATGTTTGAGTCTGCAGTTTGTTAATATTTCCCCAGAATCTAGTTTCATTTTCAACCAGAGAATTTTATGTAATTAAACCAAAAATAGAACAGGATATTTCCAAAGAAGCATTAGCTCAAAGCCTGCTGTTCTCACCCTTCCACCCACCCCTCACTCACACACATACTGAGATTCAAGGCACAAATTCACGGTGATATAACCCTAGTTCTGCCTGTATCTCTGTTATTTCTTCTCACAATTCTAGATGAGGCCTCATGGGGGAGCTGCTATCTCACTGTAGATAAACCTATACTGTTGTTTCCAACAAGGACTGACCTTTACAGATTGAAATGAAGAGTGACTTTTACTACAGAGAAAAAGGTTCTCGGTTGTTATTTTCCTGCAGGTGTCTTTATTTTGTTTCCCTCAAGAGCCAACAAATACATTCTAATGAAGTTTAGAGCTTCATTTTACCTTAGCAAAATAAAATCTCAAACTGAAAAATAAGATGTTCATTGTAGAAAGATTTTACTTGTTGAACAGTCAAATCAAAGAAAATTTCTAGTACTTTCTCCTTCCACAGAGAGGTTTCACATGCAACATCCTCAGATAAAAAGTTCATTGTATATTAATTTCTTATAGCAACACCAGATACGTAATCCTAAAAGAATTCAGGATTGGGAAATAAAAATGAATCACGTGGGCTAACTTGCAAATTAATTTACAAACACAAATCTTGTCAATTTTTAAAATAAAGTTCCAGGGGAGAGTAAATAGAAGGTAGTTTGATGTATCTGATTGCTGCAAAAGCTGATTTATCTGGCATTCAATCAATTGGAAATTTCTATGAATCTATACTTTGCTGCAGCTCCAAGACAGTGAGGACTGATGTTCCTATTGACCTAGAGGAACCAAAGATTCTCAGTGACTCCTGAATCATCAACAAAGAAACAGTTTTGCCTAGTAAAGCCTTAGTTCCAAGCAGATATTTCCTGGGATTCTTTTTTTAAAAATTGATTAACTACAGCATTTTATATGACTCAAGATTATCCAGTTTATGTTTCTCATTTGCAATCAAGGAAACTGAAATCTGGAAAGGGAAAGGGACTTCCCTAGGGTTACCCAGATGTGGTCCTTTTCCAAATATGTTCTATGGGATCCTGGTGGGTACTGAAATACTTTCAGGGCCACCAGTTGGACAGGCGTATTGATTGGCTATCCCCTGGCTCCATTCTCCTGCTTCAATTACAACATCTGTTTTTAATCTGTGTGATAGACTTACTGTTCTGGGAATATTAAGCAAATATATTTTCTTTCTTTGTAATCTCAGTTTCTTGTCATTCTAAGGTTTCTGAATCAAAAGCTATGCTTGGCCAACACAGATAGTAGGATTTCTTCCATAATAGGTAAAGGTTACTCTTTCCATCATTAAGGCTTAGTAATTAGCCTTAGCACCCCAGAAAAAGGAATTGGGTATAACATAAGGGAAGTCCCTACTGGAAAGGAAAAGGAAAGAAGATAAATCTAACCCTTTCTAAGTGGGTTTAATTCTTTAAAGAGAAAGACGTCTGATGGAGAGGAACTAGGTGAGAAACACGAGCCCTGACCACCCCCTATAGGCTCAAGTCCTGGAGTTGGAAGGCTGTTACACAGAGCAAATAACGTTCCCTGCTCATTCCCTGTTTAGAGCCCTTGGTCTAGTGGGAAAGTGACAGTAATGAGGAAGGTAACTAGATAGAAACTTGGCTTTTCATGACCTTTACATGGTATGCAGCAGATGCAGAAATTTCTGGATATCTCACATATGGGAAGGCCAAGAGAAGCCCAAGGTAAGGCCAAATAATTGGCTGCAGGTAGGTAGTTTAATATTGTGATAAATGGGCTCCAAGAATGAATGTATAAACCTCAAAGGCCAGATGGGACCAGTTTTTTATTTATTTTATTTTATTTTATTTTATTTGAGATGGAGTCTTGCTCTGTCGCCCAGGCTGGAGTGCAGTGGCACGATCTCTGCTCACTGCAAGCTCCGCCTCCTGGGTTCATGCCATTCTTCTGCCTCAGCCTCCCGAGTAGCTGGGACTACAGGTGCCCGCCACCACGACTGGCTAATTTTTTTGTATTTTTAGTAGAGATGGGTTTCACCATGTTAGCCAGGATGGTCTCGATCTCCTGACCTCGTGGTCCACCCGTCTCGGCCTCCCAAAGTGCTGGGATTATAGGCGTGCGCCACCACTCCCGGCCGGGACCAGTTTTTAGTGATCAACGGTTCCAGGACCAGACCAATCCAGACATTCCTCTACAGAGACAAAAGAAGAATCAGAAAACATCAGGGAGATCTGAGGTTAATTTCTCTCCTTCCATTGTGAAATGAACTAAGCCACCCTTTTCAACAGGAAGAGGGATCAACGGGATGAGGAAGCAATATGAAAGAATGAACATTTACCTCAAAGAGAATTTAACTGCAGATTGTCTAGTATATGTTTCTCATTTTGCAACCGAGGAAACTGAAGTCCAGAATGGGAAAGAGACTTCTCAAGGGTTACTCAGTTGTGGCCCTTTTCCAGATATGTTCTATGGAGTCCTAGGGGGCTCTGGATATACTTTCAGGGCCACCAGTGAGAGAGGGGTACTGACTGGCTATCCCTTGGGTCCATTCTCCTGTTTCAACCAAAAAAAGACTGCTTAAACCAGTCTTATTTAGGGTTTTAAAAAAGCCGCAGGGCTTTCAGGCTCCCACTGTTTCTTCTTCCTTTGCTCTTTCTTGACTATGTTTAGGGTTAGGTCACTCACAGCAACCTGGACACAGGAGGCAATATGATGAGGTGGAAAGCATATTGGAAAGCCAGGAGAGCTAAGCTGAAGTGCTTGGTTTTGCAGTTAAGTCCCTGTGACCCTGAGCAAGTTACATCACTTTTCTAGGCTTCAGACTGTATATTTATAAAATTGGCCTGAGGAGTTCCATGAGATCTCATTTACATTCGCATTTTAATGTTATAGAAATGCCAACATTTTCTTTGGTGGACTCCAGATCCCCTTCTAAATTCCTCCTCGACTCTAGCAGTTAAGAATAAAGTTTTTTTTCTCAGTTATGTTAACTTTATTTAATAGGCTGAAATAGTCTCAAAAATCTTTCTCTTCATCAGATGTTTACAAAACTTTTGGCCTTTGAGCTCCAATCTGGAGCTTTACTCCATCTATAATATGATTTTCCTGTTATAGTGCATTCTGAAGTTCTTCTGAAGAAAACTGAACCCAACCCAAACCTCTGTGAAAGCCAGTCTCCTTGTCAAAAGGTACAACACATTTTTGGATATGGCCAAACTGTGCAAAGACACCATCAGCTGATTTGACGCTGCGGTCCAAGGAATTTTGCTAACAAAAGCAACCGGCCTACTGATACTTGTATGAAGCACCATGGCACCTTTCCATGCTAAGGCAGCCATCTTTAGGCTCAAAAGTTCTTTTTTTGTTGTTATTTGAGTTCCTTGTATACTCTGGATATTAGTCTCCTGTTGGATGAAGATTTTGCAAATATTTTCTCCCATTCAACAGGTTGTCTCTTCACTCTGTTGATTGTTTCCTTTGCTGTGCAGAAGCTTTTTGCCTTAATGTAGTCCCATTTGCCTAATATTTTGTTGCCTGTGCTTTTGGGGTCTTAGCCAAAAAATCATTGCCTAGACCAATGTCCTGGAGTGTTTGCCCTATGTTCTCTTCCAGTAATTTTATAGTTTTGGTTCTTACATTTATGATGAGAGATAGGGGTCTTGTTTTATTCTTCTGGGTATGGATATCCAGTTTTCCCAGCGCCATTTATTGAAGAGACTGTCCTTTCCCCAGTGCATGTTTTTGGAACCTTTGTTGAAAATCAGTTGACTGTAAATACATGGGCTCATTTCTGGCTTCTCTATTCTGCCCCATTGGTCTGTGTGTCTGTTTTTGTACTAATGCCATGCTGTTTTGGTTACTATAGCCTTGTAATATATTTTCAAGTCAGGTAGTGTGATGCCTCCAGCTTTGTTCTTTTTGCTTGGAATTGCTTTGGCTATTAGGGCTCTTTTGGGGTTCCATATACATTTACAATTCTTTTTTCTATTTCTGTGAAGAATGTCATTGGTATTTTG
The DNA here is from genome assembly GCF_000001405.40 of Homo sapiens. Lineage (NCBI taxonomy): Eukaryota > Metazoa > Chordata > Mammalia > Primates > Hominidae > Homo > Homo sapiens. The sequence continues at coordinate 147,800,305 of NC_000023.11, read as the reverse complement.
ATAAAGATCACATTGAATCTGCAGACTGCTTTGGGTAATAGGATCATTTTAATGATATTAATTATTCCAATCCATGATCATGAGATGTCTTTTCACTTGTTTGTGTCATCTTCTATTTCTTTCATCAACTCAAGAGGCCTTTAACCTTCTTGGCTAAATGTATTCCTATGTATTTAAATTTTTGTAGCTATTGTAAATGAGATTGTTTCCTTGACTTCTTTTTCAGGATTTTTTGGATAAGACTTCAAAAGTACAGACAAGAAAAACAAAAATAAACAAATGAGATTACATAAAATTAAAAAGCTTCTGCTCAGCAAAGGAAACGATCAACAGAATGAAAAGACAAACTACAGAATGGGAGAACATATTTGCAAACTACACATCTGACAAGGGGTTAATATCCAAGATATATTAATACAAGGAACTCAAACAACTAAATAGCAATAATAGTAATAATAATCCAATGTAAAATGGGCACTCCAAATAGACATTTCTCAGAAGAAGACATACAAATGGTCTCTTCATATGCATGTATATGAAAAAAATGCTTAATATTACTAATCATCAGGAAAATACAAACCAAAACCATGAGATATCATCTTACTCCAGTTAAAATCATTATTATAAAAAAGGCAAAAAATAACAGATGTTGGCAAGAATGTGGAGAAAATGGCACTTTTATTCATTGTTGGTGGAAGTGGAAATTAGTACACAGCCATTATGGAAAACAGTATGAAAATTTCTCAAAAAAACAAAAAACAGAACTACCATACTATCCAGCAATCCCACTACTGTGTATCCAAAGGAAAAGAAATAACTATATCAAAGAGATACATGCACCCTCATGTTGATTGCAGCACTATTCACAATAACAAAGATTTGGAATCAACCTAAATGTCCATCAGTGGCTGGATAAAGACAATGTGGTATATTTACATAATGAAATATTATTTGGCTATAGAAAGAAGGAAAGCATGTCATCTGATGCAGCATGGATGGAACTAGAGGTGATTATGTTAAGTAAAATAAGCCAAATACAGAAAGACACATTTCTTTTTTTTTTTTAATTTTACTTTAAGTCTCGGGATACATGAGCAGAATATGCATGTTTGTTACATAGGTATACATGTGCCATGGTGGTTTGCTGCACCTGTCAACCCGTTATGTAGGTTTTGAGCCCCACATGCATTAGGTATTTGTCCTAATGCTCTCCCTCCCCTTTCCCCTGACCCCACAACAGGCCCCAGTGTGTGTTGTTTCCCTTCCTGTGTCCGTGTGTTCTCATTGTTCAACTCCCATTTATGAGTGAGAACATGCAGTGTTTGGTTTTCTGTTCTGGTGTTAGTTTGCTGAGGATGACGGTTTCCACCTTCATCAATGTCCCTGCAAAGGACATGAACTCATCCTTTTTTTATAGCTGCATAGTATTTCCATAGTGTATATGTACCACATTTTCTTTAACCAGTCAATCAATGAGGGGCATTTGGGTTGGTTCCATGTCTTTGCTATTGTAAATAGTACTGCAATAAACATACATGTGCATGTGTCTTTATAGTAGAATGATTTATATTCCTTTGGGTATATACCCAGTAATGAGATTGCTGGGTCAAATGGAATTTCTTGTTCTAGATCCTTGAGGAATCATCACACTGTCTTCCACAATGGTTGAACTAATTTAATTCCCACCAACAGTGTAAAAGTGTTCCTATTTCTCCAGAGCTTCACCAGCATCTATTGTTTCCTGACTTTTTAATAATCACCATTCTGACTGGTGTGAGATGGTATCTCATTGTGGTTTTGATTTGCATTTCTCTAATGATCAGTGATGATAAGGTTTTTTTCATAAGTTTGTTGGCTGCATAAATGAGAAAGACGAATTTCTTATGTTCTTACTCGTATGTGGTATCTAAAAAAGTTGATTTCATGGAGGTGGAAAGTTGAACAACAGATACCAGAGGCTAGGAACAGTGAGTGGGTGGGATGGGGGAATGAAAAGTGGTTGGCCAATGGGTACAAACATACAGTTAGATAGAAAGAATAAATTTTAATGTTTGATAGTAGAGTAGCATGACTATAGTTAACAACAATGTATTGTATATTTCAAAATAGCTACAAGTGAGGCCTTGATATATACCATACTACATATAACGATAAATGCTTGAGGTGATGGATATCCTAAATACTCTGACTTGTTCATTACACATTCTATGCATGTAGTAAAACATCACATGTACCCCATAAATATATATAAATATTACATATCAATAAAAAGAACAATAAAAAGTAAACAGAATTTTAAAAATAATATAAGTTCAAGAGATACTTAGCCTCATACAGTGACATTCCTTGGTGAGGTCCCAATAACTTTAGGTCTGGTTCCTGGCCTTATCGGTTCAGGGCTTGGAATGGGTCAGTGAACACCGAGGAAATCAAGCTATGGGGGCTGACTCAGTTAACCAGATTCACAAGAGACTGATAGAGTTCTCAGTCTTTTCAAGAATTCTAGCTCTTAGGGTCTAGAGGAGGAAGTATAAAAGAAAACAAATACCTGCGTGATTTCCCAGCTTCTGCAAAGACTTTATGCATGTCACAGTGCCTTGAGCACAATGGGACTTGGGATGTTAATGTTTTGCACCTAAATCCAAACTAGCACTCATATTTTATAATTTGAAGATATTTGTTCAGGATGTTGTTTTCCTCTTGTTGATGCTCTGCTTATAAGGACCTACAGGATGGAGCTTTAAAGACCAGTCACCTTCGTGATTGACTTGGGCCCTTCTTCTTTACCCAGCATCAATAATCAGTCAAATGTCCAGGATTTTAGAACTTCTGCATATTAGCTAGATAGAAGGTAAACTATCTGGGGGCAAATGAACCATAGATAGCAACCAAATGGCACTAGATAAAGCATGCAGGGGCCCAGGAGATCAAAAAGGAAGAAATAGTAACTAGGTTGTCTTAATCAGGGGTTAAGCGTGGAGCCCAAAACAGAAAACGATTTTTTCCCCATAGACTCAACACATCTGAATAGAAAACTATTTTTTTAAGATGAGACCCTAACAGTATAGACCATGATGGAAACACAGAATTTAAACTGAGAAACTGAAACTATTCTCTGCCCTTTAGAAAACTATACAAAAGGAAGCAAAGCTTCTAGCAGGAGGTGACCTGGGGAGCGTAAACTCAGAGCAGAGAAAATTTGATGGCCTTCATGGTCAGTGCCATCAGCTGTCACAGTTGATGACACTAGGAATGAGATGATAATTATTATTATTAGTAGTAGTTTTTGATGACCAGGGCCCCTGTGCTCAGGCAAGGCTACAGACTTGGGACTCATTCCAACTCTCACTTCTTTGGCTTGATTCCAAGCAGGCCTCACCCATCTGTTGCCACATAGTTGCCTCAGATAGTCCAGTCACTGTGCGATTGAGAAAATTATATCTTCATATTAATTACATTCTATTTCCTGGGAAGTATCCTGAGATGTTGATGGATGCTATGGAAATATCCAAAGCTTTAAGCAAAATGCTGCTTCTTGTGTCTTATATTCTCTATCACAAGCTGGTTTGTACTAGCGTCTACCTCATAGGATTGAGCTTGTCCTCCTGTGGTTCCCTGTGCATATTCCTTTCTACCGACTAACAACAGCTACCAGACAGGTTCTCTTTATTTACTGAATTCTGGAAGAGGACCTCTTATCAAGATGGTGGCATATGTTTGAGATAGAAAATAGTCCAGGGAATCCACTTTGCTCTGTAAATGTAAATAAATATAAGACTCGATTATAAAAGGCGACTCCTAGATAAAGGTTTTTTTGTTTGTGTGTTTTGTTTTTTTTTTGTTTTTTGAGATGGAGTCTTGCTCTGTCGCCCAGGCTGCATGACACATGGCAACGATAACATCTTGAACATATTTCTTCACTTTTAAAGCTCCATTTCTCTATCTGATAAATGGAATACATCCACTGATTCGTTATAAAAAGCCCATGAGATTATGCATGGTATGCGCCTGACATAAAATAGGTGTTCAATAAGCAATGCGCATTTTACCTTTTTCTGTTTCCTTTTGTTAGGAAGTACACATTTCCCAAGTTCAAATGGCTACACACTGCTTTATTAGTTTATCATGGCTGCTGTAACAAATTTCCACAAACTTAGTGGCTAAAAACAATGAAAATTTATTCTCTTATAGTTCTGCAGCTGAGTAGTCCAGATTGAGTCTCACTGGGCTGAAGTCAAGGTGTTGGCAGGGCTGGTACCTTCTAAAGACTCTAGGAGAGAATTTGTATTCTTACATTTTCCAGCTTCCAGAGGATGCCTGCATTCTTCGGTTCATGGTTCCTTCCTCACATCACTCAACTTCACGTCTCCTTCTCTGACTCTGACCCTCCTGCCTCCCTCCTTCCCATATAAAGACTGTTGTTATTGGGCTCGCTCAAATAATCCAGGATAATCCCCGATTTTAATTTCCTTAACTCAATCACATCTGCTAAGTCCCTTTTGTCACATATCACAACATAGTCACAAATTTTGTGAATTAGAAATTGGACATCTTTTGCAGGGAGGGCATTATTCTGCCAACCACAGATGTTATGAAAAAGGTGTAAGTTTGATGAGACCTGCATTTCAGGTCCAGAGTTAAGGGTTGGGAAGAGACAGCTCTTCAGCTGAAGCCAAGACATGTTTTCCCTTGCAGTCCTTGAAAGAATGGGCACATAGCAGGGGCAGTTGGATCAAGACCAATACATCTCAGGGGCAGGGTGCTGGAGAGAGGACTGGGATGACACATTTCCACTCATATTTTGTTCCAAGATAGTTTTGAAAACACAGAGTGTTTTCAAGAACATTTGCTGAACATCCAGAAGTACCCAAGTGTTTGTCTTTAAAAGAAAGACTGTCACAATCTAGCCCTTGGGGTCTACAAAATTACCTATCAGGGAAATCAAAGGAACAGAGTAAGATGAGCTAGCATATGTGACCCAGAGGATCACACAGAAAGGTAATCCTAGAGTTTTGAGGGTGTACAATAATGGACTCAGTCCTTCTCAACCTGATTGGGTTTGGGCTCTCTGCCAAAGGAGAAATGGATTTGCTTTAATGTACATCCTCACTTTCAGGTTCTGGGGAACACTTTAGATGCCTGCATCAACCTGGTCCAGGGATTCGTATATATCTGCAAAGAGCCCTTTCACCAAAATCATGGCATGAGATAGAGATTTCTTTCCTTCTAATCTGTATTCCTTCTATTTATTTTGCCTGTATAAGCAAAATATGAACTTTCATTTTGTTCCTTGGCTTCTGCATGTCTTGTTTTGCCCTAAACAATCCTGGATGTAGGATTCAACTCCTCATCTTGTTCCCCTAAAATATCCACTTCCACAAATATGGTAGTGTGTGGTAAGGATATTACTGAAGATTTCATAGCAAACACGGAAGAGAGGATTCATACCACAAACTCCTTGGTTAACTATGGAAAAATTTCCCACTAATGATTTCTTTCTCTTATAGTATCCCCATCACCTTGCCATACTGCCTCTGATGATTAGCTGTCTGCCTCTCTTTTATCTCATACAGTTCCTGTACCTTCACTAATTCCAAAGGAGCCAAAAGTGTGGTAGCAAGTGCTTCCCCTAGAAGCCAAGCCTGCAATATGGTCAAAGCCTTCAAAGGGAACCCTGAGTAAACTTAACTCCAGCACTGGTCTAATTCTGCCAAGTCGTGCCATTCATCTTTCATCCTCTGAATTGCTATTTGTTAAATAGAGGTTTTGGATATGGTTAAAAAATTAATTTCTCTTGAATTTCTTGTCCATTTACATTATTTTTGAGGAAACGTTATTGTGCCTGGGATGACAGATGTCAGCTAGTTAAGGAAGTTGAAGTGAAGTGAGAGTTTCCAGGACACCATTAACAGTCTTGTGTGGTCCAAGGAGTTTCCAGCACTCAGCTGCAGAGGGAAGCTTCCTTGGTGATCACTGATAAGCAATAACTAGACCACGGACTAATTGAAACCTTCCCTGACTGTCCTATGTCTGAAAGTGGGAAATGAATCTTCCCCATTCTTGGTGCCAGAAAGAAAGAAAAAAAGGTGAAGGAGTAGTTAGATATGAGTTAGATATGTTAGTTATCAATTCAGGCATAGTCAGAAGATGAGCACTCACAATTTCTCTCCCACGGAAGCATGGGGTTGGTTTTGGAGTCTGGGAGGCACTGGTCAGAATGTTGGTAGCAGACTGAGCAGACAATGAAAGCGTAGCCTCTTTGGGTTTCGGCCACCTCTATACCTTCTCCCTTGCCAATTAGGAGATCTGAGTGGTGTGTTCAAAGCCAAAGAGCTGTGCAAACCCTGTCACCAAGCTAGATGGCGAGATGCTGACCAGAAGTTGATCATGCCTTGTACAGGCAAGATGACTAAGAAGAAGAATCTAGGTCAAGGACTAGCACACAAATCTCTGTTGCTGACCTCTCCCTGTGGGTGCTCATTTATTTTATTTAAAAATTAAAAACAAATATCTTTCACAGTACTTACATCTCACCAAAAAATTACAGAAATATTAATCATAGTTCTAAGAAAGTGATATGACAATGGCAACTAACAGAATAGAAGGAAGACAATAATATTTTGAACTTCCCTTCTTTCTGGTCCATCCAGAATTCTCCTATCAAGCAGACCTCTCTGGCGTGCACAATACATTACGGATCTACCAATTCCTTAGAGAAAAATGTTTTTGTTAAAGAGATAGCTACATTTACTTGTTTTAAAATAGAAAGCACTATGGCAACTGAAAACATGATTTGTAATAACCTTGTATCCAGGACGGTTCACATAAAAGGCCCAGGCAATAAAAATAGATTATAAAAATATGGAGAGTGCTATAACGAACTTGAATCTTAATTCATATCCACCTCAACATTTTGTGAGAGGATCTGATATGGTTTGGCTCTTTGTCCCCACCCAAATCTCATCTCGAATTGTAATCCTCATGTGTTGAGGGAGGGAAGTGATTGGATCATGGGGGCAGTTTCCTTCATGTTGTTCTCGTGATAGTGATTTCTCACAAGATCTGATGGTTTTATAAGGCACAGTTCCCTGCTCTTGCATGCTCTCCCTCTTGTCTGCTGCCATGTAAGACATGCCTGCTTCCCCTTCCACCATGATGACATGATTGCAAGTTTCCTGAGGCCTCCCCAGCCATGTGGAACTGTGAGTCAGTTAAACCTATTCTTTTATAAATTACCCAGTCTTGGATATTTCTTTGTAGCCATGTGAAAACCGTCTAATACAGCATCTCTTCAGTGTGAGTTACATTCTTTTACATTTCTTAAAAACGTGAAGTTGGACAAATTCAGAAACTTGGTCAAAACTCAAATTGGGCTGGTGAACAATCATGAACAATTTTCTCTCTAATCTCATAATAACCCTTTGCATTTAGACACATTAGGCATAATGTAAACTTTCTACAGAAAAATGTGTGTGCAAATTCCAGGGATTGTGGGCAATAGTGACATTTTTAAAAAGTGACATTTTAGTACATCCTCACTTTCAAAAGCAGCAGGCTTTGGGGATGCTATTTGCCAAATAACCTATGAAAGAGTTTCTTTTAATGTGTGTATACTTAATAAAGGTATTATGGATCTCCTGCCCTAATTTCTAGGTCAGGCCATTCAATTTATCCTCCCTAAAAGATTTTTTGGAGTATCAGTGGAAAAAAATTAGATCAGAGAAACCTCTAGGTAGCAGTGCTATTTTGCCACCTGACAATCCTGCATTCTTTTCCAAAGTTTGTACACAATGGTTTTGGCTTTAGGGCCCATATCAAAGTTCTTTCAACGTTTTTTTTAATCCTGAGGAAGAGAGTCTTACTGATGTTCTCTTGAGTTTTATATAATTTGAATCAATTTAACATACACCATATTTTTCTTGTGCCATCAAGATTAGTTTAACTTAAGAGAGTTGGGTCCACTGCAGTATTTGTTATACAGACCTAAAAACAGTTATTGAAATGCTTGACAATAAAAATGCATTTTGTGTACTATAAGATTTTCTCAAGGGATATATCTTTCTTGGGGGGCACAAGTCACTAGTGACTATTAGAATTAAATTGATAATTAGTATTAATATTTAACTTCCCATTGAGAATTAGATATTAAGAGCTATGGCAGTTCTTCCTAATTAAGTAAAGAGGTAAACATTCAGAGACTCCAGTAATGTCTGATTGTTGAGAGTACTCTTTATAAATTTGACCTCTTGGAGACTTTTAGCATGTAGCAAATATAGATGTTATGGTTGTTTGCTCTACAAATAAATAGATTATACTGAGCTGGAAATCTTTTTGAATTGGTATATCTTTAATGGATCTTTTATTTAATGAGTACCAGGTGAATTTCACATTAAATTTGTTTAGCTTCTGGCAATCCTATGGAAGTAAGTCTTCTGTCCTCCACAGGTAATATTTATGAAAATTCATCAGGTGAAATAATACATGAAAGTATATAAAGAATAACACATTGTCTTTTATAATTCATAATCATCTTTGCATGCTTTCTGTATATTTCTGGTGGTCCTAGAATAAGTGACAATATATTATACAAATATATAAAATAAAGCACATTAGAAGTATAAGCAAGAGGGAAAAAAAGAATTCACAACACAGTCAGATTTTATAGTCATTACATTTCACTGGAAAGCAAAATGTCTCTTCTTTGCCTATTACCTTCCACAGGCTCAATATTGGCATTGGAAAACAAAGTGCTGAGTATGGCACTTCCTGCCTTATTTCCATGATGTATGGGCTAAATCATCAGGGCAGATAATTTGAGTTCATCAGCAATATTGAATTTGTGTTTTAATGTGAACACCTTACCAAGTCCTGGCTTACGAACTTCGCAAATGATGTGTGTCTCTATGTTAGTGTGCTTTGACTTCTGGCCCTTGAAAGCAAACAGCACATATAGTGTCCCACATTCCAAAGCCTCAAGAGATGGAGAGACTGAAGGGCAGAGCACTGCAGGTGGAGGGAACAGCATGGAAAAAGGCATGGGGTTGGGAAAGTATGTTCAGCGAACTACAATGTATCTGTAGCTTGTTTAGAAAAATAGGGTTTATGTTGGAAAGTAATGGCCTATAAACTTATGGTGGATTTTTAATGCCAAACTCCTGAAAAGTAAACTTATTCTGTCTAGATCAGGAGTAGGCAAACTATGGCCCTTGGGTCAAATCCAGCTGGCTGCTTTTTTTTGGAAAACAAAATTGTATTAGAACACTGCTAGACTAATTCATTTACAAGTTGCCTATGCTTGTTTTCATGCTGTAACAGCACAGTTGAGTAATTGTGACAGAGATGATCTAGTCCATAAAGTCCATGACTATAACAATATATTCATATATAAAATAATGTACATTAGAAATATAAGCAAGTGAAAAAAATGAATTCACAACACAGAAATTTTACAGTCATTACTTTTCACTGAAAAGCAAAACATCTCTTCTTTGCCCATTACCTTCCATAGGTTCAGTGTTGACATTGGGAAATTAAGTTCTGAGTATAGCACTTCAACAGTATTTGCTGTTTACATTTTGAAAAAGTTTGCTGACACTTGGGCTGGGCAACGGGGAATTTAAAATGTTTGAGCAGAGGAATGACAAAATCAAAATAGTAACACATGATAGTTATTCTAAAAGTTGCAGGTAGGAGATTTGATACTGAAAGATTAGTTAGGACGATATTGTAGTATAACCCGGATTTTAAAAACTGAGATGATGGCAGTGACAATAAAATGGAAGAGACAGATGTGAGAGAAATGGTACAAGTAGAATCAACTCTGCTGGAAACGAGTTGCAATGTGGAGCAGAAAGAAGGAGAGTTAGATGATTGGGGTTTTATTTGTAAGACACTAACTGGATGTTAGTATTATGAACTAAGATAGGTCACACGGTGGGGCTATCAAATTTCAGAGGTGAGGCTAAGTTGAGTATGGGTTTGGACATGTTGAGTCTGATATGCCATTGTGACATTCAGGTAGCAGTGTCCGATAGACATGAGTTTAGAGCTGAAAAAGAGATCTGGGCTGCAGATTAGGAATTATAAGTTATTTACAAGCAAGAGAGTTTTGAATCGAAGGAGATAATGAATACGCTGAGAAGAGAATATTAGAGAATAGCCACATTTGCTGTTGGCAAACAAAGGAAACAAAGAAGATACAGGGAAGCGGCCTAGGAGATGAAAGGAAATGCAAAAGCATGTAGCGTTCCAGAAGCTTAAACAAGAGATTCAAGAAAAAAGACATTGTCAGTAGTATCAGAAGCTGCCAAGGTGTCTGGGAAGTTGAGAAACAAAAAAATAACTTTGGATTTTGCATTCAGGAGCTTATTGGTAGATGCTGAGAGAACAGTTTTGGTAAAAGATAGAGACAGAAGCCAGGCTTCTAGAGATTAAGAAATAATTAGTAGAGGTAGAAAGAATGGCCTATTTTGGGGAGAAACTTGACTAAAAAGGAAGGGGGAGAATGGGAAAACAATTTGAGAAGGTAAAATACCTTACCTTCCTCCCTCCCTATGGCCTTCCCTTGACCCTCTTACCCTCTCAAGTCCTTGTCTGCTGAGAGAAGGGAGGGGAGTGGGGCTGGACAGAAGCAGGGCCTAATGGTGGCTTATTGGAGATTATTATTATTATTAAGAAAAAAAGCTTATTGGAGCTTTTATTGTAGGTAAAAAGCTTTCACTGGATGGAGGTTTCAAATGGATGGTGCTTTCCTCTTTCCCTTCCACTGAGAGATTCTAGAACCTATGGCCAAGCTGAGGTAGTTAGGTTGTCTTGACTGCCAATAAGGCACATTTAGAACATAATCATAGACATCTAAAGCTCCATATAGGTACCCATATTGAGGTAGAAACCTCAGCTTGATAAGATGCTTCATGTCACTGTAGTCTGCACAGGTCAGGCCTGTACAAAAGGCCTGCACAGAAGGCCTGTACAAAAGATGGCTAGTCTCGACAAGCATTCCTCTCTTTAGTAATTCCTGCATTTCTGGGATCTAGAGTTTTGTTCATTTTGCAATTTTGGGAAGTGTTGCTTGGGGGCTCCACATGTGTAGTGCACCTACTGGAAATAGTTGATTTTCTAGCCTGTCTTGGTCAAAGGCCAACTGGGTCAGATTGCATTACACTGGTCACTTGAGACCAAGAAAGCATCGGTTGGGCCATAGAAAAGCGGACAGCATAAACTGTCATTGTGCAGCATAAATTAAAGTTGCAGAAGTTATGAAGAAATGATCACATGAGAGGCAAAAGACTGTTGAATTTATATTCCAAACTCAGGTATTTTCCTGGCTTTAAAATTGGAATGTCTGAAGAATGCCTGAATATGTCTCCAGAGAGTCAAATTAGGACTGATTGCGGCAGGAGTTGAGGGGAGACAGAGGGAAGCAGAATTTCAGCTCGACATATGGAAAAGCTTTTAGGCCACTAGGACATTATTCTAGAAATTGTTGTTTAGGCATACAAATTGGAAACCTAGTGGTGACTAACATTTTGGCATACACATGAAGAGTATGCACAGAAAAAGCACTGCTCTGGGAATGGGGGTTTATTAGACATGCAGGGTGATCTACTCTTCTCTGGACCTATTTTCCTGTTTGTAAATTGAAGAAGTTTAACTAAATGATCCTGGAAGGCCTTCTAGCTCCAATATTCCAAGATCTGATTTTACTGTACATAGTGGTACAATGTCTTTATAGTGAAGAGGTGAGAATCTGGTATTTCAATTATTTTTTAAAATGGTCCTTATGAGGCAGATATTATTGTAGCCCTCTCTTTTTCCATTAAAGTTGTGAAAAACCCTAGGGATCTGACATAATGTAGTCTAATTAAAGCTTCGTTTTCTCTCTCTTCGTGAAGACAAAAGATTGACTAGAACTGTATCAGAGGGTTGAGAGCACAGGCTCCGGAGGAGAGCTGTATTGGAATTCTGACTCACTCCTCGTAGCTGTGTAACCTTGGACAACCTGCTTACTCCTCATGAGCCTCAGGTTACTTACATAAACAATTGGGATGCTAATCAAACCTACATCTCAGATTGTTGGAAGAATCAAAGAAGATTGCCACAATTTTAGGAGGGCTGTGGAGTGTGGGAAAAGACCACATACCTACCTTTGTTCAAAGTAAGGTTAGGTGAAGTTACCTATTCATTTCTTAAAGGAATTAAAATATTAAAGGAAGTGCAGTGGGCACACAGAGAAAGAGAGGAGCAAGTATGGCTTTCCAAGACCCCCTGAGTCACAGCACAACTGCTGAGGGTACTGTCTCGTTGAAGGTGAAGTCCATTCGGATTTCAGAAGCTGTATTTTTATGTTGCTCTACCATCCTTTTGTTCTTCTATGTTGTATCCTGCAACCTTGCTGAACTTCCTGATTAGTTCTAGGAGTTTTATTTGTTTTTGTTTATGTAGATTTCTTGAGATTTTCTTCATAGACTATACTGTCATTTGAAAATAGGGACAGTTTTAAGCTTTATTTCATCTTTTAAGAATTGTATGCCTATTACTTTCTTTCCTTTTCTTATTGCACTAGCTAGAACTTCCAGCATTATAGTGAATCACAGTCTTTTTCTATTTGGGGTTTATGCCAGCCTTCCAAAAGAACTGACTCAAGCAGTCTCCACACTAAATATGTGCATTTAAAGAAAGGTTTAGAGACATATAAGAGACCAAGAGACCTTCCTGGTCTTCAGGCCAGAACCATATAATACCTTTTCAAACCTGGCTTGAAACAGAGAATCAGCTCTTACGGGTTCCATTTTTCTGCCTCTAGCTCTCTGGCTTAAGGGAAGCCCACTTCACTAAAAGGAAATGTGTAGAAATCACTTAGCAGAATACACAGAAACAATAAGCACTGAATACATGCTAGTTGCTGTTATTATCATACTAAGGTGTATATGATACTATCATCACATACTAGATAGTACTAGTATCATACTGCATCATGTACACATAGTATGATACTAGTACTAGTACATGATGTACATATAGTATGATACTAGTACTATCATATGAAGGTGTAGTATGACCAGGGCTTTTCAGGCTTTAATGTGCATATAAACACCAGGAGACCTTAATAAATGCAGATTCTGTTTCAGTAGGTCTGGGGGGATTTTTCATTTCTAACAAGCTTCATGGTTCACTGAGGCTGCTGGCTTGAGGACCTGACTTGGAGTAGCAAGGTATAGAGGGTATCCATTATTCAGTCGGCTTGGCACCCTGCTTCTTGGGTAGAGTTCCCCCTCACTTGGTGATTATGATTCAGACCTCTGACTGGACCCATACTCCTAATTCTCACTGGTCCATGTCCCGAAAATAGTTAAGCAAGAGATAAGGACCTATTTCTTATTGGACTATTTATGCTTAAGACCTGTTCCAAGAAGTGAGCATCTAATTTTTGTTGGCTTAGGCATATTATCTTGTGCAGTGAGACCGAGTGAACTAATATAAAGAATCCAAGCTTTGGTGGCCAGAACTCACTGATGAGGACATTTTAAAACATGCTTCATATGACTTGTTTCCCCCTTATTAGGGTAAAGTAAACACAAATATAATTTTAAGAAATGTCTTATATTTAGAATCACTGAAATGAGACCAAGACAGTAAACAAGCTACTGTAAATTTCTCCTTTTCCAGGATTACCCTAATACCCACACACCTGTGCAATGAACAAGTCCATAGAACCTCATGAGTGAAGAATTAGGTCTGGCCTGCTTGACTCCTTTAAGATCCACCATCTGGCCAGGAGTATTGACTCATGCCTGTAATACCAGCACTTTGGGGGGCCAAGGCGGGAGGATCCCTTGAGCTCAGGAATTCAAGACCAGCCTGGGTGACATAGTGAGACCTTGTCTCTACTAGAAATAATAAAAAAAAATAGGACATGATGGCATCTGCCTGTAGTCCCAGCTACTCGGGAGGCTGAGGTGGGAGAGTTGCTTGAGCCCAGGAAGTTGAGGATGCAGCCCCAGACTGGGCAACAGAGGGAGACCCTGTCTCAAAATGAAAGAAAGAAAGAAAGGGGGGGGGGAGAGAGAGAGAGAGAGAGAAAGAAAGGAGAAGAAAAGAAAAGAAAGAAGAAAATCTACCATTTGCCTCAGGATACAAACAAACCACCAAATATGAGGACAGTTTCAGACCCGCTCATCCTCCCAGGTTTAGTTCTGAACCTTCCTCAACCCCCTGGGTTTTATCCTGCTTTTGATCTTTCTGGCTATTGACCTTGAAATTTGCTTTCCCATTTTTGCCCCTATCTTGCCCTTAGACTTGAAATACATTGCAGAGCAGGCACTTAAGGGGAGTAGGGGCTTAGGAAATATGTGTTGAATGAATATCAGAGAGCATTGTTGGGAGTCAGGGCTCAGCCCTGGGGCACCCTATCCTAGGTGAGACTCACAGAGGACAAGTGGGTGGGGCTTGGGGATGGGAGCAGTAGTGAAGTCGTCTTCCTTCTAATGACCTTGACAGTAATTGCAGGCATATGTTCTTTCCATCCTTTTGCGTTGGTTAGACATTAAACTCCAAATAATAGGAGTTACGAAGAAAGGAGTGTGTGTCTGCAGTTCTGGGCTCTAGTCCCAACTCTTTTAACTAGCTCAAGGACTTTAAGCATGCCATTTCTCCTTCTCTGGGTCTCATTCCCCCATCTCTAAAATGAGGAGAGGGTTCTTGGATTCCATATCTGTGGGGTCTTTCAGCAATGACAGTCTAGGACTTTATGTGCTGAACAGCTATAGAAACGAAACACATTCTGCTCAATACTTAAAACTGCTAATCTGTTTTTTTGTTTGTTTGTTTGTTTTAAATCACATTTCCTTAGGTGGCTTAACTTTTAGGTGAATAATGGCACTTGGGTTTACCCCAGGTCTATTAGCTGTGCTAATCTGCCAGTGTACCTACCAAGCAATGGATTGATTGATTTTTCATTCTGAACTTTTATGAAGAAGGTTTTAAAGGCGAGTGCTCTGTTGCTCTCTGTATCATCATTTACCAACTACTTTCTTGTTGAAACTTGTTACATTCAAAACTTATTTCTGCAGCCATTTAATTTCTTCAATTAATTCAAATATTGATTTTACTTTTCTTAGAGACATGAAGTAGATGACACATGCTTTTATCTGAAAGATTTAGAATGCTTTACACTTTCTCAATTAGAACCCTCTCTATTAATCAAAAAATACTTGCACTAAGTTAGATGGGGTGAATTTATAGACCTAAACTGCTTCCTTCTCTTCCTCCCTTCTTTTTCTCTTTCCTTCTTTTTGGGTACAGGAAACAGATATATCAAGCACTTACTACAGGCCAGGCCTTGTACTAGATGCTTTCACATGCATTGAATCCCCACAAAATCTTTTGAGGTAGGATGTATTATAATTGTTTTACAGATAAGAAAACTGAGAGTCACTGGGGTTAAGTGATTCACTCAAGGTTATATGACTAGTGCATCTTCCTTACCCATGACTGCTTTCTCTTGTGTACCAAACCCAAATCAGCCCCACCCCCCCTGAAAAAACTATTTCGTTGGATTCCCTAATCCAATTTTGGAAACAGAAACAACTTCTACTATTTGCATTGTAAATTATAAAAACATGTAACATTTTTTCCTTTAGCTTTCTCTGGAAACTTGAGAAATATAGATGAACATAGTGAAGAAAATAAAACTTATTTATAATCATACAGTGCAGAAATAACACCTGCTAATATTATAGTGAATGTCTTTCCCGTATGAAGCATATTTACATATATCATTTGTGCTTCTCAGCAACCCTATCTGATGCCATCTCCATTATACACTAGAGGAAGCTGAAGCTCAGACAGATATGGATCAAGCCCAGGGTCACCCCCAAGGTAGACTCTAGTCTGGAGTTGATTTTGCCGTGCAAGCAATTGCTGTTAAGGGAAGAGAATGGGGAATTTTTCAGGCTTTGTTTATCCTCATCATTTGAAGAGATGTCAATATTTGGTAAAATACAAATCCTGTCTGAGCCCCACTAGCAATGATGTGCCAAGTGCTCAAATTAAGCAAGTACTCTTTCGCAGTCCTAGAAGGAAATCAAAGGATGACCTTCAAAAAGGGTGCCTCATTTGCAGTTACCAGTGTAAAATTCAGTGGTTTTTAGTGTACTCAAATAGTTATATAACCATCGACATAATTTTAGAATATTTTGATCATCCCCAAAAGAAACTCTGTATCCTTTAGCTATCACCTTCCAATTCCCCTGGCTTCCCTGGTCATAGGCAGCCCTAAACTACTTTCTGTCTCTCTCTAGCTACCTATCCTGGATATTTAGTGGTAACCAGTAGTCTACTTTTTGTTTCTACAAATTTGCTTTTCTGAGTTTTCTTCTAAATATAATCACACAGTATGTGTTTTTTTGTGTCAGGATTATTTCACTTGGCATATTTTCAAGGTTCAGCCAAGTTGTAGCATGTGTCAGTACTTCATTTCTTTTTATTGTGAAACAATATTCCAATGTATTGCTGTACCACGTTTTGTTTATTTATCAGCTGATGGACTTTGGGGTTTTTTCCTACTTTTTGGCTCTCATGAATAATACTTCTATGAATATTCATATACAAATTTTTGTTTGAATGCCTTTCAATTCTTTTGGGTCTATCTATCTATAAGTACATATATTCCATTGTGCCATATACCCCATAAGTTATATACTCCATTAAATAAACTTTAATAAATTCCACTATGAGTGTAATTGCTAGTTAATATAGTAAGTTTATGTTTAATCTTTTGAGGAACTGCCAAACTATATTCCCAAATGGCTGCACCACTTTATTTTATTTTATTTTATTTTATTTTATTTATTTTTTTTTGAGACAGAGTCTTGTTCTGTCATCCAGGCTGGAGTGCAGTGGCAGGATCTTGGCTCACTACAAGCTCTGCCTCCTGGGTTCACGCCATTCTCCGGCCTCAGCCTCCTGAGTAGCTGGGACTACCGGCGCCCACCACCAGGCTGCACCATTTTAAAATCTCACCAGCCATGTGTGAGGGCTCCAATTCCTCTAAATTTTTGCTAACACTTGTTATTTTCCATTTTTAAATATTGTAAACATCCTGGTGGGTGTGAAGTGGTGTCCCATTGTGGTTCTCATTCACATTTCCCTAATGAGTATACTGTTGAGCAGTTTTTTACATGTTCAACAAGTTTCTCACTATTGTTATTTATTCAACTCATATTTACTGATTTCTACTTTGGGCAAGTAATCCTTATACATTTATATGGCCTAAATTTCCCAACCAGATCATGAGCTCTTTGAAAGCAAAGACCGTGGTATGCATTGCTGTACGTCCAGTTCCTTGCTCAGTGTTGGCTACATCAGAATACCTAATATAAATATTGAATACATAAATCAATGACTCATCATTGGACATGAGAATTCAGTGGTAAAGTTGTAAGCAAGCATTTCTTAAGCACTTATGTCAGGTGTGCCTGATGTTGGCAGGCAGGCTTTAGTGATAGGCCAATTCAACTCCAAAAGTGATTTGTCTTGGTCCCATTCATCTGTTCTACATTACAACTTTTAACTCTGACAGGACTCTGCCAATATTGGGATCCAGATAAGTGTGGGTAGTGTTACAGTGGAGGGAGGCCAGCATGACTCCCTCCATTTTGCCTCTGACTTCCCCCTCCCACCTGCAGTAATATCCTTTAGGTTAAAAGCTTCTAATTAGCTTTGCATGGAGATCAGTTAATTATGGGAGGAATGTAGTTTATAGTTCACCATCAGAAAAAATGATAATAGTCCCTTCCCTAAAACTCACCCCTGAGAACATAAGGAGAGTGTACACACAAGTACCAATATTATGTTAAAGACTTGTAGGAACATTGTGACATGACCAAGAGAAAGAAGTCTTCCAATCTCCTTGGACCCTCACTGGCACCCAGATGTCCGTGGTCATTGGTTATGTCTTTCTACTTAAATCTCCTCCTCTTCCCCCTACCCTTAATATAAAAAGAGCCTGAAATTTGTTCTGACTTAAGATTGTATTTTAGAAAACTAGTCCACCACCTTCTCAGTTTGCTGGCTGACTGAATAAAGTCACCTTCCTTGCCCTAAAATTTTGTCTCTTGACTTATTGGCTGTTGTATGATAAGTGGTACAAGCTTAGACCCTCTTACAGGACTACATTCACACACATTGTAAGATGCGAAACAAACTTTGCTTCAGGGTCCAGGAAGTCAATGTGTCAGCTTCTCAGAAATACTATGAGGCCTTGGTTATTACTGACAATTGGGGGTAGTGTATGCCTGTTGTAGTGAAACCTTTAAGCTACCTTGTAGTGTTAGTGGATCTAAGAGAGTGTTTTGTGTTTAAAGTGCTTTCATTTCTGCCAGAAATAAGCCTAGTCAGTCTTGAATGAATTAGCAAAGTGATTCTGGCAATTTTCATCTGTATTCATTGTGAAAAGTGTTTGTATATTGAATACACACTCTCACTGCTCCTTCAGAATATGGAGTGAAACAACAACATTGATTTATTTGAAACTTTGACGATTTTGAGTGCTCTATTCCAAAGGTATAAATCATGTTGGAAATTGGAAACAGACTTTATTTACTAAATACATTTATGCTTTGCTTAAGACATTTTTCCTCCCTGTTTTTCCTTTTATTATATGCTCTAGAAAATTAAATGTGTTAGAAAGGCAGAGTGAATTCATGGGAAGGGCATGCCTCATAAGCCTTGGTTCACATCTACTTCTGTTCTAATCCTTGGAAACTGTAAATATGTTACTTTCATGGCAAAACCCCATAGTCAGATGGGCCCAGTTTAATCACATGAGCCCTTAAAAGCAGAAACTTTCTGCAGCTGAGGTCAGACAGATGTAGGGGAGGAGAAAGGCAGAATAAATGTGGCGGAAGGGAAAGTCAGAGAGGTTGAAGGCATGAGAAGGACTGGATCCACCATTGCTGGCTTGAAGATAGAGGAGCCAAGAGAGGCTCCTGGGTAACAGCCAGCAAGGAAATGGGAATTTTAGACCCACAACCACAAGTAATTGAATCCTGCCAACAACCTAAATGAGCCTGGAAGCTCGTTCACCCCCAAAGCCTCCTGTAAGAAGCACAACCCTGCCAATACCCTGGTTTCATCCTTATGAGACCCCAGGCAGAGAATCCGGTTGGGTTATGTCACACCTGGATTCTGATCTACAGAACTGTGAGATAATAAATGAATGTTATTTTAAGCTTCTTAGTTTTTGGAAATTTCTTACAGCAGCAGTAGAAAACTTAAACTTATATAGTAAGTTACTGACTATCTGTAAATTGGGAATAACTGCTTACCTTGAAGGGTTGTTGTATATACTGTAAACCACATATAAATATGCAAGATGCCTGGTGAGTAATGGGTACTTAATAGATGATAACTTCATATGTGGAAGCACTAGCATGAAAAATGGAAAGAGGAGAAGAATAGATGTTAATAGAAAAAGGATCTTTTTTCATATGTGAAGCTACTTTTTGCCTGAGGTCAAACTCAGCTGACTTCTATTATGCTGACTGGCTACTGGTTGTTGGTAATAGTGCTAGAATATCTGCTCACCTGATTCTGCAGAATACTAAAAAAAAAAATCGCATGTTCCAGTGAAAAGTGATACAAAGAAGTGTTGTAAGGCAGTAGTTATTTAAGTGAACTTTAATAAATCACTGGAGATATTATGCTGGGTAACTGCACTGTTTCCCACTATGGTTAAAACAATTCTGCTCTGATTCTCTGTTTTTGCAGAGAAGACATTAGTGATAAGATAAAAAAGTAAATCCAATATATTGAGCCCTACTGGAATGAATTTTTCTATCTAAGGGACCCAAGGAATAGGAAATGACCCCAGGGAATGACTACTGGATCCCCTGGAGTCATGGTAAAGCCTCAGTCCCAAGGGAAGCAATGAAAGATCTGTCTTGTTTTGGTACAAGGACATAAAATTTCTCTGACTGTGTCCTGAAAACTGAGAAACAAAATAGTCAAAAAACAGTTACAACATACCTGTTTCCCATGTCCTCTCTTCTACCCTCTCATCTTGCCAAGGCACAGACTCTGCCAAGGCACAGACTTGATATCCCTTGTGTATTAGTCAGCTTTGTTATGGTAACAAACAAGCCCAGACTCTGGGGTGGCTTGTGGCAATGATTTATTTTTTTCTCCTGTTACATACTTGCAGATCTGGGTCTGTTCCTGGCTGTGAGTCAGCTTTATAAAGTTTCTTATCCTGGGTCTCAGGGTGAAGGAGCAGCCCCTATTTGGGCTGTGCTATACTCAAGGAGAGAGAAAAGAGCAAGAACCAGAACCATACCATGCCATTTAGCTTAAGACTTCTGCTTAGATGTGACACATGTCATGTTGATTCATATTACACTGGCCAAGTACAACATGAATCGGGGGAGAAAGTATACCCCTTGTATAAGAGGTACTGCAAGTCACATGGCTCTATGGGTGGGGACATAGAATCCTTTTAAGGAGAAGAGGAGAGCAAATCCTTCAGGACTGCTTATTCAGTCTACCATATCTTGTCCTCAGTCTTCCTTAATCAAGACTTCCTTCCTAACTTCCCCCACTCTGTTCCACTAGACTTACCTATACTCCAAGAAAAAGTGGTTAAGAGACTAGGGTTTCTGTTTTGCCTCCAGAGGCCATGACCTAGTCCTGGTGGTTTAGAGTTTCTCTACTTAGGTGGGATACACTCTATTTCTACTGTTACACAGGAAAGAATGTAAACTGTTTCAAGGGTATAAATACACATTGAGGAATAAGAGTAAAAAAAAGGTAACTTTTACTTTTGGGTAGGGTGAACTTGGCTGACAAATCCTCATGGCTGTACATAGCCCAGGTAAGCCAGGCACTGACTCATCTTATTCTCAACACAAGTCAGCTTCATGGAGGCTACTTTACTCCAGGTGCTTTGCACTCAAAACTATTTTGACTCAAATTGAAAGTCAGAACATCAAAGGAGTAACACTGGTTTTTGCTTTGCATTACAAAGAAGCTTGTCATAATAAGCCTGTTTGTATTTGATGGAGAAGAGACAGGTTCATCTCACCAAATGGGCACTTGGGAATGTAAGAGGAGAATTCTTCACTCATACAGCAGTACTTGCCTATACATTATTAGGATGGAATGCTGTCTTTCACCACAACTATTCCTTACCAGAAAAAATGTTGGCTGATTATGGACCATGAACCTAGAGTGACCCCTATTCATGAGACTTTACTAGATCAATGGAGGCTTCTTCCTGACCCATGAAAATGGGACTTATTTTAACTGATCTTACAAAGACATGTGGACTTATCCTATCAGACAGCAACTTTTTCCACCTATACTAGCATAACCATCATGAACTTTCTCTGTTTACTTCTTTAAGTCTCCTGATTTTTTTTTTTTTTTTTTTACCTCAGAGAACTCTTTAGGAAATTTCTTCACTGGTGTGTAAAGTAAAAAAATTTGCTTTTTTTTTCCCCTTAGAAAATGCCTGGGGAAGGGTCTTGTAAAAATTATTTGCAAGGTAGTTCCATAGAGGCAAAGTTCCCCTTGCTAAATCTTTTGTTCCTACATATTTTTCCCTAAAACATTCTTTCAATCGATTCCCAGTACATTTAAAAATTATCATGTATAAAACAAAGCACATATGAAATTATGCAGATTCCTAAGACCTTGAGAAATTCCATGCTGACTCTGACCTAAAGCTTTGGTCAACCATGGTGAATAGTGGCACCATTACTGATACTCTTCCCAACACACACGCATAAAAGACATCATTAATCAATAACCACACTCTTTCTTGCTAAGCCTGGAAAGGACTCAAAAGTTAAAGAAATCTCTTTTGGCACTTTGGGAGGCCGAGGCGGGCGGATCACGAGGTCAGGAGATCGAGACCAACCTGGCTAACACAGTGAAACCCCGTCTCTACTAAAAATACAAAAAATTAGCCGGGTGTGATGGCGGGCGCCTGTAGTCCCAGCTACTCGGGAGGCTGAGGCAGAAGAATGGCGTGAACCCGGGAGGTGGAGCTTGCAGTGAGCCGAGCTTTCAGTGACCCGAGATCGCGCCACTGCACTCCACCCTGGGTGACAGAGTGAGACTCCGTCTCAAAAAAAAAAAAAAAAAAAAAGAAAAGAAAAATTTTAAAAAAAGAAATCTCTTTTGGAGCAGAATTATCCTTTCAATTGGGATTTAGAAAAAAATCAACATCTTCATTCTTTGGCTATACTACTACTTGTTATTCTATGTTTCCAAGACTACCTCTTTAAAGGTTTAGGAGTGGAGTCGGGGTGGATAGGGTAATGTCCTATAATTCTGGTATTCTGTAGTTTTGCTAAACAATCTAGGTTAACTCTATCCATATCTCAATTTGGTAGATTTTGAACCTATCCTGTCTCAATCTTCATCTTTCAATACAAAGAATCTGAACATATTTCCATCTGTTCCCATAAGGCAACCCTGCTCCAAACATACATAATTTTAGTCATTTAAATTTCCCTTCTCTGTGGCAAAGTCAAGTATAGAGTACCTTTCTTAGGGTGTTGTAGAAACACTGCCATGGTGGGCCAGATGGGACAATGCAAGAGAATGGGCTGACTGCTTAAGGGGCTTTACCCTCTAGAAAAGTAACACATCCAGAACAATCATATAGACCACATTCTCCAGATCTCATCTGTCGGTGGCTCCCACATAAATTCAATTTGCCTTCTCTTTCCTATTTTTTTCTAGATATAATTACCCTAAATCCTTACCCACACAAATACCCAAGCGGTCTGATCTTTCTACTCCCTTTCACTCAGGTCTTGTCCCCTTAAAAGTCCCAAAGTCAGCAGGGGTTCTCACTTCAATGGGTTAATCCTGATTATTCTGATTGGTTTTTGAAGATTATACAAACCATGAAAATAAATCGAATTGCTGCTGCTATTCTACACTCAAAGTTTAGGATCTCTACAGAAAGTGGTGCTGCTGCTCTTGCCTCTTCCACACCATTGGAACTTTGGAATGAAATATAATATGCTCCTCCTACTGATTTTATGGTCATCTCTGATTGTTCTACAGCCTAATTGGTATGGGCCTTTAGAGTTATAACTTTTGATCTCTCTTTCTCTTCCTGGTATACACATACACACACCCACCCCCACACACCCCAGTTGTTTTTCCTAATGTGCAAACATAACAGTAATATAGTTAAGCCAGCAAGAACTAATGTATCAACCATCACCCCATCTAGAACTACCTTGACTCTAGTGTTACATTTGGGTCACTGAACAGACCTTCTTTTCTCTCCCAGGAGCTTCCTTTGTTTTCTGCCATCTGGCCTCAGTTGGGTTCTTTTCAACCTTAGATTCATTTTACCATTGATATGGACAGGAGGCAAGGAAATACTAGGTAGAAAATGGTGGAGTCCCTTGTAAGGGTTCCATCCTCAAGCCTGGACCCCTGACCCTAAATGAGAACTTTACATCCCTATTTTCCTGCCCGAATGTTGCCTTTTCCAAAATCATCCTATGGGTGCCCGCCCCACCCATAAAATCCCTAAACTCCAGTGGCATGAGAGCAGAGCAGAGCTGCAGAGAAGGAGAGAAGAGAAGAAGCAGCCAGACCTTAGAGGCAAGCAGCTTGACTTCAGAGTTATGGCTTGATGGTGGGACTCCGGAGGAGAGTTCAGTTGGGGATGGCCAAACTCCAGGGGATTATCTTCGCACTCCATCCCCCTTCTAGCTTCCCTTCCCACAAGAGACACTTCCACCACTCAATAAAATCCTCCATATACACCACCCTTCAATTCGTTTGTGTGACCTAATTCTTCCTGGACACTGAACAAGAACTCGAGTACCAAGAGGACAGGGTATAAAAGGCTGTCACCCTGACCCTCCACCGAGCTGGTTAACACTTAGCCATCCGTGGGCAACAAATGCTAAAAGAGCACTGACTGCAAAACACACACTCTGGGGCTCTGAGGGTCGCAGACACTCACGCCCGAACTGCAGAGCTAAATCAGCATTGTAACACACTTGGATGCTACCTCAGGGCCCACACAGAGCCTGCTCCCACCAGAGAGAAGTAACTAGCCATTTCCAGTGTTCATTCGCCCTGGCCTCTGCACATGCTCATGTGTGCTCCCCCTCTCGTGAGGGGTTCAGAGCTGTGGGCTGGGTAAATGAGCCACCCCTTCATGAGGCCCGCAAAGGAGTCACGGGAAATATCCTCACTATTTTTGAACTGTAAGAGGGAAGGGCAGAGAGTTGATACCACCTTCTGCCACAATGATCCCTGGTTTCTGCATAAGTTTGTGGTGGCAAATCAATATGCATAGAAATGACATTGTTAACTGAAATAATTGAAAGGATCAGAATCCAGTTTAATGGAGTTTATTCAAGCACAGAGCTGAGAATGGCCATTCAGGTAAAACAGACCTCAAAGAAGTGGGGTCAGTGCTCTGAAGCTAAAAAGTTAGATCTTGCTTTATAGGCAGAAAACAAAGAAATTTAACAGAATGACAACATTTTTGTAAAAGGCTGGTTTATGACTTACAGCAATTTGATTAGTTACAGCTATTTTCTTTTTCTAATTAAAAAGAGTATATTTAACATTTTATTTTAGAGAATACGAGAGTTGTGAGGTCTTTGTATAGGAAAAGTAAGAGGGAAGTTAATCTTTGCGAAGATCAACAGTAAAGAGGAAACAGTTCTTCTCTTGCATCCTTTAGATTTTTTACACTTTGCAAAATAATGTACATAAATAAAAGGCTAATCTATAACCAGAGGAACAAATGTTATAGCTGCCTGTCACATGACTCAGGTCCAATAATCACTTTCCTTTAAGGCTCAAAATAATGGAAAATTCCAACAGCTTTGATTTGGAATTATTTTTACATTTCCTCCTTTTCATCAAAATCTCTTCAAGAAAGCATCATAGATGAATTAAATATTTCTGACTTCTTTTATGTTCAGGGGCTTGGGTCCTGTGTAACTGGGAAGGCTCATTCCTAGGCTATGTCCCATAGCAGAGGGTTTTGGACAAATTGACACTGATACAGTTAATAGCCCAAATGTAGAGCAACATGGAGGTGATTTTGTAATGAGTCAGGCTACAGTGCTGCCTCTTCAATTACAATTCTGTAAACAATCATTATTTTAGTTTTTTCCCGCTGATTTTAAACAAGTAGAAAGACAAATCATGATTAACTTAATAACCAGAAAAATAACAACTATGCTTGTGATGATAATAATCACAACTTGAATACCAGAACAAAATAGAGAACTTAGTCCTGAGGGTAAACAACCATGCAAGTCATTTGAAGGATCAATTTTACTTGTATCTTGTAGCCATTTAGCCTTCTAAGTTATCCTTTCCACTCTTGTTTCTACTTCTCCAGAGACGTTAATATAAGTACAACAGGTGGTTTTGCTATTGCACGGGTATCTCCTTTTTCAGCCAACAAGTAGTCTAAGGCAAATCTATTGTCTAGTACTACTTGGGCTACAAAAATTTAAGGATTTTTGTTGAGCCGCAATACTTTTTGCAGTGTCTTCATCTATCTGACAAATAGTGGTGGATAGGTTTCAAATCATATCTCAGGCTAGGTGTGGTGGCTCACGCCTGTAATCCCAGCACTTTGGGAGGCCAAGGTGGGCAGGTCACTTGACCTCAGGAGTTTGAGACCAGCCTGGGAAACATGATGAAACCCTGTCTCTACAAAAAATACAAAAAATTAGCCGGGCATGGTGGCGCATACCTGTGGTCCCAGCTACTTGGGAGGCTGAAGCATGAGAATCACTTGAGCGTGGGAGGTGAAGGTTGCAGTGAGCCAAGACCATGCCACTGCAGTCCAGCCTGGGCAACAGCAAGATCCTGTCTCAAAAAGAAACAAATCATATCTCAACTGACATAAACTCCAGAACTTGGAATCATTATTTCTAGGATGCTTTCTAGGTCTATACAGACCTTTTAGCTCTGTAATGAAAATAAAAAGGGGGTTATTTTCTGTATTTGTGTAAGGATAAGGGGGGCTACAAAATGTCTCAGCAAGCAGAAACCTTCACTTGTAAATTGTTGAGGCAACAGTGTGCCCATGTTTGTGTAGGCAGATCAGACCTCGCTTCACATACCAAAACATAGCCTGAGGGAGCACAGGTGATACCCCCAAGGGTATGTTAACTAATGGATTTATTCATAGGGAGTGCTGACATTACCAAATTGAACCATGGGTTCCTTCCCCTGCAAGCTTTTCAGAATCCATTTACATAAAAGTCTTAATTTAGGTATTGGCTTAGTAAGGACTTATTTTTAACTTTATCTAGAATACATTTGTTTACTCAGTCCATGGATTGTGGATATCCTGTGATATAGAATGGGTTTCCAACATTAATAACAAGGGACACATTAAAACAAGTATTCGTAATATCTGAGTTATGAAACAGTCAGACCTGGAAAGTCAATTCAGAAAGAGGTCAGTCTAAATAAGTGGTGACTTTAGGGAAATCTGAGAAGTCAGTGGAATGTATTACTAATGGCATATATTAGTCATGAATTGATCTAGGAATTATGTGGCAAATTCAACAATCTGATAGGTTCGTCTAGTGGCAACACTTTGGGTAACTTAACCAAAGTGTTATGCCATTCTATGCACTGGGACAAAGGGACAACTATGAGAAAAATATAACATTCATTTTAGTTAATTTAAGAAATTTAGTTAAAATAAGGCAAATGTCCTAATGTTACCGGGGGTCCTTGCTCACAGAGCTTCCAAGACTGGTGAGCTTCTTCCAAGATGGTGGCAGGTGGCTTCCAAGATGGTGGCAAGCCTCGTGTTCTCTGATCTGGGGTTCGTGGCCTCATGGATTCCAAGGAATGGAATCTTGGGCCATGCGGTGAGTGTTATAGCTCTATTAGAAGCCGTGGGTCACGGAAGAGAACCGTGGAACCCAGTGACGAGTGTTCAGCTCGATTAGGACGAACCCAGGCACTTAGCCTTGCAGGAACAATGGCAAGCCTTTAGCCTGATCAGGAGTGGCAATGGGCGCCTCGCTGAATCAGGAGCATAGCAGACACCCTGCCGGATCCTGAAGAATGGAAGTCAGCGGCGGGTCTGTGACTGCGGCAAAACAGCAGTGGTGGATGGCGAGCAAAAGCTCAGCTCGAGCCATAACAAACACGGACCAGAAGAGTGCAGTTGCAAGATTTAATAGAGTGAAATAGAGTGGAAACAGAGCTCCCATACAAGGGGAGGGGACCTAAAGGGGGTTGCTGTTGCTGGCCCGAATGCCTGGGTTTATATCCTGATCATTGTCCCTCCCACTGTGCTGTCAGGCAACAGATGATTGGCTATTTTTTTACCTCCTTTTTTTGCCTAATTAGCATTTTAGTGAGCTCTTCTTACTATCTGATTGGTCGGGTGTGAGCTAAGTTGCAAGCCCCATGTTTAAAGGTGGAAGTGGTCACTTTCCCAGCTAGGTTTAGGGATTTTTAGTCAGCCTAGGAAATCCAGCTAGTCCTGTCTCTCACTACTTTACATAAGATGGTAACAATCATCAATATTCCTAAGACAGCTATAATAACAGCTACTGTAAAGTAAGTATAACCACTCATTTAGAAACAAGTCTGGCCCCAAGTCTATGGAAAGTTGACCACCTCTGATGTCATCATCTTCTACTAGTATTGCTTATCTTAATTCAAAGACCACCTTTTGATGAAACAGTCCATTCAGGAAGTTCAGCTGTCTTTAGATGAGTGATATGACTCCAAGCATCTATGTCTTCTAATTTAGCAGCACAAGAAATAGTAAGGAGTATCAAATAAGGTCCATTCCATCTCAGTTAGAGAATACTTTAGAAGGTGTCATTTCCAATAGACAAAATCTCCACTTTGAAGCTCCCGGTGCTCAAGATTTTCATCTCCTGGGAACTTACTGTGAAAACATTCTTTTACTATTCTGTTACCAATATATAATTTTTAGTTAATTGTGTCATAAGACTATTACAATAGGTAAATGTATCCCCCTCATTATTAAGGAGACACACTATCCAAGAGATAATTTCATAGGTCTGCCTGTTATAATTTCAAATTTCTGATTTCAGATAATGTGTTAATGAAAGGAGTCAATGTTAGGTTTAGCAAGACCAATGGAAGAAGTTTTGGCCAAGAAATTTAAAAAGCCTCAGTTAATTTTGCCAATTAGATTTTGATTATTTTCGTTGTGCATTCTACTAATCCAGATAACTGGGGGTATTAAGCACAATGAAAATGTTGAAGAATAGGCCAGATTCTACATAGTTCCTTGGGAACTGTGTCATAGTTTTCCTGGATTGTACTTTGGCAAATATGATGGTGGTTGTATACCTTATGAGCTATAGTTGGAGAATGTTTCCAATAATAATGCTTCCCCCAAACAACCATTTTGTCAGGACTCAAGTGAATTAAATCATGCACATAAGTTAGAAATAATGACTATAATTTAGCAGGAAATATGGGCAAGTCATTTGGCCCATATCATACCTTATCTTTTCAGGAGTATTTTCCCCCTTTCATTTCCCAGCCTTTTTATTTGGATTTTAGGATTCTGGATTGAGCCAATTTTATGTCAAATTCAGGTACTTCCTTAAAAGTTAATAGGTTAGAGGTTTTGTTGTTGTTGTTTAGAGCAGCTATCTTTGCTACCTTATCAGCTAGCTATTTTCCTCTGTTTTATGGAGTATCTGATTTGGAATGACCTGGAATTTTAATAATGGCCAGTGATTTTGGTAATAGCATGGCTTTCAGTAGTTGTGATATGTCTATTTTTTAATGTATTTACCTGAAAAGGTTTAGAAACCTTGTGTATGTCTATTTTTTAATGTATTTACCTGAAAAGGTTAAGAAACTTCTTTGCTTTCATAACATTGCTTTTGCCAATCGACAAGCTCTAACCAATACAATTAATTCTGCTTGTTGAGCATAAGTGGCTTCTGGAAAATAGGCACTTTCTATTTCTTCAGTTTAAGAAACTATATCATAACTAGCTTGGTAGATTCCATATTCTTCCTTTAATTAAGATCCACTTTCAAACCAAACATCAGTATTTGTAAGAGGGGGGAGGGTCTCTTGTAGGTCTGTCCTGGGAGAAATAAGTTGATCAGTTAGGGTTAGGCAGTCATGCAGGATTTTATCTGAAAATGAAAGCAAAAGGGTTACAGGGTTTAGACTATGATATTTAGAGATGATTGTATGGTAAACACACCTGAGAGCAATAACTTAAGCATTTCCTGAGAATGACTCTGTATGGCAGATGCATCTGAATGTGTGTTCAGTGTTTTGAGCTATAAAATCCAGGAGTGGCCAAGCTGGAGATTCATTTCTTGTCTTTGAGGAACATCTGAGCTCCCAGCCTATCCCATGGGATGGGCCATACAGAGGATAGAGGCCCTGAGTTTTGCGCTGAATGAAGGTTGCCAAGTGGAGGTTATTAGGGAGACAGTACTAAGTGAAAATAGTCTATAAACTGCATGCCTTTTGCAAGTGGTTGCAGTTCTTCTGCCTAGCCTGCCACCACTGGACCATGTGGTTCTCCTGTCCAGTCTGCTGCCACTGGACTCTATGTAAGGCACTTATCTTGTCTGGCCCACAGCCACTGAACTCTCTCTCTCCTGTATGTAAGCCCCCAGTAAAACACCAAGTCATGTTTCCTGGCTTTGGGTCTCTTCTTCAGCTTTTTGAACCTTGTTCCATCTCCAGTGGAGTCTATAGGGGTTTGGCACAACAATGGTGATATGAAAGACTGAAAGAAACAGGACCTCATATGAAGCCATTCTACTGAGTAATGTTGAACAGTGTGAGTTCAGCAATGATTATCTTGCTTCCTAAATCAAGAAACTAGAAAAAGAAGAACAAAATACATTCAGAACGAATAGAAGAAATACTTACCAGAGAAAAAAATACGTTACATTAAAAAAAAAGAAAATTATTGAAACAATAAAAATCCCCTGCTTTTAATAATCAATAAAATTGACCGATTAAGAAGACTGACAAAAACAGATTCAAAAAACTGATATTAAATTGAAACAATGAATATTACTACAGATTCTGCAGCCATTAAAAATATAATAAGGCAATAGTATGAACAAATTTAGTCATAAATTTGACAACTTAGCAGAAATGGACAAATACTTTGAAAACTACAACCTCCCAAAACTCAATGAAGAAATATGTAATCTTAATAGTCTACAACCATTAACTAAATTAAATTCACAATTTAAAAGTTCCTGAAAAAAAAATCTTCAGGTCCAGATGGTTTTACTGGAAAAATCTACCAAATATGTAAAGAATTAACACCAATTTTCACAATGTTTATCAAAACATATAAATGGAGGGAATACTCAACTTATTTATTTTTGAAGATAATATTACTCACATAATAAAACCAGATATAGACTGCACCAAAAAACGGAAGGAAGAGAAAAAGGGACAGAGAAGGGAGGGAGGAAAAATGGGAAGATGTCCAATTTCACTGCTTTTATTCAACATTATTCTAGCCACTGCATTAAGTAAGAAACATTAACTCAAGGCACACAGATTGGAAAAGAAGAAATCACACTGTCCCTATTTGCAGATGACATGGTTGTCTATGTAGAAAACACTAAGAAGTCTGCAAAACAGAAAAATAAATTAGTAGAACTAATAAATGAGTTCAGCAAAGTTGCAGGATACAAGATCAATATACAAAAATTAGTCAGATTTCTATACAGTAACAATGAACTTCCCTGAACTGAACTTAAAAACAATACCATTTAAAATCGCTTCAAAGAAAATTAAACACTTTGGTATATATTGAACAAAACATATACAGGATTTTTATGTTGAAAATTATACAATGTTGATGAAAGGAACCAAAGACCTAAATAGATGAAGACACAAATCTTGTTAATTAGTTAAAAGACTCAATGTAATTAAAGCTGTTAATTCTTTCCAAATAGATATACATATTTAACCCAAGTCTTAATCAAAATCCTAGCATTATTTTTTGTGGGCAGAGAAAACCTTATATAAAATTTATATGGAGAGGCACAGGCTTTAAAATTGCTAAAACTATCTTGACCAGAATAATGTGGGAGAAATCACTCCCTGGATAGTAAGGCTTAATACATAGCTATAGTAATGAAGACAATCTAGTATTGGCAAAGCAATATACACACAGATCAATGAAACAGAATGGAGAACCCGGAAATAGTCCCACACCAATATTCTATGTTTTAACTGGAAAAGGTGCAAAAGCAATTCAATGGACAAGCCATGGCCTTTACAACAAATAGTCTCAAAGCAATTAGGCATCCATAGGCAAATAAATAAATAAATATACAAAACTTTAGCCTAAATTTCACACTTTTTACAAAAATTAAAATAGATCACTAATTAAACATAAAATGTAAACTGTGAAAATAAAACACTTTTTCAAAAACAGGAGAAAATCTTCAGGATCTAGGGCTAGAAAAAATGTTCTTAGACAACACCAAAACCAGAATCCATAAAAAAAAATTGATAAAATGAACTTAATCAAAATTTAAAAACTTTTATTCTGAGAAAGACCCAGTGAAAAAGATGAAAAGACAATCTAAAGACTTTAAGAAAATATTTGCAAACCTCATATGGAACAAAGGACTATTATCTAGAATATATAAAGAACTCAAAACACAACAGGTAAAAAACAAAAACAAAAACAACTCAATCTAATTATAAACAGGCAAAAGACATTAAGAGGCATTTCACCAAAAAGAATATACAGATGGCAAATAATCACACGAAAATGTGTTAAAAAATTATTAGCCATTAAGAAAGTGCACATTAAAACCACTATGAGATAACACCACGTACTTATCAGAATGGCTGCAATGAAAAACAGTAACAAGATCAATTGCTGGTGACAATGTGGAGCAACAGGAACTCTTATTCATTGCTGGTAGGGTTGTAAAGTGGTATGGCTACTCCAGAAAATTGGAAGTTTCTCTGAAAACTAAATATACAACTACCATACAACCCAAAATTTGCACTCTTGAGTAATTATCCCAGAGGGATGAAAACGAAACGTATATTCACACAAAACCTTTGTATTAGTCCATTCTCACTCTGCTATAAAGAAATACCCGAGACTGGGTAATTTATAAAGGAAAGAGGTTTAATTGACTCACAGTTCCGCATTGCTGACGAAGCCTCAAGAAACTTACAATCATGGCGGAAGGCAAAGGAGAAGCAGGCACCTTCTTCACAGGGCAGCTGGGCAGAGCGAGCTCAAGCAAGGGAAATGCCGGACGCCTATAAAACCATCAGATTTCGTGAGACTCACTCATTATCATGAGAACAGCATGGGGGAAACTACCCTCACGATTCATTTACTTCCCACCAGATGCCTCCCATGACATGTGGGGATTATGGGGATTACAATTCAAGATGAGATTTGGGTAGAGACACAGCCATACCATATCACCTGTACATGACTATTTATAGCTTTATTTGTAATAGCCAAAAGCAGGAACCAGCTCATATATCCTTGAACAGGAGAAAGAAATTGTGCTACATTCGTATTGTGCAATATTACTCAGGAATAAACAGGAGTAAACTATTGATAAACGTGACAATCTGGATGCATTTCTAAGGAATTATGCTGAGTTTACAAAAGCCATTCACAAGAGATTATATACCATATGATTCCATGTGATAACCTTTTGAAATAACAAAATGTTCAAAATGAATAACAGATTAGTGGTTATTGTGGGTTAGGAATAGAAGGGTGGGTGACAGGAGGGAGCTATGCGTGGTCATAAAAGGGTAATATGAGGCATCCTTGAGATTTTAGAATGGTTAGTCTCTTGACAGTAGTGGTGGATACATGAACTTTCACAGGTGATATGATTGTATAGAGCTTAATATACAAACAGGCACAGGAGTACAAGTAAAACTGGGGAGATCTGTATAAGATGGGTGACATTGTATCAGTGTCAATATCCTGGTGTGATATTCTACTTCAGTTTGCAACATGTTGCCACTGGAGGAAAGTGGGTAAAGGATACATGGAACACCTCTGTATCATTTCTTACAACTGCATATGAATCTACAATTATCTCAAAAGTTTTTCAATTAAGAAAAAAAGATTATGTTTGCCGTCCTGGCAATCATATTATTCAAAATTGAAATGGAGTCATTTTGAGGACAAGTATCAAATATAGTGAAGGAAAAATTATCTTACTGTAGACTTTTTCACCTTTGTTCTCTTGCAATTTGATCATGTTGTTTCAAGGATTCCCATACCTCCATTCTACAGGTGAATTGGCTACAGTTTTATATGCATTATAACGAGATAGAAAAGATTGTATTTGATATTCTGCATTGCTAACAATTTCAGACTCTCAAGGACACAGGAATACAGACATGGTTCTCAGTCCCTGAGTCTCCAAAGTACACAAGAGAAAATGGCTGGAGAGGGTTAATAGTCAAGATTCGTCCTATGGAAAATCTAGAGATATTTGAAAGGCTGGAAACTGCTCCTCCCTTGAAGTTACTCTGAAGTAAAAGCAGATAAGAGAGTCTCATTATTTCTGGTTTTGTAGAGGAGACAGAAAATTGCCACGGAGGTAGAGCTAGTAGTGAGTGATAGAAAAATGCTTCTGGAGATCAATTTGACCCTAGCAAGGGGTCTGACCACTACAAGTCTGTGTGCATAATCTTCATTTTCCTTTTCTGCCATGATATGGCTGAGATCTGTTAAATTTTCCTATGCGCCATGTGACAATTACACTTTCCCAAATCTAATTTTATAAATTTTGATTTAGGGCCACCTCTACATGAGACAGTATACCTTAGATAGTAGGTCTTACACTGGCATGTACTCTTTCAGAGTGAAATTGAAAACCGTGGAATAAATTATTCTTTTGATGGCTGTCAATGAATTTCTGACTACAGTGACTGGAGCTTAAGCTCCTCTTGGGCTACATGTTCTTTCTGTGACACTATTTATAAGGTGAAGGTCTCTTCATATATGCATAATATTTTAGCTGATATGTGGGTAATAGTTAGCCTTCTAGTCAATTAAATACTTTGTAGGACAAATTTATGCCTTGTTTTTATATTGTATTCATTGCTCCTAGCCAGGCACATAGTAGATATTCAGTAATTATTGAGTGAATAAATGGTGGACTGAATGAATGAATGAATAGGAAAATCTCCTGATTTATGTTCTCATGTACCCTTTCCTCCAGACACACTGGATTATTTTTCTTTCCTCAGGTATTATTTATTCTTATACCCTTATTCCTAGCATATGTCTGGCACATAAGTACTCACAGTACATTGGATGGGTAGATAAGTGAATGAATGAAGTCACTGATGTACTAGAAAGATTCATAAAATTCAGTGAAAGTCATTGGTTTTTCAGCTTCAGGTGACCATCTAGTGTAGTCAGTTAAACCCATCTACACTGTTGAAGGATTAATGCTGTATCCTTCACTGATATAAGTATTTTGGTCCCTTTTGTGTTGCTATAAAAGAATATCTGAGACTGGATAATTTGTAAAGAAAAGAAACTTATTAAGTTTATTCTGCAATATGAGATTCAAGGGCACAACCTTGGCCTCTGGTGAAGACTTACATGATGTGTCACAATATCGCAGGGAATGTCAAAGGAGAAGTGGACACATGTGAAAAGAGGAAAACCTAAGAGGCATCCTGGATTTATAAAAACCCACTCTCATGGGAACTAACCAATCTATTTCTGAGAGAACTAATTCAGTCTTGTGAGAATGAGAACTCACCACCAGAAGAACAGCACCAAGATATTCATAAGGGATCTGCCGCCATAACCCAAACACTTCCCACTAGGTCCCACATTTTAATACTGTCACATTGGAGATCAAACTTTAACGTGAGCTTTGAAGAAGACAAAAAAAAAATCTCCAAACCATAGCATTTTGCCTGTACATGTTAATCAACTATGAAGAGAAAGAAAGTAACATTTTTGGATTTGACTTGGTTATAATATCAGCAGTATCACTGTTTTAAAATAATTTATAAATTCCAAAACTCCAGCTTTTCCATTCATTCATTATGATTGGTTCAAACTCTATTACCTCCTTGGGAGAGTTGCCAGTGTATTAAAAATACGAACATAATACTTTCAACATTAACATAAAATGTATAAGCATTGACAGAACAATTAGATGAATTCACCTCTTAGAGCTAGCTCTTCAGAGCTGACTCATCTAAAGTGGTGTTACACTATTCAGTTACACAATGAATCTACATAGAGCTGACATAAGATATTAGATTCATTTCTGTATTTATCTTTGCATTTCAACATTATTAAAAGAAAAATGAAAACATTCTTCATGAAGGCATTTGTATTAATTTAGGTTTATCATTCATGTAACAGCAATGTTAAACTTACAAAAAATGTATAATAGCTCAAACACCAATAAGCTTTTGTCTTCTGGTTTCAGGATGGTATCAAGCTATGTATTCACAGAGAAAAGGCCATTAGCATATTTAATTCAAATGAAATAAAATGCATTGGTTATGGACATCTTTTGCATCAATTAGGATTTGGTTTGGCGGTAACAAACATATAAAAATTTGTACTTTAAAGAAGATGTAGATTTATTTCAGGCTGGAGAGAGGCAGCTCAGGACTATGATGGTAGCTCCACAATCTCAGCGACCCAAGCTTTTCTTATTGTATTGCTCAGCCATGATTAGCTTACATTTACAAGGTCCCGTTAGAGATCAAGATGGACTCAGCCATTGCTTCCACATTCTCTGTAGCAGAAAAGGGAAAAAGGGAAAAAGAAGGGTATCACCTCCATTTATTTTGGAAGTACTATACTAGAATTCCACTTACATCTTATTGTCTTGAACTTAGTCACGTGGCTACACCAAGCTTCAAAGAGGTCTTGGAAATGTAGTTTTCTTAGCTATGTGGCAATGTGTCCAGCTTAAAATATTGAGCTTTTTTTTAATTAATAAAAAAGAGGAGAATGGGCATTGAGAAGGAAAAAAGCAGTCTTTACTTTATCAAAGTGTGATCTGCTGAGGAAGAATGCTTGCCTCATGTTTTCTTTACAGATGCTTTTATTCATCTTTGTCAGAACTTTCTCAGTGGATTCTATTGAACTCCAACAATGTCTCTTGGGTGACAGGACTTTTTCTTGTTTCATGGATTTGTGAAGGTTGTCCTACTTCCTGGGCATAGGTATTTCTCAACAATATTCTTCATGATCAGTTGGCTGACTTCTGATTTTAGTTATACATCTCTTAAGAGAAGCTTAACCTGCCTTTAATCAACCCATTGACTAAACAGGACTTCTAAATCATCAAGAATCTGATGGAGATTGAGTTTCTTGCAGTCAGGGTTGTTTTTAAATTCTAGCTTCCCTTTCAGCTCTTCCCAAACAATAGGCAAAAAGCCAGAAAGAAAAAACTCACTTGTTTTGACATTAAGAATTTTCTCAGTGGTATAATGATAAAATGTATTCATATGAGTAATATAGA
Organism: Homo sapiens; assembly: GCF_000001405.40. NCBI lineage: Eukaryota > Metazoa > Chordata > Mammalia > Primates > Hominidae > Homo > Homo sapiens. The sequence goes on along the minus strand of NC_000023.11, from coordinate 147,763,781 downwards.
ACTATTTGGTATGATGTAATATGACTAGTATTATCAGACTACCATTTTAGTGGACATTTTTTCTTTTACTTTTTTTTTCTTTTACATTTTTTCTTTTTCTTTATACTTCCCCAGCAACCTGTACCCATCTTCCTTTGGGGATTTTTTTTCTCCCCTTGTTATAATTCATAGTGGGTAGCTAATCCAAATTCATAATATACCCATCATACCAGTCATAATACCCCATCCTACTGGCCAAGTTGATTAGCCCAGGAGTGATTTATAATTCCTATAACAAGGAGGAATTCTTCCTTTATTAGAACAGTGTGAAACTGTTCAAAAATAGGTGATCAATATCAGGGATCGGAGAGGGACAGAGATGGGGCAACCCAAAAGCATGAAGAGTGAAGTTCAAGTCCCTGATGTGGTTTCTGCAGCTTTCTTTGAATTTGACAGGAAATATATCACCCTCCTGCTTAAGCTGATTTGGGTTGGGTTTTTGTCATTTTCAACTGATACAAGTTCACTTCTTGGAACATTTGACCACAGTCTCCCTTGGATTCTATTTGTTTGTGTATGCCTTGTTTCCCTTGCTCCCAGGTGTGAACTCCTTGAGAAACAGGACCACAGCTGATTTGTTTCTATGTCTTTGATGGTTTTTTAACTGTTTCATACCAAGTGGGTACTAAATAAGTATTTGTATTTGGTAAAGATGTTAAATAAATATTTTTACGTATAGAGTCATTCTACTACTTTTTGTTGAATGTTTATTATGTAGTAGGTACCTTCCTGAGTGTTGTGTATGTAATCTTTACAACCTGTTTGGGAAGTAAGCACTATTATTATCTACTTTATAGATGATTAAACTGAAGTGTCTAAACAGGTTAAAGTAACTTTCCCAAGATTACCAAGTAAGTGGTGGCTCACAAACTTGAGACAGAACTATTAACTTTAAAGTCTGTGCTTTCAATTATTGCTTATTAATATTGACCACTTCCCCCATGAAATTAGTTAGGCATAATTCTCAAATTCCCACCCACAATGTGAGAATTTTGTTTCTTTCAAAGAACATTCTGTTTGCTTTTTACATGATTACAATCTAATTGAATATATACCTCAAAGGTAAAGTTATCCCATCTTTTCCACAAATTGAATTGGATTTAGGCTAGTGGATTTTATATATCAAAAGCTCTTCTTTTCACCTTCTGAAGGAAGAAGAACTGGGAGAGTACCTGTTTGTTTAGAGATCAACATTAGTTTGACCACTAATGTTTAAGCTTAAGGTACATTTTTAGGGATGGAATCTCATGTTCGCCTCATATTATAATAGTAGGTCTTGATTAAATGGTGTAGAAATGGTAACTACTTATGAGAAACATGCTTGTCCAAAGAGGATGGCCTCTTATAAGTCTCCTATATTTCAGTTGAATATAGAAGTACTATAAAAGGAAAATTTCCCCATTTGTATTTATTCAAGTTACCTATATTGTGTGGTGTTCAATAAATTCAAGATATTTCCAAGTCTATCAATAGTTTAAGGTAAAAGTGAAAACCGATGACATTCTCAGCGATAATACTAGTAAGGCTAATGTCACAGGCTTAAACCTGTGTGGGCCAGTTAGTGCTTTCAAAACCACAGACTTCACAGGTATTCTGTGCTATTGGCTACAAGAGATAACCTAAGGGGGCACAGATCATTCAGTGCAACCCCAAGTACATGTCTTCCATGGCTCATTTATTCTTTCAAACCATTACCTAATATGTGCCAAGCACTATGCTACGTATTGGGGAATCTCATGGTGAACAAGACACATACGATCTCTGTCTTCATGGAGCTTACTTAAGGAAAGAGACAATAAAGCACTAGAGAAATAAAAAAGAGAGTATCAGGTTGTGATAAGTACCTTGAAAATAAAATAAGGTGATATTATTGAAAGTGACTGGGTTCTAATATGAGGAAGTTGGTAAGGGAAGATTCTTCTGAAGGAACAGAAACCTGAAAAGACAGGAAAGAATCAGCATGAGAAGGTGTAAGAGAAGTATCTCAGGCAGAGGGAACAGCTAGTGCAAAAATGCTGAAACAGAAATAAGCTAGGTACTGTCAAGTGTTAGAAAGGTGATTGGTTAGGTGTTAATTTTTGATAGACTAGTGTATGTGGATTTAAAGACCCTGCTATTGATAACTAGAGGAAAGACTTACAATGACTCAACTCACCCTCAGAAAGTTTGCTAATGTAAGCAGTGTTAATTCCAGATGTAGTGGAAGTATGGATTATTTTTATTTTTGCTTCTTTGTATTTTCTGTTTTCTTGCTTAAAAATAAGCCATTTATTAAAAGAGACAAAAAGTCCCATGGAAGATGTAGAAATGCATTTAAGGGCTTTAGGAAAAGTAGATTTGGAAATGACAGACAAAATTCATTGTAAATTAAAATGCACTGGAAAACACAAATGTGATTTTGGTAGAATTGGAGAAGGTAGGGCTAAAGAAAGACGGGATAGCCCGGGCGTGGTGGCTCACACCTGTAATCCCAGCACTTTGGGAGGCTGAAGTGGGTGGATCATTTGAGGCCAGGAGTTTGAGACCAGCCTGGGCAATATGGCGAAATCCCATCTCTACTAAAAAATTAGCCAGGTATGATGGCGCACACCTCTAATCCCCAGCTACTCAGGAGATGGAGATTACGGTGAGCTGGGATTGTGCCACTGTACTCCAGCCTAGGTGACAGAGGGAGACTCTGTCCCAAAAAAAAAAAAAAAAAATAGGTGGGGAGGTGTAAAGTCTCTTCCCTTTACTTCGGCCTTTACTTCAGCCAATGGCTTACTTTGGAATAACAAAAGAATCTAAAATGATCCAGTGTGACTTCATGCTGTGACTTATTAAGTTATTGAAAGTAGTAGAAAGTGCTGCTACAGGTACAGAATAAACTGTCAGGAAAAGGGGAATTAGAAATGAGTAAATGACAATCTTCTGTCAACTAACTGTGCTGAAACGTCAGTGTTTCATAAGACAGACGATGACTGGATCTATGTACTCAGGTGCCACTCACTCACCCTCCTGTTCTTGGTCCCTGTCCAGACGGCAGGCTGGGGTCTGTTATTTATTAGCGGTTTTTAGGTTGTGGCCTCCAAATTTGTCCTTAGCATATGTCTACAGCAGGCCCTAGAACCTCAGCTCGCCAATGGCCAACCCCCAGAGAAACTCTAACTTGAGACACAAGTCAGAGTAGGTGGGGCAGAAGACAAGCTTCTCTCTTCTCTTAATGCTCTCTACTCTCTGCCACTTACTAGGCTGTGCCTGGGCAAACTATTCCTCTGTCTTGGAGTCTCATACTTTCTACTCCTGAAAATAAAGAGGTTGGACTAAAATATTTTTAAGATCATTTCTAGCTCTAAACTTCTATCTCCACAGTATGAAAATACTAGCTCTAAACTTCTAGCTCTAAACTTCTGTCTCTTGGCATGAAAATTCTTGTGGCTATATTTTGCTCTGAGAGATGCATAGTATTGATGATAAGCAAAACTGGTCCAGTGAAACATTCAAGCGTGCATAGACCAGAGACAATAAAATAGTTGATATACTAACTTTTGCCTTCCCTTTCCTTAGCCCCTTATACAGAAATGTTAATGTTGGTGACATTTTTAGGAAGCAAGAGCTGGCCAGTAGACCTTGAACTCTAGTTTATCACTGGACGTGGGGGATAGTTTCCCGTAAGCCTATGGGTGGAAGAGCCTTTCAAGAATGTCTCTACTTCCCCCATAATGACTGATAACAAGTTCTGTTCTTCTTTGATGGGAGGAAGGTTTAGAACAGGAAAACACAGGGTACCTAAAGAGAAAGAGTTGTCACTAAAAGGTGATGGGGAGACTTGCCAGTGTCATCACACGTTTGTTAAGGACTGATCATGTGCGACTTTTATTGTTTGGGAATGGACAGAAGCTGTAGGAAGAAATAGCTTCATTGTGTAAGGACATCCAGCAATGCAACATGGTAGGAATATTGACACGGAGGTGTGCAATTCATACCAATATGTATATTATTTGGCGCTTTTCCTTGTTGATGTTTTAATATTGATAGTATCATAAAGAGAGGTTTATTCCAATAGGGTTTATTAATTGACTGTAGTGGGAGTAGGAAGTGGAAGTCTCTTCCCTTTACTTCAGTCCATGGCTTGCTTTGGAATAACAGAAGACTCTAAAATGATCCAATGTGACTTCAGGCTGTGACTTTTTAAGTTATTGAAAGTAGTAGAAAGTGCTGCTACAGGTACAAAAGATATTAAAAACATTAATAAATTGAATAAATTACCACTTCTCTGTGCCTTAGTTTCCTCATCTGTAAAATGGGAATAGCTTTTGTAAATTGTGACTTCTTTAAACATATGCATTAATAATAATGAATTTAATATTAATAATTTATAAAATGGAAATTTAGTTGAGTGAAAGAATGAAGGCAGTTTTTCAAGTAGTGAACCCCCTCCTGTGGGCCTATTTATTCAGCATGAGATTCTCACTGATTATTTGATTAATCCCAACTGTATTATTTATATTGGCTATGTGCAGGATATCTGAAGATAGGCAAGTATTTATAGAGGTTTATATTTGGAATTGAAAAACAGTAAGAGCAGACTGCATCAGTGCATAGGAAACCCAAAGCTTTCAGATGAATTTTGGCAGCAAGGGTGGAGAAAACACTCCAACTTGTTTTCATTAAAATAAACTTTTAATTGGAAATGAGTGTTCATGTAATCTGGTATCAGGTATCCTGGTATCTTCAATGGAATAAGCATTTAATTAACTTTTTTTTGTACTTTTGTATCATACAATGAAATTGCTCAATTCAGGAGAGCGATAAAGAGTTGAAATATATGAATGACACAATGAAGTTTCCTTATATGTGACTCGTGCTTGGTGACAACAGGAAATGAACTGAGGATTGAGGCAAAAGATACTTGTGGCAGTTTGTGCTTGACCTATATGAATTAATGATTGAGACATGAGTCACAAGGAAAGTAAGACTGCCCCCAAATGAGGTAACCGAGGGGGCTCCAAGGGAAGGGAAATGTGGCAGGCATTATAAATCAAGATATTTCTAATCTTTTCATAAAATGCATCAGGACAATTGATCAGTCCATTAAAAGTTGGCATATTACCAACCATATCTAGACATCCAGCAAGCCTACTACCATCAGTTACAAAGAACATTTTGTCCTAGACACTCCAAGCCAACAACGTGCAGTAACAGTAGCTTTAGTGACTGAAAGGGTGTAAGGGGGATAATGGCATACCCATGAACGAGAGGGTTCCACAAGTTCTGCCTAATGCTAATCATGAAATGTTTTTTTTTTTGTGCACTATATTCTCGGTTTTGTTAGAATCATAACAGGAGACACTTACAGGTTACTGTGTTGGATCTTCTCATTTTACTGAGACCATACTGGAAAACTAACCTACCCAAAGATGCACAACATATCTCCTGTATCCTAGTCTGATGATCTTCCTGCCATAAGGAAGGGTTTACCTTGACGGTTGCACATATTCCTTAAACATACTACATAGGGCATTTGAACTGTATGTGAGAAGAACATTATTGTAACCACAGAAGCCATATAATAACACTTTTCTTATGATGCTATGGTAGTCATAATCAAAACAATAGCAGCTTTATTAAGGAGACAAACTAATGTGTCTCATTATGTGCCAACACCCTTCTACCCAGTGTATTCTTTCCTGTTTATATCATGCCACCTGAGATGTTTTGAGTGGTAGCTACCTAGCAAAAGAGAAATGTCAAGGTCTCTTACTGATCACTTCTAATATGAGTCATATCAAAGGTTGTGTAACAGCACCTACATGTTCAGGACACTCCCAGTGGGAAAGAACAGTAAGCACCGTCTGAAGGATACTTTGCGTCTTGAATACATTCCTTCTATGCCAACAGCTGTGGGGGTCTGCTGTGCTCCACGGCTGAAGGTAAGGATCCGTAATGATTTTGTCTTAACAAGGAAGCTGCTACTACTTTCCCTGTGTGCATTTTTCCGTTCCCAAATGGTCTCCCTGTTGGGTCTTGTATGATTGCTCCCATCTTTCCCTTACCCCACTAGCCTTGAAAGATGTCTGTTATATTACATGAGTCCACTGTGACAGCTCCCAGACAATTGCTTTAATTTAGGAAATGCTTGCCAGAACACAGACTTGGTTTATATCTATATGAGATCGATGAATTACAAGAGCAAATCTGTTTATTTTCCAAGTTTTACAGTCCGCAGGCATGAAATACTTTCAAGCACATGTTGCTTGTTTGGAGATGTATGTTAGTTATATGTTGTAATCCATGGGGGTTCCCTTCCTTCCTCATAACACCTAATATGTCAATCTCTGGTACAAAATGAGCTATTTCACATATCTGAGCTATTTAGGTGGCTGGATGCTATCCTTTAAATATCAAAGTTTGGTTTATTTTAGCCTATTTTATGGCTATCTGCTTGAATGAATTGTATACTCCTCCACCTTCTTCATTGAACAGAATATCCATACTGGTTCTTTCTTCAAAGCTTCAGGGTGAATATGAGCATCAATGATTTTATTGTGTCCTGGCACAGAGCTCTCCTGAGGATCTATTAAGAAGTATGGGACAGTTTGGGAGGCTGAGGCAGGTGGATCATCTGAGGTCAGGAGTTCGAGACCAGGCTGGCTAACATGGCGAAACCCTGTCTTACTAAAAATAGAAAAATTAGCCGGGTGTGGTGGCACATGCCTGTAGTCCCAGCTACTCCAGAGGCTGAGGCGGGAGAATCTCTTGAACCCGGAAGGCAGGAGGCGGAGGTTGCAGTGAGCCAAGATTGCACTGCCGAATACTCACTGGCCCCAGTCTGTCACTCTACATGAATTCTGGTACCTGCTTTGGAAAGTTCTTTCTCTGTCTTGCTTTCATTACTTAGAACTACCACTGTTCCTGTTTGTTCCAATAATCTCTTCCCTTTTTCTCCTTCTCTTTGCACAATTCCCTCACACTCCCCACATCCATCATTCCACAAGGCCTATCTTTTTATTTCCTACAGCTCATGTTTATGCATTGAGAAACTATAACCAAGCATGTTAGAACTGTGTATGCAAGAAGGCTGGGCATGGTGGCTCACGCTTGTAATCCCAGCACTTTGGGAGGCTGAGGCAGGTGGATTGTTTGAGCTCAGCAGTTTCAGACTGACCTGGGCAACATGGCAAAACCCTGTCTCTATAAAAAATACAAAAAATAGCCGAACGTGGTGGTGCATGTGCCTGTAGTCCCAGCTACTCAGGAGGCTGAAGTGGGAGGATTCCTTGAGCCCAAGAGGCAGAGGTTGCTGTGAGCCAAGATTATGCCACTCCACTCTAGACTGGGAGACAGAGCAAGATTCTGTCCAAAAAAAATGTATGCAAGAAGAAGGAATGAACAGATTTTGTAAGGTGGCTGAGAGTACTAATGAAGAGAAGTGTGGGAATGGGAGTATCTGAATGTTGACACACCTCATTTGAATGCTCAGGGCCTCTCTTTGTTTCCTTCTTGATTCTAGGCTGTGTTCTAGAGCGGTATTGGTCACACTATTTATTACTGCAGAGCCCTGCATTCTGAAGAGGTGTCAGAGGCCATCAAGAAGAGAGAGAGAGGAGTGTGTGTGTGTGTGTGTGTGGTTGTAGGTTGCAGTGTTAGGGTCATGGGTTGTGGCAGAGGGAGACCAATGATGACAGCTCTGGAATCTTTACTTGCATTTTAACCAGAGCAGTATCCTTTTACATCATTGTATGCATTGAAGTTCCAGGTAAGATTTCAGACATAAAAACCAACAACCAACAAACAAACAAAAAAACAGCTACAACAATCAAACAATTTCTGCTTCTTTGAAAAAAAAAGACAAATCTGGATAAGTAATGTGGTAGTATAATTTAGTAAATGCTCAGTTACCCTTTCCCAGAATATGCTTTATAGCATGACATTATCACGGGTCTAGAAAATGACATTATCATTTTCTAGATGTTAGGAAACCATCTACTTCAAATAGTTTAACTTCCTATCAGTGATAAATAACACAGTATTATAAAATTATCAGTGCCATTTTACATAAATTGTACGTGTCTTTCTCCTATCTGATTGCATATTAGAGCATGTTTTAGAACAGTGAAGCCCAATAGAAATGTAATATGGGCCATTATGGTATTTAAAATTTTACAGTAGTCACATTAAGAGAACTAGAAGTAGACAAAAGTAATTGTAATAGTTTAATATTTTAGTTAACTCAGCATATCAAAAATATTTTCATTTTAGCATATAATCAGTATAAAAATCACACTGCTTCAGTTTTTAAATTTAAATTACTTAAGGCGGTGTGAAATTAAACATCTGATTCCTCATTCTCACTAGCTACATTTCAAGTGCTCTGCTACATGTGTCTAGTGGCTTCTAGATTAAAAAGTCTGATTTTAGAACATTGTTGATACATTGAAAATGTCTACAAAGATTGGCTGGCCCTTCCATGAGAAGAGCTTAAAGCAAAATGTCATTAATTTGGCATCCACTAGTTTGGAATTTATGACAATTTCTTCAGAGTTCAACTGAAGTTTACAATCTGATCTCTCTATGGAGAAAGGTTTTGCTTGGCACATTCACTGTATAAATCAGATCATAGGAGGCATGTTTAATCCACTTAAGAGTATTAGGTGTTTTGTGGGACTTTAGCACAACATTTATGAATGCAAAAATATTCTGCTCTGCACAGCAGAATGACCTATATTTATTTAAGGACATCTAACAGGGTGACCTTTCCTATATGAGACACTTTATTAGCAGTTAGTTATTATACTATTTTGAAAGATTGATATAAGACTAATTTCTTCTAAAGTTGTCTAAAAATCTTATTAATGTTTTAGATAGTACTTACCCAAATTAAATAAAACTTCACAGATGTAGTCTATGTTGGACTTAAATATAAAACAACGTAGAGCTTTGCTTTGAGGTGATGACAATATCTTTTTCACAAGGTGGTGAAGTTAAAATGAGATAAGGCACTTCATAAACTACAAGATGTTTCATGCATATTAGTTATTCATTTAGTAAAGATTTTATTTCTTGGCTTTTATAAGCCAGGATTTGTGCTATATGGTAGGGATATAGCTGTGAACCAGATGGACAGACATGATCCCTGCTTTCATGGAGCTTACAAGCTGGTAAGAGAGATAAACAAATAAACAGGCAATTAATGTGAGTGCAGTAAGGAACATGATAGGGGAAGCACAAGATGCTAAGAAAACCTTCAGGAGAGCCACATAACCTGGACTAGTTAAAGGGAGAGTCAGGGAAGTGTTCTTGGAAGAAATGGCATCTAGGCTGAAACAGGCAAACTTGCTAATCTGACTTCTATTCTCTTATAGTTGACACGGCAGCTATTTCAGAGGAGGCAGCCTGTGCAAAATGCAAGAGGTGAAAGGAAGAGCATGAAGTAGTCCCGGAACTAAAAGTAGTTCTGTGCAATAGATGTAAAAAGTCCCGGTGAAAGAGGGAACCATGATAAAGGTAGAGAGGCCAATAGGAATAGATCAAAAAGGACCTGAGGAAGTTGGACTTTATTTTATCCCAAGGACAATAAGAGACCATTGAAAGGTTTTATGCAGGGGAGTGAGTGACATGATCTGGCTGCATTTTGGAAAAATCACTTTGGCTTCTGCATAGAGAAGGGGATGTGGGAGAATGAGAATGGAGGCCATGAGATGAGGCCTTGGCTGGGGACACTGGTGGCCTGAAGCAAGGGAGTGAAGGGTGGGAGGCAGAATTTGATAGATATTTAGGAGGTAAAAACCAATAAGCTTTAGTGACTGATAGGACGTAAGGGGACAGGGATAAGGAGAAGTGATGTGGATAACTGGGTGAATGGTGGTACCTGCCTTTCACTAACATACAGAAAACTGCAGGTGGAACAGTTTGCAAGGGTGAGTGTGAGAACATGAAGTCTGGTGTGGCCATGCTACAACTGATGTCTCTCTGGCAGTGTCCAAGTGGGGATATCCTGTAGTCAGTTGGATTTGTGTATATCCAGGGTTTGCTGAGCTATACTGCCTTTGAGGTTTAAATGGAAATGATTGAAATCTCATCCCACATATAGTGAGAACTTCAATTCCTTCCCAAAGTCTTTACAGATTCTGGAGGGGGTGATTAATGTTTTCCCTCATTGCCTGTAAACCTCAATTCTGGCTGCTGTTGAATTAGTTGAGTTGATGGAGCATCTCCTCATTCTTGTTTTATGCCACATCAACCCAGCTGTTGAATTCAGTTTCTTTCCCTTAATTTTCACAAAACTCAAACCAAAAACCCAATCACACAAGGCCATTGTGTATGCAGCAGGGCTTCACTCATGATGTACGGAGATGAAAGAAGTTTGGGTGGCAGCAATGAAGTACAATTTATAAATGAGTAACCATCATACTTGTTCTTGAGTAGCCATTTCTGCCAACCTGGGCTCCAACCTCCTCCTGAATTGCTTTGCCTTCTTTCCTTGCCTGTTTCCCTCCTAGCAATAGGAACAAACAAACAAAAGCAAAACAAAGGAAAGTAAAGCAAAACAAAGGAAAGTAAAGCAAAACCTCCCACCGTATCATGCAATTAATAGAGATATATAGATCCTGGGAGGAGTACAGAGAGTTATTTTTCCAGTGATATGAATGATGCCTCCTAGAAAGGAAATGGCCACAGTTAGTTTTGATTTTAAGTATCCATTTGTTTCCCTTCATTACATATGAGTCTGGCCCTTGAGAGAGGATTAAAGACAGATTTGGCAGTCAACAATAGAAGGTTTCTACTTGAAGCAGTATGAGTGTATGTGATCACCTAAAGATAATGCATAAAGTGAGAAGAGAAGGTGGCCTACGATGGAAACTTGGTGTCCAATATTATTTAAGACTTAAATTTTAAGGAAACCACAGAAGTAAAGGAGTCCTCAAAGGGGATTGAGAAGGAGGGAAGAGAAGCAGGAGAAAAAGCGGAAGAGTGTGTTGTCATGTAGGAAGGTACTTGTTAGAAAGGAGGGCGAATCTGGACTGTGTATCTTTGTAACCTAGTGTCTGTCAGAATGCCTGGAGCATAAGTGCTCAATGAATCGTAGTTGAATTAAAACAGGCTACTTTACCAATCTTTCTACTCTCTTAGAGTTGACTCAGCAGCTATTCTAGTTCTTTTCTATATATTTCAAGTTTCCAGTGCATCCCTGCATTCCCTGCTGTCATCACACGACTTAGCTTGAGGTTCTCTGACTAGTGTTCCCTCAAGTTCTTTTCTCTCCCGCTTATGGCTTACATGGCTTACAACATTTGTCTCTACAAGCACCCTCTCTACTTCAACATTTCTTTGTCTCTCTCTTCATTTCTTTGTGTCTTGGAGAAAAACATATTTTTCTTTTGGCAAGGCTCATTATACTGTCTACGGATCCTTTCCTTCAAGGGAAGTCTAATCTGTGATTTTGAGGAGCTTTAATGGGCAGCTAACCCTGATTAAGAAAAATTATGAACTCCGTTATTAATAAACTGTCTTTTAAAACATTGCCTCCAAGGTAGTGGTGCTGGGGTGGGGAGAGAAAAATGAAAAGGGCTCACTGTGTTGAAAAAGTCAAGAACTTCTGTTCCATTTAACCTCTTCACTCTCTTTCAACTTGAAACTTCTGGACAGGAGACTACACTCGCAGTTCCAGTTCTTCATAACTCACTTATACTAAACTCCTTATAATTTAACTTCCTCTGTTAGGAAAACTGCTCCCCATTGGATCTGACTTGCCAAGTCAAGGCATTTTTCCTCAAAGCTAATCTGATTTGCAGTGTTTAGTACTCTTAGCCACTTCTTCCCTTCCTTTGATTCACTGATATTCAATTCACTAGTTTCTCATCTTTTTTCTCTTCTCTCTTGTGGAAACCTGTCATTCTCTAATGTCCTTTCTAACTACCGTCAACTGTCTTTTGAACTCCAGGCCTGCATTTACACCTGTCTGCTGAACATCTAAATTTGAACAGTTATCTTAAAGTCCATATCTAAACATAAAATCATACTCGATTGGATCCGTGTTTTAAAAATGGCTATAGAAGACATTATTGAATACATTTGAATGTGGATTAAATATGATATTAGGGGATAATTGTTAATTTTTAGGTGTGATAATGGTATTATAGATTTGTAAGAAAACATCTTTATTCTTACAAGATACATGCTGAAATATTGAGGAGTAAAGTGCCATGATGTCTGCAACTTACTTTTAAATAGTTTAGAAAACAGACACACGCACAAACATATTGGAACTTAACGCAAATATAACACAACATTAAAAATTATTGAATCTAGATGGCTCCTATAAAGAGTTGCTCATTGTATCATTATGGAATTCATTTATATGTCTGAAAAATTTAGTAATAAATAGTTGAGATGGGCAAAATGTTTATCGTCTCCCCGTCCATCTCAAACCACCTCCTCCTCCTGATTTCCCTATATCTGGGATTGGCACTGTGGTCTGCAGTATACTGAACACTATGTAGTATACTGGACACCTATGTAGTATACTGGACACCCATGTAGTATACTGGACACCTAAAGGCTCCTTTTCTGGGAATACCTCTTTCACAGCCCTCCACATGGCTGTGCAATGACATCCTGTGTTGAGTGGCCAGAAGCACATGCGTAATCTTTACCAATGAATCCGCTCTCTTAGAGGTTTAGATTTGAAACTCAGAAAATCACCAAATGGCTGAAGGTATGAAATAGAAAACTTAGGAACGTTGGTTGCCATGATTTTTGTTATATGAAGACAGAGTTTGTAGCAAAAGAAGACTGAAGCAAATGAGCTAAGAAGGCCAGAGGCAGGGAATGAAGAGAGAGTCCTACTGACATCTTTGATGACCTCTTTTCTGTGGGTCACAATAATAATTTTAGTGGAGAAAATACAATTTCCATAGGTGCTGAGGTTTCTGGTCAGTTCAGAGAAACTTCTGCTAAATAAAGGATAATCTCAATTCTTATTTTTTTATATTTAATTTTGTAAATATTTTAGGCCAAATTTTTGGTATTCAAATTAGCTTCTTGCTGAAAATGTAGTTGACGTATGTAACCGTGTGTATATAAAATATTTGTACATCTTAACAAGTACAGCTTCTATTTCAACAAGAGACATCCAACTTCTTTATGTACATATGAATTGTGTGTGCACCACAAATAAATCAAAGTTCATTTTTGCTTCCTTGCTTTCTTCTTAAATTAGTAAAAACAATATTTTTACAGTAATACTGTGCTCCACCTATATTCTGTATTTGTATTGCTACTTCAAAAGCAAATATTTTATCTTCAGTGTTGAAATAATTGTTGAAATTAATTGAATTTGCCATAACATTCACAATAAAGTCAGGTATTTCTCCATCATTAACTTCCAAAGTTTTACATTGACTCCATGAATTGGATGAAAGAAATCAAATAATTTTTGGATATTCTATTTGAAACTTCGAATGACCCAGATTCATCTAGCATCTTTTAATTCTTTGAGAAGTTCTCCTGCTAATGGAACCAACACATTAACAGCTGTACCTTTACTTTTCCTTAAAGCACTAGAAAATTGCGAATGAAAAATGAGTTGCATTAATTAAGAACAGTCTAATGATCTAAGTGAAAACCATGCTTCACAGAGCGATATGTAAACCTACCTTCTGCAGCTACATGTCTTCTTTGGGCAGAGTCTTCTTAAAACACTAACTTTTGAAGTAGATACTGATGCATCTCATCCTATTTGTTTCTTCTGGTTGTCAGGTGGGCATTGATATCACTTTGTCTCCCATGGCAGATTGTAAATGTCAGTAAGCATTTTGTGCATATTTCCCACTAATCCTCAATTTTCTTGAAAAATGGAAATTTGGTACTTAGTTTTTCATCAAACATGAAATTCTATTTTTTGAGTGTATTATTTCTCAAGGGGTTATTGTGAAATAAAAAGCAACATTGTCAAACAATAAAATAAATAATTGTACATTTACACCGCATAGCAAAGGACGGATCCACTGTAGCAAGAGTGATCAGATAACTTTCCATATGTTCTACAGCAAGACTGCTGTCACTGCTTTCCACACATATTTTATGTACACTTAACATATCCTGCTTTGAGCAGCTTACAGGTCAAGACTTGGACCACAGCACAACTGAGTTGCTACATACAATGGCCAGCTAGATCAACAGAAATAAATAGTTGTACTATACCATTTGAAACCAGAGGAGGTAGCTATCTTTAGCACCTCATGTCAGAGAGCACTTCATTTTAGCAGTAAGTGTGCTGCAGGGTTTCCTTGAAAGGGAAGTGTTAGTCATGGATCAGCAGAGATGATCATCTTTCAGATTTAACAATGTGTTAAAGTGAGAATTCTGTGCTCTGCACATATATTCCGCTCTTGCACTACCAGAGGAAAACACAGCAGAAGCTGGATTCGTAGAGGATACCAAACATATCCTAATATATTTTAATGCAAGTATTAATAATATTTATTTATTATTATTTCTTCACTAAAAGAAATCACCAGGACAAAGGCTAAACTCTAGGACAATAGATATATACTAGTATTATCCTGGGCAACTGGCACATATAATGACCCCGTGTTTAGCTCGACTAAGGAAAACTCACATTTCACACAAAAAAATCTTCATTCCTTTGAACTTGCATCCTACTTTGCCATGTTTCTAATTCAGTTTTCTTTCTCCACAACTTCACAAGACTAAGATCCTTAAGAGAATGGATTGTATTTTGTTCCCGTTCGGGGTTCCCACAGCCTCTGATATCGAGGTCTTAGTCAAGGCTAACTGTCTAGTCTTCTCTTTGGAAAAGTCAGCTTGACAAAGTCAGCAGAGCTTGGGCTTACCTCTACTACTTTCTAGCTGTGTGACCTTGGAAATCTACTCAGTTTTCTCATCTGTAAATACGGATCAAGATGCCTATAAGTGAGTTCGATCGTTGTCTACCAAGCATCATCCCCAACCTTCTCTAAAATTTCTCTGTCTCACAGGGGAGAAATCTGGAGGAACATTTCACAGAATCTTTTTCCAGCATGACGCTGGGTTAAATCTGCCAGTGAGTGGGACTTGTATGAGTTTCGAAAGGCAAAAGAGAAAAGAAAGCTGGCTCATTTGCAGCATCTTTCCTTTGCTTGACCCCAAAAGCTCCTCTGGAAACTACCCCACTGAAGTGCTTCAGCAGCTGAGATCATCACAGTGACCTTCTTGGGATCTCTCCCTTTTAGATTTATGAAAAGTGACCTTCCTGACTTTCACTCTCCTAGCATTTCCAAAGGTTGAGAAGCTTCTAATTCTCTATATTCAACCTTTCCAATTGAAATAAAGAGTAGCTCTGTTTTCCTGACAAGCCGTATCTGATCCCTGGGGTTATTATAAGGGTAATAAAATTACATACTATGTGTAAAGCACTAACCACAGAACCTGACAGGTACCCAGTAGATGCTCAATCAACAGTAGCTGTCCTTATTGTTATTATCATCAGTAGAATGTATTAATTTAGTCCGTTGCTCACCTTCTCGCAGGACAACAGCTTGTGTTTTATTTTTGTATCTTAGAATATTTTCTCTGCTCAGAAACCTCTGAAGCATGGTCATAGGTGGGAGGACTGCATATATTCTGTCCATGTCTCCAACCTGCCCCATCACTGACAATTGTTGGTTCATAATTCTCTTTCTAGATTTCTGGACCAGGCATAGTCGGAGCTTTATAAGGATTAGACCTGAACTTTAATTTAGAAGAGAAAAGCGGTGGATGAGGAGAGGAAAGACTAGGGTATTCTCCCTGGTGAAGAACTGATATAGAGAGTCAGCCAGCTAGGGAAAAATGACTCTACCTTGTCCTGATGCTAAAATCCACCTAATTCTCAGATACTGCTCCAGACTAATTTGTGATGACACCTCCCTGTTATCAAGGGAGATTGGGTGGCACTTCCCTTCCTTAGTCTCATATGCACATGCTATGGTTTGAATGTTTGTCCCTTCCAAAAGTCATGTTGAAAGTTAATCCTCAATGTGGCAGTATTGAGAGTTGGGTTCTTTAATAGGTGATTGTGTCATGAGGGCTCTGCCCTCATGAATGGATTGATTCATTCAGAGATTGATGGGTAAGTGGATTAATGGGTTGTCATGGGAGGGGAACTGGCGGCTTTATTAAGAAGAGGAAGAGAGACTTGAGCTGGGCCACTCAGGCCTCTCACCATGTGATATCCTCCACCACCTTGGGACTCTACAGAGAGTCCCCACCAGCAAGAAGGCCCTCACCAAATGCAGCCCCTTGACTTTGGGCTTATTAGCCTCCATAACTGTAAGAAATAAATTCATTTTCTTTATAAATTACTCAGTTTAGGTATTCTGTTATAAGAAACAGAAAACAAAGACAACACAATTTGTAACTTTTTAGTTACCAATTGTGACTCTTTAGTTACAAATCTGATCTCCCCCACCAATATGGATGTTGATAAAATAAAGAGAAAACAGAATAGTATTTGCTCTAAATTCTCATATCCTCCCTACTCTCTCCCCCATTCCCAAATCACCTCTTAGAACTACAGAAAGCCCTCAACTTAAAATCAACTTAAGATTTGTCTACTTCAGGATGATGTGAAAGTGATACACATTTAGCAAAAACTGTACTTAGAAGTTTAAATATTTCTTGGGCTAGTGACATACTGTGTGATGATCTCTGATAATGCTGGAAGCAGCAGCAAGCTACAGCTTCTAGTCAGGTATGTAATCATGAAAGTAAACAATTGATACTCTTCAGTGGACTGTGTTGCCAGATGCTTTCGCCCAACTATAGGCTAATGTAAGTGTTCTGAGTTCCTTTAAGGTAGGCTAGGCTAAGCCATGATGTTTGGTATATTAGGCATATTAAATGCATTTTCCACTTATAATATTTTCAACTTTTCAACTTATGATAGGTTTACGGAGATATACTTTGAAAGTCAAGGAAGATCTGTATAACTCTTCTCGTCATCTTTTGAGTACATTAAGGGAACTGTGAAGATGAAGAGAGTTGGCCTCTTTTGACTTGCTTTTCTGTTAGACAAATCATGCAAGACAGTTTCTCTTGCAAGATACCCCAGTTATATGCCAGTATCTATTAGGTGGTAGCACATTATAATGGAAATAGCACTGATATAGGAAATAGGAGATCAGAGTTCTCAACCTAGCTATGATATCACACTGAGTAGGATAAATATAACTCTAAATAGCCCAATGTCAGATCGGGTCAGATTTTTGCCTTTCAGAGGAAGGGACATTTGAGCTGAGTTCTGAAAGACAAGATGGAGCCTGCTATGTGAAGATCAGAGGGCAGAGAAGTTGAGGTAGAGGGTCAAGCTAGGGCACTGTTGGTGATGTGGGAATGCACTTGGCATAGGTGAAACACAGGAAAGGCCAGTGTGGCTGAAGGGGAGGAGGTAAGGAATAAAGTAGTACAAGAGAGTTAGGAGGGAGTTAGGACTCAGGTCATGGAGGGCCCTGCTGGCTGAGTTAAGGAGTTGGAATTGTATTCTAAGTGTAGTCGGAAGATTTGTGAAGGAGTCAAGCAGGGGAGTGATATAAGTGGAATTCACATTGAGAAAGTTCCTGCTGGCTGGTTTTTGGAAAGTGGAGATGAGCAAGGGAGACAGAGAACAGGCCTGGGAGATGGGGGAGTGGGGGGTGGGGCGGAACACCAGGAACTGTAGCCAAGGAAGCCACAAAAGGGGTTTCAAAAACAAGGGTGTGACCAACTAGGTTGAAAAATGATGAAAGGTGGAATAAAATGAGAATCAGAAACTGGCATTGGACTTGGCAATGTGGGATAAATGACTGCCCTGAAAGTGGCCTCAGTGGAGAGGTGGGGACAGAAACATGATTGGAGTGGGCTGAGGAGAGAATATTCTGCTGCTAAGGCAAGCAGAAAGTTGGGGTTGTGGTTGAGGAGAGATTTGGGATGAGGGGATGGTGGGTGCGTGCCATAATATGAATGCATGGCTAGGGTTAGGTGTGGGACAAGGGTTAGAAAGCTAGTCAGAAAGAGGATGGGGTGGGGAAGTTGTACGACTTGAACATCAGAAAATGTGACTAGCCATAGTTGATAGACTTCAGCCCCAACTGATGCTGCTAGGATTGCCAATCATAATTCCTATTAGCTCGGAAAGTATGCTTTAGGCTTTCTCCTGCAAATGTACTGGAAATAATTATAATTAAAAACATCTGGGAAAATGTCAATGTCTGAATGCAAATGCTTCCAAGCTCATCATTCCTGCGAGGTTACCTCTTCCCTTGGCAGTTTTTATCTGAGGTAATTTACCTGTTACTTAAAAATTCCTGAGCTTATCTTAAACCTGGATGGTTTTCTACTTTGCTCATGGTTTTGAAGTTTACCCCTATGAAATTGGAATTACCTGGCACTTCTCAAAATGAAAGGGAGCTTACTAGAAAGCTGCATAATTCTTTCTCTGGGAAATATAAAATGTCAAAGGCATTCTGGTTTGCTTGGGTACAGTGTAAAAAGGGCAGTTCCATTTTTTAGCCAATTGTTTTCCTAGCATTTCATAAACATTTGCTGAGGGTGTACCACATGCAGGACTCTGGAGAGTGTGCCAATGAATCAGGCTGCAGGATATTTTTTTTCAAGGATTTTTTTTAGTTTATTTGGAGAGATGACTATTATCATTTTTATCTATGTGCTAGGCATTCTGCTGAATACTTTATTTATGTGATCTCACTGGATGCTTATCAGTGAAGTGGATTCTCTTAGTATCTCACTTCACAGATGAGAAAACTAAGGCTCAGAGAGCTAAAATAACTTGCCCGAAAACACACAATTAGGGAGTAGCTGGGCCAGGATTTGAGATTCTAAAGCAGCATCATCTGACAGAACTTTCTGTAATGATGGAAATGTTTTATATCTGAACTGCCCAATATAGTAGTCATTAGCCACATGTGACTATTGAATAGTAAAAATGTTGCTAGTGAGACAGAGGAACTGCATTTTAAATGTTAATTACACTAATTTAGATTCAAATAGCTCCATGTGGCTAGTGGCTATCATTACAGACATTGCGGCTCCAGAGTCTGAGTGCTTTCCACTATACTATGATGGGTCACTATAAGAATTGTATGATGAGAATGGCTATTTCTTCTTTGTTCCCCAGCTTTGGGTGAACTAGCATGCTCTAGTCCATAGAGTGTTGAATGTAAGCTCCAGCCCTCAGCACACATAGCAACCAAGGGAAATGATGAACAACATCGCCTAAGTAAATAAAATGTACAACTCCGCTGAGGAGGCTGAGACTCTTGTTGTTCTGGGGACCTCTTTTATTGGTGTATTGGTCTTGACCTGATAACTTTGAGTTAGCTCTAGTCAGGAAAACCAATTTACTCTAGGTGTCTCAAGTAGCAAGGGTTTAATACAGGGAACAGATTTCACATATGTTGGAGTTCCCAAAGAAGCAGGATGCTAGAGCCAAAGCTGTTCTATACTGCTGAAGCCATTTCAACAGTAACCTCAAATAGTAATGAAGTCTGTTCTTTCCTCCGCTTACCTTCTAGTCTCCTGCTAGTTCCTCTTATGAACAGAACCAACAGGGAGCCAGCTGGCATAAGAGTCTGAAAAATGTGGTGTGTGAGTCCCAGCCCCAGGATCACAGAACAGAGTAGAGAAAGTGGGTTTGAGGCTGAGAGAAAATGGGTAAATAACCAGTATAGTTTTGAAACAGCTTGTCAGGTCTGAATAATCCTTCATAATTATTCTTTAAAATCCACTGAATCCAGGAAGGCCGTCAGTTCTCTATGACTAGCAGGTTAAGACAAGTATCATTTTGGGGTCTCTGGCTTACCATATACTGGGAATCTGTATATCCAACACATTTTACTGAGGTCCAGCACTTTGGGAGGCCGAGGCGGGCGGATCACGAGGTCAGGAGATTGAGACCGTCCTGGCTAAGACGGTGAAACCCGTCTCTACTAAAAATACAAAAAATTAGCCGGGTGTGGTGGTGGGCGCCTGTAGTCCCAGCTACTCGGGAGGCTGAGGCAACAGAATCGCGTGAACCCGGGAGGCGGAGTTTGCAGTGAGCTGAGATCGCGCCACTGCACTCTGGCCTGGGCCACAGAGCGAGATTCCATCTCAAAAAAAAAAAAAAAAAAGGTTATGCCATTTGAATAAGCCAATGCCTCAACAATTTTTTTGTTCCCACTTACACCTTTTCCCCACCCAGCTTTATTGTGGTGCAGTTAGCATACAAAAACTGCATGTAGTTAATGTATACAATGGCGAGTTTGGATATATGAATGTACTCATGGTTAAAAGAGTGAATGAATAGTTCCCATTCACTCTTTGAACCACTTAAAAGTGGTAGAAGCCACTCTCATAACTTGAGGCATTATTTCAACTGATATAATCTCAGAGCATATGAAGGCAGTTTTTTCTTTGTTCTCAGTTGCCAAAAGCATTTGAGAAGAAGCAGTGAAAGACATTTGAACTCAAGGTGCAGTGTATATGTTGGTATGCCTGTTCAGGGTAAGTAGTCCATACATATCTGTACCTCGTGTATATGTGCTACCTGAGCTACAAGATTATCTAATGTGTTCTCAAAGAATAGAAAGAGGAATTGAACAGAAAAAATCTAAGCTAGAAATAACATTTTCTCTCTCCATGAATTGGACCTCAGTTGAGCTTACAGTGAAAAGCTTAAAACGGACAGGTAAGACCCTCCACCCTTTAGTGAAAGGTCTGGAAAACTGGACAATAGAACTTTTAAAAATACATGTATCTTTTAAAAATGTGTATATTTAAGTCATACTACAAGATGATGTTTGCATATTGGACAATAGAACTTAATTTGTCCCCAAGAAAACTTGGAGCTTTGAAAAATAGTAGGATCATTTTATATTTCAGTGGTGATTTGTCTTTCCAAACGTGAGAGTTTTCTGAACCTCTTCTATTAGGATAGGTAAAGACAAAAAGCAGAACATTGTACTGAACTAGCTACCATTTATGGAGAGACAACTATGTGCCAGGTACTGTGTGAGGTTCTAAATATAGACCTTGTATAATTAACAACTCTGCGAGATACATGTATTCACCAATTGTAAAGATGAGAAACTTTCCTTGAGGATCTTCCTCAGACACAGGGGAGCACTCAGTGAATAACCCAGCAATTCAGAGTTTTGGATTCTTGCTACCTAAAGGATGGTCCCTGATCATCAGCATTGGTATCACCTGAGAGCTTGTCATTTACGCAGAATCTCTAGTCCCACCCTCCACCTGAATCAGAATCTGCATTTTTTTAACAAGATCCCGCGGTGATTCATAAGCACATGAAAGTTTGAGAAGCATGGCTCTAGAGCGGGAGTCAACAATATTTTTTCTGTAGAGGGCCAGATAACGTGTATTTAAGTCTTTGCAGGCCGTATAGTCTCTCTCAGAACTACTCAGCTCTGCCATTGTAGCAGGAAAGCAGCCGCAGACAACGTGTAAATAAATGAGTGCGGCTGTGTTCCAATAAAACTTTATTACAAAAACAGGTGGTGTTGAGCTGTATATTGCCTGTGGGCTGAAGTTGGCAGAGCTCTGTACTAGATGGTCCATATTCTACCTGTTCCTGCCATATTAGATTGGGACTGTTTTCTTCACCACAGTCTTTGACACAGGTGTGTCTTGCTGGTAGATTGCTTTGCTGTGCGAATAAGAAGCCCTATTCACTGAAAATTCAAAAGAAAGAATATGTGTGCTGGAGGCAAGGCTGCTGTTTTAACACAGAAGGCCTTACAGTGTTTGGCTTCAGTTCAGGGCCATCTGTCAGTTGTGCAACCATAAGGACATGTTTAGTTGGGCTACTGAGAGTGGATTCAGTTCTCAGAGCTGGATTCGTAGTGACCAAATTCATGTGTGTAAAATGTTTTTATACATTTTACTGGTGTGTAAAATGTTTTTATACATTTTACTGATGTGTAAAAACAGAATGAGTAGTTATTAATGTCCCCAGAAATAGTTTTCACAGGGATGAGAATATGCACTGGGGTGACCAACATACTCTTTTCCTTTAGGTCAGCAGTACTGTGCGAAACATGTGCCTATTGCATTTTTTTAGGGGGGAAAGTTGATAGTTGGTGTAGATTGCTAAAGAGGTCCATGAACGATGCAAAGAAAGTTAAAAATCATGGTCATGGGTACACTGACATGAAAATCCAAATAGTAATTTAAATCCCAGTTTATTACTTTAAAATGAGAACTGTTAATGTTGTGCAAGACAATATTTTTCCTTTGAGAAAATATATAGAACCTCACACGTTATAATCATATAACCTCTGCTTATTTCCCTGGCATTTTAAACAACCCTCTCCTCTTTGTCAATTAATGCAGCACATTTTTTGCCTCTGCGGAAAGATGACAGACTAGAATGAAGAAGTCAATTCTTGGCTTTTGACGTTCAAAAGCCTTGCCCTGGGAAAGGTGATGAGTGGGAAGGAAGAACCACAGCAGTAATCGTGAACTTTAAGTTTGGCTTTGATGAGAGCACAATTTCTCTGTTTCAACTAACGATTCTTTAGACTAAGGGAAAGGAAGTCAGTGGGAAGTCAGAGAGCTTAAATTTTGGTGGGGGCCCTTGAGTAAGTGAGCTTGCCTTTGCCTCCTTAGGTTGAGCCCCAGAGTTGGAGGAGCACAGTGATAATTTTAAACAGTTCTTGAAATTTGGGAGTAGAGGGGGCCTGTGCTTCCTCCTCCCTTTTCCCAAATAGAGTCTAGTGAAGCAGTGGGACCCCAACATAGAAATGTCTGAATGGTGAGGTTAGTGGGTGGGCTTGAGAAAGCCTCATATAATGTCCTGAATTGCAAAGGAGTTGAAGGAGCAGCAGAATATTCCTTGTGCACCTGAGAGCTACACAGACATAGCAGAGATCAATGGTAAACTTGAAGAGACCTTGTGGTCAGGACAAGCAGGATGTGGCAGTGACCTGTGTGGACTGAGGACCAATGACCAGATGGGAATGAGGACCACTTAGTGGATGCGAATGAGAAGAATTGAGACCCAGAACAAGACTCTGAACCTATCACACTAATGTCTTCTCACTAACTTAGCAACTCAGGAGAAAGGGAGGAGACCAAGGTTGAATTCCTCCCACTTGGGACTCAAAATAGAAATTAAAGCTATGGAAAAATAAAGGGAACTATTTTTATGTTACTTCTGAGTTTCTGAACAGGAATTCACACTTGGCACCTTGTTATCAGACCCAGTGTACCCTAAGTCTGTAGAACCACATATTCTCTTCTAATAAGCCAGTGATTCATAACCCTGGCATAACATTTGATTCACCTGGGGAGATTTTAAATTTCTGATGCCCAGGCCGTTTCTCAAATCAATTAAGTCAGAATCTCTGTGGTCAGGCATCTCTAGTTTTTCAAGTTTCCCAGGTGATTCTAATGTGCATTCAAGGGTGAGGATGGCAGGTATAGGCTGATCTCCTTGGAAAGCAAAACCATAATCAGAAGGTTACATAATGATAACGGAACCAGAGCCTGGTGAATGCATCATATGAATGGAATGTATAATGTTTTAAAGATAAACAAGGATGGCCTGGAAGATGGAGTTAGAAACCCTTATCCTATGACAGGGTTTAGAATGATGCTACCAACATCTGCCTCTGCTACTATTAAACGTCTTCTGCTTCTCTAGGTAATCAAGCCACCTACTGGTGGACACAGTTTTTCTTTAGTCATGTAAATGCGTTCCATCTGGTTATTGTCCAGTCTTACAGACTTGGGAGACGTTCTGTGTTTTAAAGGTAATTGTATATCCCTGCTCTGATTCATTGTATCTTGATTTTAAAGTTTAACTCACAGAGGGTAACCTTATTTTATCCACTTTCAAATTCTCCAGGGATGTTTTACTGTAGCCCCACCCCATTTCAGTCCTGACTACAGTGACATCACAAACCACATCTCTTCAGAAAGGCCATAATAATAGTATCGCCAAAAGGACATCTATCACTGTTTTAAAAAGAGATTTCCGACAACAACTTCTTCCGAAACAGTGTTCAAAGATTATGGCACACATTCTTTTGCTGTGTCAGATAACAAAGATGGGAAAATAGCTTGCAAGCATGACCATGTAATCTTATGTCAAATCACACGAAGCAATGCTCTTAAATACCAAGCTGATGGATTTGCTAAGAAAGCATTTATTGAACATCTATTGTCTTTCAAAGATAGTACTAGTAAAAGCAAAAAATAAGAAAACCAGTCCCTGGCTGAAGAAGGACTTGATCTAGTCTATGACTTGTCTGGGTGCTATCATTATTTCAATATGTGCATCTCCTGGCAAAATGCCTGCATTTTGAAAGAGATCATGATGGGTTTTGATGATAATATGAGGTTCCTCACACCCATGCATGCACACACAGTCATACACATATTACCATTCTTGTTGGCCAAGTCTGGCTTATGACAACACAGATAAAGCCTTAGGTGATGCTTCATTACTTGGCAAACAGATAACTGAGTTAGACGATTTTTGCTTGCTAGCCATTAGTGGGATGATAGAAATGTGTATTTTTCTCTTTCAGAATATTAGTCCTCAAATATACTGTGATTTTTTCTTGCCCTTAATCCACACAATAGGCAGTGTGATTTTAAAGTCATTGTCTTACTTCTATTTGAAAGTTTTAATGCCTTCTCACTGCCCTTAGTATAAAGTCTAAATTTTACAACATGACTTATAACTCCACTCCCTCAACTCTTGCAGAAAGCTTTCTTTAATTTTCTACCCCACTCCTACTTTCAATGGGTTAGATATTCTTTCTGGGTTATCCATTCATAGCACATACTACATTTTAATATGATTGCTTGTTAAATTGGCCATCTTCCCAGTAGACCATAGGATCAAGTTGAGATATTTACAATCTTATCCCAGGAACCTATCCCATACTTGCATATAGTAGATGCTCAATAAATGTTTGTTGACTACATGAATGAATGCCTGTTTTCTCATGTTTGTCTTCTCCGCTAGACTATAAGTTCCTGGAGGATACGGGTTGTATCTTTTTCATCTTCAGATGTTTGATGTCTATCACAGTGCCTGGTACAAAATAGGAGTTCAATGTCTGTTAAATGGGTAAACAAATACTGTTCTTTCCTTGTAGAATGTTTTTCTGTCCCCACGATCCTCTTTCTTTCTCTGTCTATAGAATGTCTGCTCCTCAAGGCCCCACTCAGTTATCAAATCTGCTGTGCAACTTCCCCTGACACCCACAGGCAGAGCCAAGTCAGTTACTGTCACTTCCTCTCTGCATAATTACAGAGCTCCAGCCAGGGTGTGTGACCTGCACAGTTACACAGGGCTCTGTGCTTTGAAGTGTCTCTCACTTTGTTTAGTGCTCTGCTGCCACAGTCTTAGATAATGCACAAGGATTTTTGGATAAGGGACCTCGCATTTTCATTTTGCCCTGGGCTCTGCAAATTATGTAGCCAATAGCCAATCCCGGTTCTAGCACAGTGCATGGCACCTCACTTGGAGTTCAATAAATGATTGTTGAATTGTCCACAGTTTTTCCCATCCAGAAAAGGAACCATAACAGTGTTTCTGTTGAGATTCCTTTACATGATTTCAACACCTTCATCAAAATCTTACTACACTCTTAGATCTTTCTTGATTCATACTTTACATTCCATTCACTGAAACCACAAAGGAAATGTTCTCATCCTTAAAGAACAAACCCTTCTCCAATTTGCATTCATTCAAATGATCATATAGAAAACAGAAAGTACTTCATAGTTTATCTTCAAAAGAGTGGCTTTCATTTGCTGAGATACTCATGTGAGAAAGGAAGGGCAGATGATCTAATAGCATATTCCAAGAAAGTGTATTTTGCCACACTCTATTCTTCACACACTCAGTAGAAGTGTAGGATTTGGTTTCCAGGAATGACAGAAAAGTCTTCACTTTGATACCACCTCTAAACGGGGGGTTGTCAAGACAGTGCTTCTCACCTGAAATAGAAAAACATGTTGCGAAACAAATTGACGCCTTCTCAACCTGATTTCATATAGAGATATGATTTAGTAGTTCTGCTTGATAATTCTATTCATTGGTTGTGACTTGTGCAGAACTTTGTTTCTAGCAGTGTGTAGAACTCATCAAGTTTAGTTGCAAGAGTCAAGCAGCTCCAATTCTCAGAACTGGATGAAGCTGACAGAGTATATAGTCCAACGTGTGATTAGGAACAGCTTGAGTTTAATATATCACTGTATTTCCATTGACGTGTTTAAAGTAGTATTGGTTCAATGGCTGTATTTGTTTTATTTGTTCTCAAAGCCTTAGCAAGGAATGCATGGGCATTGGAGATATGAAAGCTGAAGTTTTGCAATCAGCTATGGTCATATAGTTAATTAGTAGCACAGATACCAGGACCATGTTATCATCATCATCATCATTGTATTAACCACATACACTAGTTTAGGGTTTAACAGTTTCCAAAGTGCTTTAGAATGCACTGCCTGTCTCTGTTATTGCTGAGAGAGTATTAGCTTTCTAGAGATGATGTGTTATTTTCTTCTTACTTCCACTTACTGGAGATGTTTCTTTTCAAAATTAAAAGGAAAACTGGAAGAATTAGACAAATTTGGAAACTGGGAGTGTAAATTAGTTCAACCACTGTGGAAAACAGTATGGCAGTCCCTCAAAGAGCTAAAAACAGAACTGCTGTTCGACCCAGCAATCCCATTACTGGGTATATACCCAAAGGAATATAAATCATTCTATCATTTAAGGCACATGCACACAAATGGTCATTGCAGCACTATCCACAATAGCAAAGACATGGAATCAACATTAAATGCTCGTCAGTGACAGACTGGATAAAGAAGATGTGGTACCTATACACCATGGACTACCATACAGCCATAAAAAAGAACAAGATCATGTATTTCACAAGAACATGAATAGAGCTGGAGGCTGTTATCCTTAGCAAATTAACGCTGAACAGAAAACCAGATACTGCATGTTCTCACTTATAAATGGGAGCTAAATGATAAGAACTTATGAACACAAAGGAGGAAACAACAGACACTACTTTAGGCAGGAGGGAAGAGGGGGAGGGGGGAGAGGAGCAGAAAATATAACTGTTGGGTACTGGGCTTAATACCTAGGGTGATGAAATAATCTGTACAACAAAACTCCATGAAACATGTTTATGAAACAAACCTTCACATGTACCCCCAAACCTAAAATAAAAGTTAAAAAAAGGAAAAGTTTGGAAACTCAGACTATAAACACTGTAAGTAATATAATAGCTTTAGGAGGAAAAGGTATAAAATAGTAGGCAAACATAAATTACAAACATTAAAGAAAGTGATTTGGGCTTTATGCCTAGGGACAACAGAGAGTTGCCACAGGTGTCCTCCAGGAATTTTCCCAATCACCCACAAGCACTGACAGGTGGCTCCTGTGGGTTCCAGATCTCTCTGGGCTATCTGAAGGAATGGCCAGCTTAACTCACTTAACTGCTCTTTATGCAGACTCCCTGGGAAAACAATAAAAAGGTGTGTGTGGGCGGGTGGGGGTTGGGGCGGTGGGGGGGTGGTTGGGGGGGGGCGGTGAAAGTCGTGCTAATTGCTGGTTGCAAACAAATGTGTCGTAAGCTTTCTGAGGATTGTGTGAAGCAGCCAGCTGACAAAATGATTTCTTTCATTACAAAAAGGATGACAGGTTATTTAAACTAGTGACCTCTCAAGTATTTGCTTATTAGGCCATTAAATATTCAACTGAGTGAGAAACTAAAAGCTGCTTAGGAAATGCCAATCAGAAATTAAGACAAAGCAAACCTCAAATCATACTGGTAAATAGACTTTGGATGTTAGGTTTCACATTTTCCATTTTATGGGAAAGCAAGCTAAAATACCGGTGTTCAACACCAGACCCCTAGCAATCCTTGAGAGCAAGCAAGTGAAAAATATTAGAACATTTCAATGAAACCTCTAATTAAACTGCAATTAATATTGATAAGGACAGCATTTTTTTTTTTTAAATTCCTGTTAGATTCCAAGTTCTGAGGAGGCAGGGACTGTGTCTTGCTCATCTTGAAACACAAGGCCTGACATAAAATAGAAATGCAAGAAATGATTCCTGACTGAATATACAATGTAGAGGGAGACTGGAGCAATGGGAGGAGCATACTTGGTGTGATGAGTCAGAGAGCAGTTAAGTCTTGACCAGAGCCTGACAACTTGCTCTGGGAAGGCTCTGCTTGAGGTATTGTATTCTCCTATTTCTCTTCTCAAAACTCTGCAATGGCTCCTGATCTTACTCAGTGTCCTTAAAAGCCAAAGTTTCTCAAAAACTCTATGTCAGGGGTGTCCAATCTTTTGGCTTCCCTGGGCCACACTGTAAGAGGAAGAATTATCTTAGGACACACATAAAATACAATAACACTAATGGTAGCTGATAAGCTAAAAAAAATTGCAAAAAAAAAATCTCATAAAGTTTTAAGAAAGCTTGCAAATTTTTGTTGGGTGACATTCAAAGCTGTCCTGGAGCACATGTGGCCCACTGGACAAACTTGATCTACACAGTTAGCCTGCAGTCACTTTTTCTGTTATTCTGCTTCATCTCAACTGACTGACTCTCAGTTCTTTCATCATGACAACCTCTTTACTGCCTCAGGGGTTTTGTGGGGTCCATGTTTTGGAAAGGCTCATTTCCCATTGGTTTTTACTTATCTTTCAGGCCACAGTTTACTTGTCCATAGATTGAGAAGAGTTTCAAGAAAAAAAAAACTCCCTCAAAATTGAAAATAATTAGTGGAAATTATTCCACATTGCAGTGCAAAATATATAATTATACTCAGTTCATATTACTACAAATCAGTTTACTCTATGATAAATAAAATATGCTAATTCCCCTTCATTCACTCTCCCATATTGAACTGCATGTTATGCCATTAGATATCTTTGATCTTCTTGACTTCATAGGCAGTTCTCTTCTTGTGTCATTTTCTTATTTACTTTTGCTCCTCATGTAATTTGTTTAGTAACTCATAAGATCTCTCCTTCCCACCTCCCTTTTTCTTCCTTCTTTCCATGTTTTCTCTTTTGTTCCTCTTCCTTCTACTTTTATTCGAGCTGAACTTACAAGTAAGCAGTCTAAACAGCCACTTATAAAGTAGTATTAGAAAAATGTCAGCAGGTCTCTCTACTCCTAAAGGAACTTCCTGACCCTTCAAAGCAGACCAATGTGATGTGGCCATTGGATGCTCTAGAAATTTGATACCTTGTGTTATATTTCACCTTTACTATACAAGAATAAAAGGTTTTATTTTCATCTCAAGAAAAATACAGTTGTCTGGTCTTTGTCAAGAAAAACCGTTAAAGTAAAAGAAAGCGATTTGTTTGGAAACTTTGGCAAAGATGGCTAGCTGTGAGTTTCAGTTATCTATTGCTGCATGTCAAACTACCACAAAATGTGGCAGCTTAACACAACAACCATTTTATATTTTGTCATGACTGTATTGATTGAGCTGAATGTGGTGATTCTTCTGCTGGACTTGCTTGGGATCCCTCACACAGCTGCAGTCAGAAGATGACTGGGGTTAAAACATACAAGATGTCTTCACTTACATAGTCTAGCACCTTGGTTGGAAAGGCTGGGGTTGGCTGGGGTGATGGGACAACCCACATCCAATCTCCATATGGCCTTTTTACACGGTCACGTGATTGGTGTTACTGGACTTCTTACATGGTGGGACAACATATTCAAGAGCACGAAAGTGGAAGCCGTTATTCTAGAACAGACCTTGGGTCACTTCTGCTGAATTCTATTGATTAAAGAAAGTTAGAAAGAAATTCAGATTTAATGTGGGACGGGGATACCCAAAGGCATGCATACTACGAGGCATGGCTCATTTAGAGTCAACTCTGGAGACCAACCATCACACTTAGCAACACAATTTGTGTCTCGTTAGGTATTGTTGGATGGCAGCTAGCCAGCCAGAAACCACGCTTTCTAGACCCCTTCAATTCTAGTTGTGGCCATTCACTAATCTTTGCAATGGAATGGGAGTGAAAATTATGTATGTCACTTTGATTCCAAGGCTTTTATGAAATGGTTGTACCTATTCTTTTTTAAAGCTTTTTAGGTATAATTGATACATAAAAATTACACATAATTAATGTATGCATTTTGATGAGTTTGCAAATATGTATACACCAGTGATACCATCACCACAATCAATGGCATTGAACATAACCATTATCACCAAAAATTTCCTTGTGTTATTATTTTTGTGGTAGAAACACTTAACATGAGACCTATCATCTTTACATATAAGCCAGTCACAGAAGGACAAATACCGCATGATTCCACTTATATGAGGTATCTAAAATAGCCAAAATCATAGCAATGAAGAATAGAATGGTGGTTGCCCCGACCTGGGGGTGGCGGAAGGAGAAAATGGAGAAATGTTGCTCATAGGTATATAAGTTTCAGTTATGCCAGAGGAATAAGTTCAACACGTCTGTTATACAACACAGGACTTACAGTTAATTATATGGTATTGCGCACTTTAAAATGTTAAGTAGGTGTATCATTTTTATTCTCCTTATATTTTCATTGGCTGCATGCAAATAGTAAGGCCCCTGAAGATGACAAATCTATAAGTTGGAAGGAGCCGAGGTACTTGCATCACTGCATGGAGGAAAGCTGCCTGTAGAAAACATATGCCACTTTGCACTATTATAAGAACAAGACACAGAATTAAGTTGTGTTAAGCTCCTGAAATTTGAGAGTATACATGCTGCCACAGCCTAGTATTTTTTTAACCTGCTATAGAAATGTGGTATTTGATTAAAGGCTAATTGGTTCTGATTGTCATGCTAAGTATATAAAATATCAACATTTTCATGCCTACTTTGTGGTGGCCCTAAAATGCAAATCATAAAAGTTTTAACTGTTTAAATCATAGAGGGAATGCAATAGATGCCTCCGTTGGCTAAAGGAATTTCCCATTCATAGTCACAACTAACTAATTCTTTCCCTTTTATTTGGACTAAATGTTTATACTAAACTTGCTGTCATACTGTGAGCTGATAAGAAAACCACTAAAAAGTTGTATAAACGATGTTAGACACTGTAGGTATACTCTATGATAGAGCTTTTTATTGGAGTAAATTATTATCACAAACATGAAAGTTTATGGGAAATTAATCATCGATCAAATCTGGGCATCAATGTTTCATCACAGAATTATTTTGCATATATAAAAAGTTGAGGAGAAATGATAATGGGCATATGAATATGGCAATAGAGAAACATAGTAGCAATCAAAATAGCTAGTCTCAAAACAGCCACAACCCAGGAGCAGACTCATATCATCAGGTACCTACCGTAATGTCTGGTATTCCTAGTATCAAAGTCTCATATGGTTGGGAGGGGCCAAAAACGTCATGTAGTTAACATTATTTTTTTTTGTTAAAACCATAACAAATTGGACTGGGAAAAACATAATTCAAGATCCACTAGAGTGAAGGATAAGCTGGCGCACATATGACACCTGGGACTAAAGTTTCTGCAGGTGTGTTAAACTCTCTTGATTTTGAGGAACAAAGAAGTACTCAAGATCCTTCAAGTAACTGGTATGTGGTGTATCTCAGTGAACCCACAGACAGTTGTCACTCAGTATCCAGGGAAGCAGCTCCAAGGACTGGGTTTTCTTGTCACACTCCCTTAGCTGAAACTGTTCACAGATCTCCACTTCAGAACTCTGTCATTAACTGGACTCTGTTAGTTGTCTTTGCTTCTTTATTCCTAAACCGGAAGAGAATGACCACTCGCACACTCCAACCTCTGTATCTCTGCCTGTATATTCAGCCTTCTCTTCTGGTGCTATGGATGACTTAACTAAAGCCCAGCCCTTCACTTGTACAGTCAGTCTCATCCCTTCTTGCCTACTCAAAAACAGCATCCCAGCAATTTTCCCTTTCTTTCACTGTCAGTTTTTCCCTGTTAACTGGATAATTCCTGTGTGCATAAAAACATGATGCAATTTCCTCATTCTTAAAAACAAACTAAACCAACCAACCAAACAAAAAACCCACCTTGGCCCCACATCCACTTCTAGATGCTGTCCCATTTCTCTGCTTTCTTTTATAAGAAAACTCCTTGAAAAAGTTACCTGTACCCACTGTCTTTATTTCCTCTCTTCACATTTCCTCTCGAACCTACTCAAATCAGTGTTTCATCCTCACCACTCTATTAATACAGTTATTGTCCAGGTCAAAGAACTTCTCATTATTGAATTCAATCATCAGTTATCATTATTTACCATACTTGAATTACGTGTAGTATTTGATACAGTTAATCATTCCTTCCTCCTTGAAATACCTTAACCTGAATTTCAGAACGTGTCCTCTCCTGATTTTCCTTCTACCTTATGGACTACTCCTTCTTCATTTTCTCTGCTGTTTTCTTTACATCTTCTACTCTTAAATATTTGTCTACCCCTGGACTTAGTCCTCAGATCTTATCCCTATCTATATTAATTCCCTCTTGACTTACCCAGTTCCATGGTTTAGAATACCATCTATACGTTGATGTTTTTCAAATTTGTATCTCTAGCCTAGACTTCTTCTCCAAACACCAGACTCATATATCTAGAGGCATTCTTAACATCTCCACATTAGTAGCTAATGTCGAACTTAATATATTTAACCTTGAACTTAATACATTTAAAACAAGTACGTATCTACCCCAAATGTGACCAATCTGTAGCATTCTCTAAGTCAGAAGATGGCAGGTCCATTATTCTAGTTACAGAGGCAAGAGTTATTCAAGACCCTTTTTTCTCCCACATCCCACATTCAGTACTTCAGCAAATCCCGTTGGCTCTACTGCCAATTATAACCAAAACTCAACCATTTCTTTCTACTTCTGCTATTCCCACCCTGGTCCAAGTTTCCACTACCTTCTTTCTGGATTATTATAATAGGCTCCTAACTTGTTTCTCTAATTCTACCCTTAACCTCTGCTATCTAATCTCAATATAGCATCCACAGTGATCCTTTTCAATTTTAAGTTACATCCTGTCAATCTCCTTCTCTGAAGCCCCCTGTAACTTACCATTTCAATCAGGGTACAATGGCCTAGAAGGCATTTTTTACCTTTCCTAAAAAATTTTTTTTTCATTTTCATCACCTGCTACTTTCACCTTATTCCACCTCAGCTTTCTTGGTATTTCTCCCTATCGCTTTCCTTGATTGACTTTTCTCTATAGCTTTCATCATCATCTGCGATACTCCTATTTTAACCAATTATTTATTTTTTCTTCTTCGCACTAGACAATGAGCTCTGTGTGTGTGTGTGTGTGTGTGTGTGTGTGTTTTAGTTCACTATTGTATCCCCTAGAACAATTCCTGGCACATAGCAGCTGATTTAGAAATCTAAGTATTTGTTGAATGAATGTATGAACTATCAACTGGCTGTTCTTTATGCGTGTTTTGTTTTTTTTTTTCCAATTCCTATTCTGGGGTTAGAATCTGGTTGGCCTGAGAATTATCATTGGACCTTCGTACGTCACTGGTTAATCTATATGGATTGGTTGCTTCTGAGTCAAGACCTACTCTCGGTCCATTCAATGGGTGGAGGCTATGGCTTCTCTCCTCAGGAGAAGCCTGCAGCCAGGCTCTGTCTCTTGTTGTCAGCTGGGATTAAGATAGTTGTAAATTAGGTTGTGGCATAGACTGGCTGCTCTGTAGAAAGGTTGGCTTAATGTGTTTGTCTGAAAGATTTCAGGTTATGATCTCAATTAGTAGGTCAATTTATGTTATGTTAACTTCCACTTACACTTGAGGATGGGCTAACTACGCTGATTGGGAAATGAGCAGGTGTATATGGGGAGTAGCAAGCTACAATTTTTCTGAGGTTACAAGTTATGTGATCTCAGAAAAATCACAACCTCTGATCTTCAGTTTCCTCATATATAAAATAGGGGATAATCACAGCATTTCCCTCATAGGATTGATATGAAGATTAAATATATGTATATACATATATATGTATGTATATACACATATATATGTGTACACATATATATGTATGTATATATGTACGTAGTTTAGCACATCATTATAATTGTTAGTAGTAATAGTATTATTATGTCTTGAAACAGGGCTCCTTACAAATAATAGAAAAAGCTGTCTAAGGGTGAGAATAGCTGCATTCTAAGAAAAATAAGCTGTAACTATCAGTATGGGTTAATTAGTGTTGATTAAAATATCCAGAGTCCCACTGACTTCACAGAGGATGTGTGACTTTAAAATATATGCTAGATAAAGTCTCAACTGTGACTTGTAAGTGTAATAGAATCTGAGTTTATCTTGTGGGTTTCTTCATAGCCTCGATT
Organism: Homo sapiens; assembly: GCF_000001405.40. NCBI lineage: Eukaryota > Metazoa > Chordata > Mammalia > Primates > Hominidae > Homo > Homo sapiens. The sequence continues at coordinate 147,729,369 of NC_000023.11, read as the reverse complement.
TAACCATTCCTCCAGAAAAAAAAAGATTATTTGATTGATTTCTATCCTAAAAGGTATTCTACTTTAGGAATTGGTACCATGTCTCTGGAGTTTGTATTCCCAGTGCCTGGCATTTGTTTGATGAGTGCATAAGAGCAAATAGTTGCATCTTAGGTCTGTGAGTACGCTAACTGGACCAAGAAGCGACTTGAATGTTAGTATGTGTGAAAACATGTGATTGTATATATGATTTTATGTTGCATGAAATTAGACATTAGCCCCTGTGAGGAAAGTAACCCATTTTGGTTCCTGGATTCTATAGATGCAGCAGCTAAGGGCCTGGCAGGCCCTGAATAAATGTTTCTTAAATGAAAGAAGTGTGTTAAAGGCAGTGCCAAAGAGTAGAAAGATTTATAATTTATTGTCAGCCAGGACAACTTCCATGCTCGGGGACCTTGGAGAAATTACTTAATTTACCTAAGATTTGGGTTTCTCATAAGTTAAAAGAGGGATACTAATAGTACCTACCTCATAGGGTTATGGTGGAGATGGAGGAATTGAAGTATGCAAAGTGCTTACTACTATGTTTGGCAAAAAGCAAGGACTAAATAAAAGTTAGTTGTCGTAACTGCTGCTTCTGATGACATTACTAGCTTCATGTCTGTAACGATTCAGGTTATGATCTCAGTGTATCTCAAAATGTCTGTGGTTTTGGCTTTTGTAGGATAGAATCCATTGGGAAAATGCTAGGCTATGCTGAAGTAATGAGTTAGCTCTGAAATCTTAATGACATTTCTCTTCATTTCTTGCACTTCATTTGTTGCACATGGGTACAATGCAAGTCAGATGAAACTCCTGGGCAGCTAGCTGTACACCATGAAGGGACTTAGCAATCAGAGTGTCTACCTTCTGGTTCCGTCACTTCAACACAATGTGTTCCATAATGAGGCTGGGAAAGAGAGCTAGCAATTAGACAGAGACTTTTAAATGCCCGAGTCTGGAAGTGACACATACTACTTCTGATCATATTTCATTTAGTTCACATACATACTCCTCCCTTAATATAAAGGGGATCCTTTATGTAATGTATACACATACATACTCCTCCCTTAATGTAAAGTATTCCCTAAAAAGTAAGTTAGTTTGAATGGAAATGCAGAAAGGTAAATCAGTATGAAAGTCAACCCCTAGACACTTGGTTGTTTATTGTTCAGTCTACATAAATGCGGCAGTGCTATATAGAAAATTAACATTAATTTTAATAAAAAAGAAAATTGATATATCCTCAAGTTATATCAATAAAATGTGGAAATCTTAGCTTCAACCCTGAAGGTCAGGCAAGTTTTCTTTGAACTGTTGCAATGGTAATCAAAATCATTCACACATTTTTATAAGAAACTAAATATAGTCATTAATCATCAATTAATAAGTGATCAATTGATGACTGCCCCATAATAGTGTAGCCTGTGTGGACAAGATTGATGAAGCTCACCTGTAGCCAGTTCTCCTCCCCAAGTGCATAGAAGAATGCACCCTCTATTCCCTTTACATTAAGGGAGGAGTATGTATGTGAACTATTTTTAATCCCTTTATGTAAACTATTCCCATACTCCTCCCTTAATGTAAAGCGAATACTTTACATTATTCTCTGTATTAGTTATTTTCAGTGGAAGGGTCAGTAAGGGTATCTAATTTAAGATATTGCTAGTCCTCAAAGAATTTACATAGTTACAATTCTAAGAAATGAGTTCACATACAAAAAACAAACACTAAAAATGAAGGCATCATGAACAAAAGCCATCTGAAATGACAGAAGATTCAGAAAGAAAAGACTTTAGATACTGGAATTAGACAAAAAACTTAAAAGTATACTTATTATATTTAAAATATATGAGATTAAAAGTGTGAATATACAGAAAGATTATAAAAGTTATCAAGAAGCTTTGATAAATAATGACATAATTTTTAGTAGTAAAATATAAATGAAATTTTAAAACAATATACTTAATACATGTAAGTTAAATTAAATTAATATACTTAAATTGGAAGATAGATCTGAAGAAATTATGGATTTTTCCTTTTGGTAATGGCAGACTAGATAATTTATACCTACATTGTTTTTCTTTTTCTTTTTTTTTTTTTTTTTTGACACGGAGTCTTGCTCTGTCGCCCAGGCTGGAGTGCAGTGGCGCGATCTCGGCTCACTGCAAGTTCCGCTTCCCGGGTTCACACCATTCTCCTGCCTCAGCCTCCCGAGTAGCTGGGACTACAGGCGCCCGCCACCACGCCTGGCTAATTTTTTTTTTTTTTTTTTTTGTATTTTTAGTAGAGATGGGGTTTCACCGTGTCAGCCAGGATGGTCTTGATCTCCTGGCCTCATGATCTGCCCGCCACAGCCTCCCAAAGTGCTGGGATTACAGGCGTGAGCCACCGTGCCCGGCCACCTACATTCTTTTGCAAGAATATTTTTATATTTAATTCACATTTTAAAATTGTCTTCTTAAAAGCACAAAAGAGCTAAAATATTAGTAAACAATCACCAGGCAAACATATGGGAGAAGACAGAAATACAGAGAAGTGAACCCGGCATTCAAAACTCCCCTTTTTCTTGAGATAGTTTGCTGATTAGGGATAGGTAACAGAGAAGCTGAGTCTCTTTTTAAAAGCCCTTGCTGATCTAAGAGACAAAAATTGGGTCTAGGATCTAGCAAAAGTGATCTAGCAAAATAGTAAAATATACTTTAGACCAGGGGTTGGGAAACTTATCTGTAAACGGCCAGAGACTAATATCTTTATGGGCCACAAATGGTCTCCAGTTTATTTGTTGACTATTTTTCAAACTTTTAAAAATATAAAAAAAAGTCTTGGTCCATGGGTCATATGCAAAAGTAGGCCATGGACTGGATTTGGCTTGTTGTCCAGGTTTGGCCTATGGGTTCCAACTTGCCAACCTCTTCTTTAGACCAAGAACCTGAAAGAAAGCATTGTAAGAGTAATGGCAAACTGAAAGAAAAATGGCGCTTGTCCAAACTGTCACTGACTTTGTGTCACCTAGGCAGCCAAGCAACTCTCAATCCCTGAAATTGGATTATGATAAACATAGGCTTAAGTGACTGAAGGCAACTGGCAGAAACCAATGGAAACCTTCTCTAGAAGAAGATACCATTGTCTCCCAAAGAAGTTACAGTCTACATATATTTTTTTCAAATATAGTATTTGGTACAAAATGAAATATATTTGGACTCAGGAGAAAACAAGACATACTTATAAAAAAGAAGCAGCAGAAAAAATATAAAATAGAAGTAGGCCAAGGTGGGCGGATCAGGAGTTCAAGACCAGCCTGGCCAATATGGTGAAACCCCGTCTCTAGTAAAAAAAAAAAAAAAAAAAAAAAAAAAAAAAAATTAGCCGGACATGGTGGGAGGTGCCTGTAATCCCAGCTACTTGGGAGGCTGAGGCAGCAGAATAGCTTGAACCCAGGAGGCAGAGGTTGCAGTGGGCTAAGATCGCTCCACTACACTCTAGGCTGGGTAACAGAGTGAGACACTGTCTCAAAAAAAAAAAAAAGAAAAAATAGAAATAGGATTTCCATTTTCTTACATTTCTGGATGGGATTTTTACTATGTAGATGAATATAGCTAAACCTTTATATGTTCCTCTAGATAAGACCAACTTAAAAATCTTTGCAGAGGATTGGAAAGCATTAAAAATGACATAGATTTAAAAGAGAACCAAATAGAAATTCTAGGAAACAACAATGAAAAAAACAGTAAGAGAAATCAAGTTCTACAGTATTAGGCTTAACAGTTGAAGAATTAGTAAGTAAAATAGGTAATAATTCAGGAGAAATAATCAATAAGGAAACAAAAAGATAGAAAATATAGAACAGATGGTAGGAGACAGACAATACAGTGAGAAGCTTAAACATGTATTTAAAATTGATGGCCTACGATGAGAGGGAAACAAGAATGGAACCAAGCAACATTGAAGAGATAATAGCTAAGAAGTTTTAAAAACTTCCCTAGTGGAAGTGTGCAGATGCAGGAAGGTATAAAGAATGGTAAAAGTAGAAAACATGAGTAAATCTAAATGACCATTTTACAGTAAGTATAATAACATATTGCATATATATAATATGTATAAAATAGAAATACATGAAAACCTTAGTATAGGGTCAGTGCATTGTTGCTGAAGAGATAAATGTACTCATTTGGTAACAGAGCATGATTTGAGCAACAAAAGCAAGTTGTTGAAGAATGCATATAGTATGGACCTATTTATAGAAAATTTGAAACATGCAAAATGAAACAACATTTCATGATGAAAATGCCAAAAGCAATTGCAACTAAAGCAAAAATTCACAAATGGGATCTAATTAAACTAAAGAGTTTCTGAACAGGAAAAGAAACTATCATCAGAGTAAATGGACAAGCTTCAAAATATGAGATAATTTTTGCACTCTGTCCATCTGACAAAGGTCTAATATTGAGTCTGCAAGGAACTTAAATTTACAGGCAAAAACCAACAACCTCATTAAAAATGGGCAAATGACATGAACAGATACTTCTCAATAGAAGACATACATGCGGCCAACAAATACGAAAAAAAGCTCAACATCACTGATCATTAGAGAAATGCAAATCAAAACCACAGTGAGATACCATCTCACGCCAGTTGCAATAGATATTATTAAAAAGTCAAAAAATAACAAATGGTGGCAAAGATGTGGATAAAAAGCAACACTTTTACGTTGTTGGTGGGAGTGTAAGTTAGTTCAACTATTGTGGAAGACAGTGTGGTGATTCCTCAAAGACCTAGAGGCAGAAATACCATTTGGCCCAGCAATCCCATTACTGGGTATATACCCAAAGGAAAATAAATCATTCTATTATAAAGATACGTGCAAACATATGTTCATTGCAGCACTATTCACAATAGCAAAGACATGGAATCAACCTAAGTGTCCATCAATAGTATACTGGATAAAGAAAATGTGGTACATAGACATCATGGAATACTAAGCAGCCATAAAAAGGAATGAGATCACATCCTTTGCAGGGACATGGATTGAGTTGGAAGCCATTATCCTCAGCAAACTAACACAGGAACAGAAAACCAGACACCACATGTTCTCACTTATAAGTGGGAGCTGAATGATGAGAATACGTGAACACATGGGGGAAAACAACACACACTGGGGCCTGTTAGAGGGGAGCAGTGGGGTGAGGAAGAGCATCGGGAAGAATAGCTAATGGATGCTGGGCTTAATTCCTAGGTGATGTGATGATCTGCACAGCAAACCACCATGGCTCACATTTACCTATGTAACAAACCTGCATAGCCTGCACATGTACCCCTGAACTTAAAATAAAAGTTGAAGAAAAAATGCAAATTTAAATTAGTGAAAAAAGGAAAAATTTTGGAGAGATTTCCAGGTAACACTATTAAATGATAATTGCAAGATGAAGATGAGTATTTTTGATATGATATTATCTTTATAAAACAATCATCAAAGAAAAAAATGCCTGTATATGAGATGTATACATAGGTATATGTCTGTACAGAAATTATGAATTGGAAAAATATAAATGATTGAATCCTAGGTGAACAAAGTGGCTTATCTTCATGTGAGGACAGGATGGGTCTGGGAATTATATGGCAAGAGTGGGAAAAGGGGGAAATAGAGAGCCAAGCTTTTTTTTTTTTTTTTTTTTGAGACGGAGTCTCACTCTTTCACCCAGGAGGGAGTGCAGTGGCGCGATCTAGGCTTACTGCAAGCTCCGCCTCCCGGGTTCACGCCATTCTCCTGCCTCAGCCTCCTGAGTAGCTGGGACTACAGGCGTCCACCACCACAACTGGCTAATTTTATTTTATTTTTTTTTGTATTTTCAGTAGAGACAGGGTTTCACCATGTTAGCCAGGATGGTCTCGATCTCCTGACCTGGTGATCCGCCTGCCCTGGCTTCCCAAAGTGCTGGGATTACAGGCGTGAGCCACCACGCCTGGCCAAGAGCCAAGTTATATAAAAATTGTCATCATAATGGGAATACATTTTGTCTGCATTCTACCTGTCTGGAAGATAATCAGATTTGGAATTCTCAAATTTTAATTTCCATTTTGCCATAGCAACAGCCAAATAATGGTAGGACCTTAAAGACTGAGTTAACATTGGATAACTCAAAATATAGCCATCTGATTGGAAGACATTGACAACATATTGGATTCTTAATCACATAACGAAGGGCCATAAATAGGAACTGGGATTATAGTTAAGCATATTAGAAAAAAAATATGTCGTGTGTGTAAATGATGTTCTTTAAATATACTGGAATTTTTATAAATCAAAATGACTTATTTAGTAGACTAGATAACTAATGAACAATAGTTTTCTACAGACTCTGAAATTTTACTTTACTAGGCTTCATCTGTTTGACTAGCTTTGCATGTTAAATATCAAGGAATGAAAGAAGAAAATAACATTTAATGGCTTGTGCCAAGCCTTTTCTAGTGGCGGTTCCCAGGAGTGGCTTTGGACATCAATCTTTATAAGCCACCCCTCAAAATCACCACATATGTAAATATATTATCAAAGTCAGCCTATTGTTTTTTACTAGACAAATAGAGCCTTCAGACATGTCCCTTACCCACTTTCCACATTACTACCCCTAAGCTCTTCTCAGAGATTCCAGAGCCTGTCAACATCACTTTGAGTTACCATTTAATTTATTCATCATGACAGCTTTATAAAACTGTGTGGTAGTCCCATTTTACAGATAAAGACATAGAGACTCAGAGAGGTCACATAGGACTCAAATTTAGGTCCCTTCCTGCAAAGTCAGAGTTTTCCCCAACTACTCTGTATTAGTAACACTTGGCATTATTACTTGCAAACAATAGAAACAACTTCTGGATGATTTATGTAGAGAAAGTTTTTAATATAAGAGCGTTCGCTAGCTTACAGGATCGCTAGGAATACTGGAAGAATCAGTCCCAGGACTATGTAACCTTAAGCATTGCTCCAAATCAGATCAAAGAGTGGACTAAGTAGGGACACTGCTTTATTGAATGCTATAGTTTGGATCACTGATAATGGATCACTGGATGACAGATGCTCTCACTAGCACTGCTGTCTCTGCTATCCCAGGAACTGGATCATGCTACAATTACCACTGACTGCTACTCACAGTAGTCCTCTCCTTGAATCACTCCTACATCAAAGTCCCAGCACCTGTTTGGTAAAGTCTTGGCTTAAACTAGGGGTTTTAGAGCTTCACTATGCAATGGAATCACTTGTGAAGCCACACACACACACACACACACACACACACACACACAAACACACGCAAGCACGCACGAGATCCACCCCAGAGACTATTCTGATTTAATTGGTCTAAACTGGGGGGGGGGGCGGGGTTCTAGGAATCCTGGGTTTTAAAAGCACCACAGGTGACTCTAATGTACACGCAAGGTAAAGAACCTTGGTTCCACTCTAGGCCAGTGTTTGGTTGCAGGCTTCTTTGATCATGAGAATCACCTGGGTGCTTATCAAGGCAAACATTTCCCAGCCCAATTTTATAGCCACTAAATCAGTCTCCATGAGATGGACCTGTGTAGCCATTAACAAGCGCCTCAGGTGATTCTTATCATTAGAGAATTTAGAAAAGTACTTATGTAGGACATATGCCCACAGTCTAGCAGCAGGGGAGGCTGGGAAAGCAAGTGTCTGGTGTTTTCAACTTCCCTAGAAGAGCGGTAACCCCTGCTTCCCCACAAGACTCATGAGGTAGGATTTTCCTATACATTGGAAGAGGGTTTATATTCTGGGATGCTAGAAAGAATGACCAATGCGTGTAACATTCTTACGTAATTCACTATAGACCAGATTTCTTTATATAAATTGTGGACTTTTTTCCAGGAAGCTTTGTGACTAAAACGCTAACTCTCCATGTGATATGTTAGCATACATCCTTTCTGAGAAAACCATATTAATGCTGCTTCTTTAATCATTGTCTCTTTACATGTAAGAAAAAGGAGAAGGGTGTTCAACGTGAACTGGCAATTGGAGAGACTATGGTCGAGCCCTTTGTTACTCACCATTTGAACCTGTTTCCACATCTCTAATATGGCATTACTTGCCTCTACCTATTTCACATATCTACTAAAAAAATAAGACAACACATGACTAAAACAATAGTAATCGTTACCATTTGTTGAGCACTTATTAAGTTATAAACATTAGGTTATTTACATTCATCTGGTTCTGATGCCATTTTCGTAGAAACGGAACCAGAATATAGCCTTCAAGGAAGATAACATAGATGTGATAAAGGCTTGAGTGTTGCTAGGATGATTAGCATAAAATATACTTCGGTTGTTTCCTCAATATAGCCATGTGTGGGTTACAAATGATATTTAAGAATTAAAATACCTTAGAGTATTGCATTCTTTAAAGATTTTTTTTTTGAGGATCTGATATCTTTCTTTCATTGAAATTTGTTTCTTATGCTTTCAGAAATAGCTTTTCTACAGATTTCGGTCTGAATCTCCCCCACCGAGTGTATTCCTTACATAAAGTGTAAGCCAGTGTAAAACATTCCAATGTATACTACGTTTAAGTATCAATGACCACCCCACTGCTAATTAACTTTATTTTATAGTGACATATAGGAATAAAGACCCCCTCCCATACATTCCTTGTACAATCCCTACATAAACCTTAGAGTGATGAAGATAGTCCTAAGCACGTTACAATCACAAGTATTAAACTAAAAGTTTCGTAACAGTGATAAGATATGCTACTCAACTTTATCACCAGGGAAGAAAACATTGATTCGTTTTACAACATCAAACACTCAAAGCTGTATGTTCAGAGTCAGTGAGTTTATCATAATAACATTCGTTTAAGTGTTCAGTAACTTTTATAGCAGATCACTCATAATAAGATGTTGTCTAGGGACCCTGATGAAGATGCCAGGCAAAAAGATTTGATTGATAACACACTTTATTCATACCATCTGTGTAAAAGGAAGGGCCAACTCTAGTGTACGCTAATTAACAAAAACTCTTCTTTGAGGGGAAGAGTGTGGTCTTTTGGGGTTCAAAGTGTTGTTTAGTGGAATTGTGACGTCTCGATCTCCAGATGGGACAGAGCCCTGTATCATAATCAAAAATATCTCGGCACACCTAGAATTGAGCAGCTAGTCATTAGGGCAACTGACGGTGCCATTTGTTTCATGCTTACCGTTAGTCAGTTGATTTAGTGGTGTCAGCTGAGGGTACAGTCGCACATTTGGCAGCTCAGATGCCAGAGATGAAGCAAATTGGGATGACTATTACTATTGCTACTAAAGTGAAGTAATGGGAAAAGGGGAGGTGTGATGTGGTTTTTAGTCAGAACTGGGAATGTTGATGGTAGGTGGCACTGATGCCCGGGGTCAAAGGGCTCTTGCAGTCACCTGGTAGTAGAAGCCTTAAGAAGTGCATGGTAGTAGATTTTCTTCTAGGGATCTGCTGCTGTTTTGTTGCTGCCCTCCCCACTCGGCTTCAATGACCACTGTCCATAAGAGATGCTATCACAGTTCTGTTCAGCTTTTTGAAAAGGACTAAAGTTAGATGACAATCTGTTTCCAGTGCTTCATTTTTATTGGTAACTTACAAAATGATTATAGATAGAAAATTAGTTCAGTGTCATTAAAATACCTTTGAGTTAGAGTGGGGTCAACACTTTCTCTGTAAAGGGCCAGAGAGAAAATATTTTCGACTTTCTGAGCTATATGGGATCTGTCTGTTGTAGTGTGAAAGCAGCCATAGGCAATATGGAAATGTCACTGCTCCAATAAAAACTTACAAAAACAGGAACACAGTAATCATAATTGCATTGACCCGAGTCTTTTTTTTTTTTTTTTTTTTGAGGCAGAGTCTTGCTCTGTCACCCAGGCTAGAGTGCAGTGGTGCGATCTCGGCTCACTGCAAACCTCCGCCACGCAGGTTCAAGCGATTCTCCCACCTCAGCCTGCCGAGTAGCTGGGATTACAGGTGCCTGCCACTGCGCCCAGCTAATTTTTGTAGTTTTTAGTAGAAATGGGGTTTCACCATCTTTGCCAGGCTGGTCTTGAACTCCTGACCTCATGATCCACCCGCCTCAGCCTCCCAAAGCGCTGGGATTACAGGCATGAGCCACCGTGCCCAGCCATACCCGAGTCCTAAGATCATCTACTGCTGTGTGATCTTCGGCAGTTTAGCTCACTATTTGAACCTGTTTCCACGTCTCTAAAATGGCAACACCTGCCGCTACCTATTTTACATATCTGAGAGAAAATAAGCATACATAAATAAGATAACAATTACTACTATTTGTTGAGCACTTAATAAATTATAGACCTCAGGTTATTTACACTCATCTGGTTGCATCCTCATCCTGTAAGAAAGGTTCCATTTGATATATCTATTGCCGGAACTAATATTCAAAATTATAAATCTCGAGCACTTGCTATGCACCAACATTGTGCTGATTGTTCTATGTGAATTATCTCAATCCTCAACTTTGGTAGCTATCGTTATAACTCCATTTACAAATATTAGGGTCAGAGAATACCACTACTTAGATGAAGCATATGCCTTCAGGGAGTAGACGCAGCATAGATTAAGACTACTGGGCAAACCTAGATATTTTACGTTTTGCTTTCTTATTCAAAAAGGGCATTTTCTCTTGAAGTTTAATTGCAATAGGAGTGTGCTTTTTTACCTCCACCTCCAGCTTTGAGCATGCCCCAATCTCTCTCACCTCATTATCTTCAGTGGTTTGCTGATTCTAATTGCTTGCAAATTTCCTGGAGCACAGACTGTCTTCAGGTGTGCCTGAAAAAAATCTGGCTGCTGGGGATTTGAGGCACCAATGCACTAGTAATATTAATACCTTCAAGCTGTGGCTGAACGGTTGGCAAGTGAATTCTTGGTTTGAGTACAGTTACTAGACACGCTGCTAAGTTTTGTCTCTATCCAGTGGGTCCAGCATTTTCTCAGTCAGTCTGAGTATGGGGGCTAGTCTCAGGGGTGAAGATCAATGATTTGAACTAGGAATGCAGCACCACTTCCTCTGCCCCTTTTCCCTCAGCATCTCTTCAGGGTGCCATGTGCCTCTAAATTCACTCATTCATTCATGTCGTCAACATTTATTGAACACCTATAATGGAATGAGCCAGATACTGAGCTATACCTGTAGGATATGGCAATGAGGATCGAGAGATGCTGACCTGAAAGTGCTTATGGTTTAGTGGAGATGACAGAAAAAATGAGTAAAATGACTATGAATTGTCAAAAGTGCTACGGAGTTAACAAGCAGCTTAGTTCCAGAAGGAAGATTGGAGGGGTGGTACGAGTTATACAGAGTCATTATGGAAAGCCTCTCTGCAGAGGCAACATTTATCCTGAGAGTTCCAGGACAGGAGTCAGCCAGACTAAGAAAAGTAGAATATTCCTCCAAGCATAAGGAATAAAGACTTTGAGGCAAGAAAGATATTAGAATTTTTGAGGAATAGCAAGAATGCTAAATGTAATTGGAGTACAGTGGACAAGGGAAAGAGTGGTAGGAGATGTGACTGGACAGATAGAAGGGGGTCATGGATTTTACTCTTACAATGGGGAGCCATTGGCACCATGGAACAGAATAGTGACTGATCTGACTTTGATTTAAAAATAATCACTCTGGATGCTAAATTTAATGAGTCTAGGGGCCATGATGGGGTCAGAGAGACATAGTAGGAAGTAATTTAGGTGAGGATGATGGTGATTTGGGCTAGAGGAATGGTAATAAAGAAGAAGAGAGGCAAATAACATACATTTTGGAAACAAAAATGACAGGACTGACTAATGTATTGAACTTAGTTGTGAGATAAAGAGCAGAGAAGGAGTATGGGGTGGGTTTGAGGAGATATCCCAACCTCTAGAAATCTCTGCAGGAAGAGAGCCAGTGAAGGTGACAGTAGAGTGGTGACTGAGATAAAAGGAAAATCAAGAGTGCTTCATTGTCTCAAGTATATGAGAGGAGGCATGAGACTAGTGCAGCAAAGTATCCACTGGGTTAATCCCTATGGATGTCATCAGTGATCATTAGTAGCCTGGATGTCATTTGTTGCACAAAAGACAGATTGGAGTGGATTCAGTAGAATGGGAAAAGAACTGGAGACAGTATAGACAAATATTTTGGTGAGTTTAGCTATAAAAGGGAGATGAGAAATAAGGCATAACATAGGAGAGGAACGTGTAATCATCAGTATTTTTCCTTAACCTGAGGGATGCTAATGCCAAAAAGAGATGCAATTAGGGAAGAAGTGAAGGCCTTGAAGGCCATGAAGGCCATGAGGAGTATCAAACTCCAGTGGAAGATTGCCTTAGGGAAGAGTAGGAACAGGTCCTCCACTGTAATTACAGATAAACAAATGAAAAACATCTAAATGTAGGTAGGTTTGCAGGTTTGACTGCAGGGATATGGAGTTAGAAACTAATTCTACCTGCTTAGCTCATTCAACATACTTTTTAAGTACCAAACTATATGCAAGGTATTATCCTAGGCTCTGGCAATATAGGAGGTAGGAAAACAGAAAAAAAAAAAAATCCCTGTTGCTGTGGAACTGAACTTCTAGTGAGTCTACTTTACATTCTTCATTTCTATATATGAAATTTTGAGATGCATATGACTTATAATTATAAAAGATTTTTAAATACTGCCTCCTGATCAGAAAGAAATGTTATAGGAAATAGAATGTATGACAGGATGTCAATGATACATAATCAACTTCTTTTCCCCTGGTATTTTCCCTCCTTGCTCTTCCCCTCATTTGAGTAGCTAGACCTGCACTGTCCAATGAGGTAGCCACAAGTGACTACTGAGCGTTTGAAATGTGGTTAGTCCAAATTGAGAAGTGCCGTAAGTATAAAATACCACTAGATATTGAAGCCTTAGCATTAAAAAAGTTAAATAGCTTCTTAATTTTATATTGCTTATATATGGCAATGTTTTTAATATATTTGATAAAGTTATTTAAATTTCTACTTTTTTTCCTTTTTAAAGTGTAAGTGTATAATTTTCATAGTAGCTTGCATTATGTTTCTGTAAGACCATTCTATGCTGATTGCCTCCTCCATCTGGCCCTCTGGTGACCTAATCTGCCATTCTTGGATACTCAGCTCCAACTGCAGTGGCCTCTTTGCTGTTCCTCCCTTAAGGGCCTTGCATTTACTGTTCACTGGGCCTGGAATGCACTCCCAACAGATATTCACATGGAACACTCCCTCCTTTCCTTCTGGTTTTTCTTGAAATGCCACTTTCATAGTGAAGCCTTCCAGCCAATCCAAAATTACAAAATTACAACCTCCTTTCCCATTCTCTCCCGTTTGATTTTTTTTTCCATAACACCCATCTGCAACTGAAACACAAGGTGTTTTACGTAGTTGGGTGCATAGTATCTGGCTGCTCCCATGAGATCAAAGAAATGTTTCTGTCTTGTTCGCTGCTGGAATGAACTGCTTGGGATGTAGTGATCCCTTAATAAATATTTCTTGAACGAAGTAATCAGTTGCCTCATATGAGTGATTTCACACAGTGGACCTCATCGACAGAGGAGGCTCACTAGTTATGGTTTCCAGCAGTCTCAGAGGAACCAAAGATTCCTGGTGCAAACAGAATGGGAGAGATGCTTATAAAGCTAGCAGGAACTTCCATTATGGCAGAGGGAAGTGGAAGTCCCTACAGAACTACGAAATTACAGAGGTGAATGGCAGATCTATGAGTTAACTGAGATTCAATTTCTATCAGCTGGGAAGAAGGAAGTTTCAAAGTAGAAATCAGCTTGAATTACAGAAAAGCGATATTTCTCTTAAACCAGAGTTGTGGCTGAGATTTACATACCAAGAAAAATGTTAGACATTTCATCTTTAGGTTTCCTGTGCCATTAAAAGCAGAGAATAAGAGATCATGTTGTAGTTCAAATAGCTTTCCTCATTGCTTCTGTCTTCACCCCAGACCAATGTCTTACATATGATCTGTAATAAAGTTTCCATATTCAGGAAGATTTTCAAATCATTCAATTAGTAAGACAACCAGATTGTATTTTTTGACTGTCTCTATACATACATCTGTATCCATATCTATATCTAGAAAGTAACTTCATGTGACTAACTTCAATGATGAAATTTGAGAATATGAGATGCAGACCATTCAAGAAACAATTGTATACTGAGTAACTGCTAAAATGATGAATGTCACTGTATTCAGTGAGTGAACATGGTAATTGTATGACTTCTAGTTTTATGCAGGTTATCTACTAGATGTCTAATCTCCATTCCATTTCTACTCACATTACCTCACCCTATCTGAGACTGAAGCCATTCTGCATTCATTCCTCATCCTCCATTCACACTCTGGGATGGAAGTAGGCCAGAAGGAGAAGCAAGGTGATGATGTGAAGATGTTTTACACACTTCAGTAATTCTTTAAGCTGCAAGTTTAATGGTTTGTCCTAGGCATCAAAATAGATACATTAAAGCAGAAGACCAAAACAAAAAATAGCTCATTCAAAACAACTGCATCCACATACCATGTGGCTTTTCCATAGCTTGCTCAAACTGCTGGGTATGTGCTCTTGACAGTCCAAGGCATACCTCTTAAGTTCGGTTGGTACAATTTTATAGCAAACATCACTGTTTTCCCCCTGACTTAGATGATTAAAAAAAATTAATAAGCATTGTATAGGCCCAAGATTTGTTTTTCTAATTTTAGAATTGAAACAGATCATTGTTCTAGAAACTGGTAAATGTTGGATTCTGCTGTTGGTCTATTTACATGTGCACCCAGGTACTATATAGGAGAGAGGCTAGGAAGATTATTTTAGTATTAAAAAACTCATTTATTTTTCAGTGTAAGCAGAGAAACAGAAGGGAGTGGCTTTGGCTTTCCAGTTGGTCTAAGATTAGACAGATTTTCAATATTCAGTTCAGATTTGCATGTTTTAAGGTCAAATATTGGCTGCTAAAGGATTTAGACATGGAAAAAGTTTACCAAAAACTCATTTCATTTTCAAGAAATCAGGTTGAAAAATGAACTTAACACAACAGTGGTGCTTTGCTCTAATCCTTGTTTTTTTTTGTTACCATGGGATATAAAAATTGCTGCTTTTCAATTAAGTCAGTTACACAGAAAGCAAAAACACTTTTATAACTCAGATATATTACAAATATTTTGGGACATACGCATTATCTGAAAATGGGATAAACTTACACTGAAGGAAGGTATCTGCTAAAATAAGCCTTTCAATAAAAGTGTTTTAGTTGATTTATTTGTCTTGGATCTGATAGGAAAGTGTTTTACTCATGTAAAAACGAAAATGATTGAGTTATTTTACTTTTCTATACACCTTTACATACTGCATCTTGTTTTGTATAAGATAACTCTGGCAGTCTTGAATAGCAGTCTTGAATAGCAATCTCTATTGCCTTTCCTGGTGAGGAAGGTGAGAGCTGTTACCTCTTGGTATAAACTCTCTGAATATTAGTGTCATGGTCTGTTTTGATGTCAGAAATCAATCTCACTAGTGATTTTTCAAAATGTAGTGTGCCTTTTAAAATGTGATACCCAGCAGGTATTTATATTCCCCAAACAATATTTTAAAAACAGGAGGCATACCACTTAGAGCCAGCCAACTGATCCTCTGTATGCTACACGAAGTTAACAATTTCTTTTAAAATCATGAGCTTGTGTGAATACCCTGGTTGCTATACACAACTGTGACAAGAAACATTTGTTTAACATACAATGCTAATTGACATGAGTGTGCATAGTACTGTCTAGAGGTTTTTCATGCAAGATTCTTGGATCTTCTGTCAGAAAAACTGGCTTTCCTTCCTACTTTGGCTGGCAAATTCCTACTTATTCTTCATAACTCTGTATGTCACCTCTTCTGAGAAGCCCTCCATTGAAAAAAAATATTTAAAAAAATTGAAGACACAAATAAATGGAGAGATCCCATGTTTATGGATTGAAAGAGTTAATACTGTCAAAATGTTTATGCTTCCCAAAACAGTCAACAGATTCAATGAAATGCTAACAAAATTCCAATGAGATTTTTCACAGAAATAGACAAAAAGCCTAAAATTCATATGGGACCACAAAAGACCCTAAATACCCCAAACAACCTTGAACAAAAAGAACAAAGCTGGAGGCACCATACTACCTGATCTAAAAATTTACTACAAAGCTATAGTAATCAATACAGCATGGTACTGGCATAGAAACAGACATATAGACCAATGGAATGGAATAGAGAAAGCAGTAAATGTGTGTACTTATGGTCAACTGATCTCTGACAAAGTTTCAAAAACACAAGGGGGAAATGAATATTTTGCATAAATCATGCTAGGAAAGCTAGAGTTTGACATGAAGAATGAAATTGGGCCGGGTGTGGGGTGGCTCAGGCCTGTAATCCCAGCACTTTGGGAGGCTGAGGCAGGTGGATCACCTGAGGTCAGGAGTTTGAGACCAGCCTGGGTAACATGGTGAAACCCTGTCTCTACTAAAAATACAAAAATTAGTCAGGCATGGTAGCACACTCCTGTAATCCCAGCTACTTTGGAGGCTGAGACAGGAGAATCGCTTGAACCCGGGAGATGGAGGTTGCAGTGAGCTGAGGAGGTACCACTGTACTTCAACTGGGGTGACAGAGTGAGACTCCATTTCCCACCCCACCCCTCCTCAAACAAAAATTGGACCCTTATCTCATACCATATACAAAATTCAACTTGAAGCGAAAGACTCGAACGTAAGACTGGAAATGGTAAAGAGACAAAAACATAGGGGAAAAGCAACATAATATTGGTCTAGGCAAAGGTATTTTTAATATGACCCCAAAAGCACAGACAATAAAAACAATGGATTTCATCAAACTAGAAAGCTATGTACGGCAAAGGAAACAATCAACAGAGTAAAGAATACCTATGGAATAGGAGAAAATATTTGAAAACCATATATCTGATAAGGGGTTAGTATCCTTTAGCATGTAAGTATATGTATATAAGGGGCTCAATTCAATTGCAAAAAAGCAAATAACCTAGCTAAAAAGTCAGCAAAGGCCCTGAATAGACATTTCTCAAAAGAAGACGTACAAATTGCCAACATGTATAAAAAAAATTTTCAGCATCACTAATCATCAGGGAAATGTTCATTAAAACCATGATGAGCATCACCTGACACCTGTTAGGGCGGCTGTTATCAGTAAACAAGAGAACAAGTATTGGTAAGGATGTGCAGAAAAACTTGCACACTGTTGATGGGTATGTAAATTAGTGTAGGCATTATGAATATAAGTAGGAATATTTTTTCAAAAACAAAAATAGTATTCTCATACTATTAACCAATTCTATTCCTGGGTATACATCTAAAGAATATGAAACAAATGTTGCATTTCTTCATTATTTATAATAGTTACAGAAGCAATCTAAGCGTCCATCAATGATGGAATGAAGAAAATTTGATATATATACACACACAATGGGATAGTATTCAGTCTTCAAGAAGGAAATCCTGCTGTTTGCGACAAGCCCGGACGAACCTGGAGGCCATTATATTAAGTGAAATAAGCCAGGTACTGCAGAACAAAAACCACATGACCTCACTTATGTGGAATCTGAAACAGAAGCAAAGAATATAATGGTGTTTATCAGGGAGGGGAGGGATTGGAAAGATGTTAGCCAAGGGGGTACAAAATTTCAGTTAGGTGTAATAAATTCAGGAGTTCTGTTGTGCAACATAGTGACCGTAGTTAATGTACTGCATACTTGAAAATTGCCAAGAGCAGATTTTAAATGTTACCACAAAAATGATAAATGTGAGATAATAATGTATATACATTGTGGAATGGTTATATCAATCTAATTAACATATCAAAATATTGTATGACATATATATAATCTTTGTCAATTTAATAAAAAACAAGACTTGCTTTTATGTATTATATCTTCTAGTTATTAGCTGTATGAAGTTGGGGAAATAACTTGTTTGTTCATCTATAGAATGGTATTATCCACTTTTATTACAGGTTTCATAGAAAACTGAAACCTAGAAAATGAAGTAAACTTTTAAGTGTCGTATGGTCATATAGCTGAAAAGAGGCACAGTCAGTTCTCAAGGTCAATGTGCCTTATTCTACCTTTTGTTCCCTTTACAGCACTTCAGGGATTCTCAGTATTGATTGTGAAGACAAAGAGTATATATTCATAACAATTTACAACTCTGATAAATAAGGCTATTTTTGTTAATCCTGTCTGCTCATCCGTAGAAACTCTGGGAGCATCCCACTTCTTGTTTTAGATAGTGATTCTGTTTTGTGTTCTATGTTGTCAGAAGACAAGCTTTGGTGTCCTTGTTGTGACTTCATTAGGTTTTGAGATAATGAGGAAAGTCTCTCTGGGTTTCGGTTTTTTTTTTTTTTTTGTCTTTAAAATGAAGATATTTCCCCCAGTAGATTATAGTGAGAATGAAAGAATTTATGTAAGTTATAAATTGCTGTGCATATATAAGATAGTGGTACCATAACTATTAACAGATGTCAAGTCAATCAGCCAACTGTCACATATGATCTTAAGGGAGTAGCACCTCGTAAATTCAACAGAATGGAAGATACTGTATTTTAGTTTTTGCAATTATTTATGTAGCTAAAATAGTTTACTAGGTTGTACCTGAAATATTTTGAATAAAATTATTCTCACAAGTATCTGAAGATAAAGGTATCCTGTTTCCAAGCTGCCAACCCGTGATGTAACCACAGTCAACTGAGTCGCCTTAGTAGTTAAACAGACCCAGCAGGAAGTAAGTATTTCTATTCTTAAGCTGCCTTTCTTTACTCCAAAGCTTTAGGCAGATCATAGGCACAAGAATCTAAGGCCCACACACTGATCTTTTCTGAGTATCTGCAAGTGGTAGTGAAAAGTCAGCCTTCAAGCCAAGAGTGTCAAAAGGATGTAGCAAGAGTGAACTAAGCATCATTTTGCTAGTTTCCTATAGTTATAACAAATTACTACAAATTTATGGGCTTAACAAATTATATTTCTGGAGGGCCAGAAGTCTACGGTGAGTTTCAGTGGACTAAAAAGGTGTTTACAGGGCCAAACTCCCACTGATAACTCTATGTGATCTATTTTCTTTTTCCAAGTTCTAGAAGTTGCCTGCATTTTTTTGGCCCATCCCTTGCATTACACTAACACGTTGCTTCTCTAGTCATATCTCCTACTTCTGTGGTCAAATTTCCCCTCTGCGTCTCTTACAAAGATATCTCTGACTACATTTAGGGCCTACTCGAATAATTCAGGATAATGTCACCACCTCAAGGTTCATAATTACATCTGCAAAATCACTTTGCCCTATAAGGTCACATTTACAGTTTCGGGGATCTGGATGCGGATAGCTTTGTAGGCCATTACTCACCCTTCTACGATCTCTAACCCTATCTGCAGTTTCCCTCTCCAGTAGAAATTCATCTTGTCAAAGCTAGTTATCCTTCTCTAACCCTCTGCTGATCTAAATCTAAAGATCAATTCTTGTCTCATCAGGTTCTGAGCATATCCAAAAAGATAACTGACTTATTACTCCAGAGATACGCTTCATAGGCCTTTAAATTTAATATGGCAGCCTAGGGTTAGCTTTAGCCATTTTTAAAGTTTCTTCTAGTTGAGTTTTCAGTTAGTGTTTGGTTCTGGACTTCTCTTAGTGGTTAAAAGTTGAATGAGAATGAACCAGACTTCTGGCTTCTGATTCAGGAGATCTAAGGAAACCTAGTGAGGAGCCATGTGAAATATGGAGTCTAAGTCTTCTACCATGAGTCCTGAGTTTTCTTCATCAACTACATTATGCAGTATCAAGGGTAGGAAAGTCTAGCTGTTCAATACAGTTAAAAGGAAAATAATTGTTATACGATCTGAGGTTCATGGAGGTAGAATCACACTATATATTACCTTTATAGCCCATAGTGCTCACAGGTATTTATTTCATTCAGTACTTGAGAATGATTCTGAGAAGGGGATGGAATTGCCATCCTCTTTTTATTACTTCAGACTTGGTAAGCTTTGAATACCTAGTAAGGGGCAGACTTAGAACTTGGAGTAGATTTCTGGTTCCTGATCCACTGGGCTATTGCACTACTTTAGAGCTATTTGAGACCTTGAAGTTTAGTTCTACTCCTACCCAAGTATTTGAATCTTTTCTCCAGCGTTCTTTAAATCTGTGAAAGCACGTTTAACATACCTTTCACTGTTTTGCTTGTATTCTCTCTTGAAATACCTGGGTAATTGGAGCAAGAGATGTGAGTGTGTATGTATGTGTATAAGGTAACTTGAATTATCGAGATTACTGTATTTTCTCCATTGTGTGTGGTAAGAAATATAAACTTCTGTAAGAGCTGTTGGTGTGATAGGTATATGCTGGTATTAATAATTTGAGAAGCTACAGATGGAAAAAATGAGTGTGGTTCTTATTTTTTTAACCATTAACCCTAATTCATTCTTCCCAAATTTGTGATAAAGATCCATTAGTGACTTTCGGGGAAGATGACAAATGATTAAAGAAGAAATAGTCACTGTTACATCTGTTCTAGGGGGAAACTATAAACTGGAAACTTGAATGCAAAGATAGAGAATACTTTCTTGTTGCAGTGTCCCACTTTAAAAATTGGTATTTGTAGAATCACAGTTATAGAGCTGAAGGAGCCTCTATAATAATCTAGTCCCAACTTCTTATTTAATATAAGAGGAATCTATGGTTAGGATGTCCACATGGTAGTTCATGGTAAAAGTGGGATAAGAAAACAGGTCCAGGGCTCAGGAGGGTGGGGCCTTGTTTACCATCCCAGCACATAGTATACTAGGACTTCTGCATTACACCTTTTACTATTGTTTTATCTCTTTCACTTAATTCAGAATTTTCATACCTGTAGAGATGATAGTTCAAAGACATACAGGGTTAACCAAATTTTATCAACTCCCTGAATTTTATGCCATCAAAATATCCTACAGTATGTGCAAAAATATATAACTTTGAATTCAATCACAGTGACACGATTCAGATGCAAAAATAAAAATTGTTTTAGCTGTAATTTACAATACGGGAGGATTGCCAACTTATGACTTGAAAATCATTTTAAGAGAATGTATTTTCAAGAGGCCATTATTCAGATGTGCAAGTTCTAATTCATCAAGAGAACTATTCTTCATGAATTAGAGATAGAAACATCAGTTTTTCTAATTCTTTATAACAACAACAGTTAGTAAGGACAGAGTGCAGTCAATAAGCAGTCTTCATAATTGAGTCTTTAGGCTTCTGAATTTGTCAACAATAATAGAGTGCAATTAGAAAGTAACTGGGGGAATAATGGTTGTGCCTTTAGTGAAGACTGAGACCCCTTTATAAACACTTTGTAATTAGTTTTGTGTGCTATCAAATCTTTTCTGAGCCCCAGACGACTATGGGCTATATCATGTCTGAACATTATTGATGCCTCTCTCATATGTAGAGCAATTAGGAAAGATAGCTAAAAAAAAAATTAAAGACTGTTGAGGTAAAAATAGTTAATTGAAAACTGAGAAGTCATTTTCATTGTTCAAAAGAATGATAGTGGAATCTAGCATGTAATCTATTTTTCATCACGTCATTTTGTGATCTAATACCAGATTAGTCAATGGAAGATTTCATCCATCATAATGGGCTTAATGTTCCTTATAACAGAATCACTGCAGGAGGTTAGATTAAGGCCAATAAGTTTCTGAAAGATTCAAAATTATTGGAAAAATTAACGATGTATACATCCTATCATGCATTTGGCCAGTTATTCTGCTTCAGTTTTATATAAGCAACTACATCATTGCTACACAGCATTTTACAGAGAGGGGAAAGCTATGATTTAATTAATAGTTGCTTGATAAAGATTCGGAAACTCAAAGGTGAGGCTGATTGCCTAAGAGAAGTTAAAGGTCCAAGTCTTCCCATGCTATATATTTTAGTTTTCTTTGGTTGCTGAATTTCAGCTGAAACCAAATATATACTTTTGGCTTCAAACTGAATTACAAATTCTATTAAATACCAAATACTTTGCTCTTACAGATTCACAATGAAATTTATATTACAATGTGCAATATAGCTGCAAATTTCTGAATTTAAATAAGGGTCCACAGTCATTGTATATTAGATACCTAGGGATATTGTGCTTTATACAATTTGTGGTTGAAGGATGCCATATTGTTAGGGAGCAATCTTCATGGCTTTCGGAAGGTTATTTTTCGGATTTATGATTCAAATGAAAAAGGACTGACAAAACCTTCTCCTTCAATTGTATGTCGATCTAAAAGAGAATTTTTAGTGAATTGACATGTAGAGTTTTAATGGAAGTAGATTTTTCCACCACAAACCACCCCCTTGGGGTTGCAATGTTAAAAAAAAAAAACAATTCAGAGATTCAAGCAAATCAATACTGAGGTCCAAAGTGTTGGTTGT
Organism: Homo sapiens; assembly: GCF_000001405.40. Classification (NCBI taxonomy): domain Eukaryota; kingdom Metazoa; phylum Chordata; class Mammalia; order Primates; family Hominidae; genus Homo; species Homo sapiens. The sequence continues at coordinate 147,706,862 of NC_000023.11, read as the reverse complement.
TGAAGATATGTATTATCAGAGTTAGGGAACACTATTTGAATAACTTTATCCCCAGAGGAAAAAGGTACAACAAAAACAAACTGCATCTGATCATTTGCAAATCTTTCATTTAGCTACAAAATGAGGGCAATTTATTGGCAGATAGACTGTGGGCTGAGAAAAGGAAGCAGGGAGATACACGTATATGTATATATATATGTATGTGTATATGTAATCTTTGAGGAATCCTAGATTTCAAGGGAGAAAATCTCAAAACTCCTTAGAGGTTTTTCTTGAAGTGTCACCTTCCTCTATAAGGTAAATCTGCTCGCTCTGTCCTTATACTGCAGAACACACTAGTTAAGAGTGTTCCTGATGGGGGCAAAATCAGTCAATTTTAATGGCTTGAGACGGACATTGGACCCAAGTCAGAGAGCCTAGGTGTTTTAGAAGTGAATTTTTGGTTTTCTCAAAACAGATTGTTCAGAAGTTTTCTTTAGGTTTTAAATATTTATATTCAATTTATTAAAGTTATAAATCCTCAAACCTAGTTTTCCCTTTGCTTTTGCGTTCTGCATACAAATATTATTCTATTTAAAAATCTAATAGATTTTAACAGTCCTTCGATGACTTTTAAACAATGTATGGTCCCATTTACCAACTTAAACACCTTCAAATATCTTAAACTGCATTTATATATTTAAAATATGGTACTTATTTTTCTTTCTTGGGTCTTCTATCTGAAAAGACAAAGCCTCCAGAGTATTAAATAATTATTACAATACATTGAATTTATATACATGGTGAACCAAGTTCTCGTAGACATTCTAAGTGTTAAAGAATGCAGTAAAACTCCACTTAATAGTCAATTACTTAGTTCTTCATTTTAAATTGGAGTTACAAGGGTGTCACTGTAAAAGTCCAAATTCTCTTAAAATTGCATATATATATATATATATATATATATATATATATATATATATAGATGCCAAACATGTACAAATCTATAATTATAGATCAAGTCTCTGAAATCTCTATTTTATTTTTAATAATTTCAACTTGTATTAGAATCAGTATACATGTGCCAGTTTGTTGCATGGCTACACTGCATGATGCTGAATTTTAGGATATGTTGCATCCTGTTACCCAGGTAGGGAGCATAGTACCTTAATAGCTTTTAAACCTTTGATCACCTCCCTCCTCTATCTAGTAGTCCCCAATTTCTATTGTAGCCATCTTTATGTCCATTAGTACCCAATGTTTAGTTGCCACTTATAAGTGAGAGCATGCAGTATTTAGTTTTCTATTCCTCAGTTAATTTGCTTAGGATAATGACCTCCAGCTGCATCCATGTTGCTGCAAAGGACATAATTTCATTCTTTTTTTTATGGCTGCATAGCATTCCATGGTGTTCTGAATTCTAAATCTTCCCACACTTAAATCTCTACTCACTAAAGAAAATAGTCATTGTTCCAAATTCCTGTGGTTACTTTCAATAGGAGATGCTGACCAGGTTTGAGGCCTGGAGCTTGAGGTCTCATTCTGAGCCCTTTTTGTACAGTCACTGTATCTCAGGTGACTCCGCTTAAAAGGGAATGAGTTTCCTAACTCAAATTACCTAATGCTGCTTCTCAGGTTCACCAATGTCCTCCCAAGTTGACCACTTACAATTCTGTGTTTAAGATGTGCCGTAGTGCTTAGTGCCCAAGCATGGACTATGGACCCAGATTGCCTTGGTTCAAATCTTGGCTATACCACTTATTAGTTGTGTGACCTTGGAAAAGGAGCTTAAACTCTCTGTACCTCAGTTTTCTAATCTGTAAAATGTAGATAATACCAGAAACTACATCATAAGTTTTTTTAATGAGAATTAAATGCATTAATGCAAGTAAAACCCTTTGAAATAGACCCTGGCTCATAGTTGATGCTATATAGATGTTAACTGTTGTTATCATTATATGTATTTTCCTTTAAACTCTAAAGATCTTTGATTAGTATATGTACATATCTTTTCCATTTAATTTTAAAAATCTTTGAACTTAATGGACTTTTGTAGTCATCCATATTTATACAGCATACAATTTCCTTAAATGTTAAAATATCTAATTATATTTGAATTTGACCCTGATGTGGTCACAGCTTGTAATTCTACAGACTTGTTTTAGATTCAACTCTGTGCACCTAAAAAATAACTTGCTCGAGTTACTTAACCTCTCCATGTCTCAATTTCCTTATCTGAAAGAATGGGGATAATAATCCCTAGCATACTCTGTCATTCAATAAATACTGAATATTTATTGAGTACTCCCTATGTCCTAGGCACTATCCTAGGTTCTTTGAATACATTATTGAACAAAGCAGACAAATGTCCTTGCCTTCTTTTTATTCTAGCAAGGGTCGGGGTGGGGGTGGCAGGGAACAAGTGGTAGGGGGAGAAAACATAATGAATGAATCAATTATACATTAGGAGGTGATGAGTGCTAATGTAATGCTAATGAAAACATAGAAGCGGTTAAGAGGAATCAAATTTGCAGGTAGGGTTTTGGATGTCAGTTATAATATTGCCTAGGGTGACTGGTGTAGGCCTTTGGGGAGTATGAGATTTGAGTAAAGACTTGGAGGTGAGAGAATAAGCCAAGGGATACCTGGGGAAGAGCATTTAAGAAAGAAAGAATGATATATTAGTCAGCTTCTGCTGCAGCAACAACTCTAATTTTCCAGGCTCTGACAAACACAAGTACTTATTTTTTTGCTTATATTACATGGCTAATAGCCATTCCCACAATTTTTTTAGAGGCTTCCTCTCTTTGGATTTAATTATAAGTATTTAATAATTTGTGATTATAAGTATTTAAGCTTATCAGAGGCTGGTAAATATATTCCATTACAGGGAAGTACATCAAGATTAGGGAGCATGAAGAAAGAATGAACACAATAGGTCTGGCTGTTCATTCCTTGGATGTCTCCAGTGTCCTCTATTTTTTGAAGAATCCCCGGAAATGTAATCCTCAGAATGTTCTTGATATCATTGAATTATTTTGTTGTATATACCTGAAGAAATGAACCATACCAGAGCAGCTTGCATGATTGTTTTGCTCAAGCATCAAGATTGATTGTGTGTACCTTGTTTCATTGAGCTCCTGAATTTCAGTTGCCATGGCTGATTGCTGGCAAGATGTCCCTATGTGACCAACCCTCTGAGAGCCTCAGGCCCTGAGGCTTAAATGGGTTTCCTTTGGCAGAGTCATTCCACATTTGTCCCTGTAGTTTTCTGCCAGCTAAGAAGCCTGTCTTGTGTGGCCTTGGATAAGGAAGGACATCAGAAGCCTGTGCTGGACTTCTCTGGACTCCTTCAGTGCATCTTTTTCCTGCTGCTTTTACTCCGTGTCTTTTGCTATAATCTTAGCCAGGAGTATAAACTGCTATTAAGTTGTGATTTCTTCTAGTGAATCAGTAAGCTTAAGGAGGTTTAAAACATCTGATGCGAGAAAAGAGTTCATGACTGTTGCCACAAACAGCTAGAAAAAAGGCTTAAAAGCAGGAACGTACATCGCACAATCAAGGACTGGCAAGGAAGCCAATGTTTGTGGAAAAAAGGGCATGAGAGGGAGAGGAATAGAAGATGAGGTCAAGGTGTAATGGGGGTACAGATCAAGTAGGGTTTCATGGGTCATAGCGAGATAGGAAGCCATTGGAGGGTTTTGAGCAAGAGTGTGACACAATATAACTTAAGTTTTAAGGGGGATCACTGGGAGTGCTGTTTTGATAATGGACAGCAGGAGGGCAAGAGTAGAGGTAGGGAAACCTACAAGGAGGCTATTGAAGTAATCCGGTGGGGAGATGACGACGGTGATCTGAACCAAGGAGCAGGGGTGGAGAGGGTAAGAAGTCATTTTGAATATTTTGAAGATGATGTTTGCGGATCATGTGGAACAAAGGTGCATGTGAAAACTTGTCAGATGTAAGGCACCATACACAAGTACATTATTAATGAGATTTAGAATATCGTTTTGGCTAGAGGGATGAATAGGGCCTGAGAACCCTGAGGAAAAAGGGAAGCTCCTATTGCCCAGGCTGCAGAGGGGGCTTCTCAGCCATTGAAGAAGTGACACCACAATCTTTTTTGATGAAAACCCCAAGAAACATGATTGGATAGTGCTGTTGCCTCTGATAGTCCCTCTGAGGTCAGGCCTAGTCCCCAGCCAGCATGGAATAAAAGTCCTTCCTATTTTCACTCTCAAAGGGTACCTGGTGTGATTTTAAAAATTTTCCTAAGACTATGTCTGTGTACTAGGATGGGATTTGTTCTGCCTTTACTCACTGGCAGGCATGTGGCCACTATGGCCTCAGTGTGGATGTTTTCTATCGCGTTATATCACTAAAAACACATACTGGTTTCAAATGTATTCTGAAGCCTGCTTCCGAGTCGAAGTCATCAGTAAGGGTTTTGCCTATGTCCCACTTTCTGGTTTCCTAGTGCTTCTCTTGTGTACCTTTTCTCTTTCCCCAGTTCCCCAAAGCAACTGTCTACAACCACACATAGCAATGCTTGGGAAGATGTGATTCCCTTTTGTACCCAGAGATTACACTGCTTACTCGAAAGCAAAGAAATTTGAACTGAATTATATCTGTTGCTTCTGTTCTAAAAATAACACTTCTTCTTTACCTAATGTGTGTAGGAAATAGGTGGCTTTATTTCCATATAACAGATGCAAAAGCAGCTCAGGTAAAGCAGTAAACCCCAGGTGAGGATGCATTTTGATGTACTTAGAATTGCCATAACTAGAAAGCTAAATCTCTGATGGAAGACCCAGAGCTAATTATACCAGAAAGTTAGGAAAATGATTTAACAAAGATAATTTGTGATATGATCCCTGTTGACAACTGGATTAGGGAATTTTCCCAGCTCTGTGGTTTACAGGATATTTTTCTACAAATCATTAGTAAAAGGTGTCAAACAAGAGAGGAAGCTTCTCATTTTGAACTATAGGAATGCATATGTTTGTTTGATGCAGAGCAGCATTACCAAAGCCTTTATTATATATACACGGGGCTGTTAAGGAAGAAGCCTTTGAGGTATATTAACTGTCAAATGTAAAGTATGACAGAGGGAGGAGGGAGAGGAAAGGAGGGAATAAAATAATTTTCAATTATTTATTTAGGACTGTAGTGTCAAAGTAAACTAGACTTGGATTCTAGCCATCGCAGTGCTACTGTGGACAAGTTGAATGACTTTAAGAAAGGCACTGAACTTCTCAGGACTTCAGTGTTGAAGTATCTTTTGTTATATTTTTTATTTCTCCATAAGTTGAGGTTCAGGTGGTGTTTGGTTACATGAGTAAGTTCTTTAGTGGTGATTTGTGAGATTTTGGTGCACCCATCACCTGAGCAGTATACACTGCAACCTATTTGTAGTCTTTTATTCCTCACTCCCTCCCTCACTTACCCCCAAGTCTCCAAAGTCCATTGTATCACTCGTATGCTTTTGCGGCCTCATAGCTTAGCTCCCACATAACAGTGAGAACATACGGTATTTGGTTTCCCATTACTGAGTTACCTAGAATAATAGACGCCAATTTCATCCAGGTCGCTGCAAATGCTGTTAATTCATCCCTTTTTATGGCTGTGTAGTATTCCATCAAGTGTGTGTGTGTGTGTGTGTGTGTGTGTGTGTGTGTGTGTGTATCACACACTTTATCTACTCATTGATTGATGGGCATCTGGGTTGGTTCCCGGATTTTGCAATTGCGAATTGTGCCACTATAAATATGCATGTGCAAGTATCTTTTTCATATAATGACTTCTTTTCCTCTGGGTAGATAGTAGTGGTATTGCTGGATCAAATGTTAGTTCTACTTTGAGTTAAGGAATCTCCACACTGTTTTCCATAGTGGCTGTACTAGTTTACATTCCCATCAGCAGTGTAGATGTGATCCCTGATCACTGCATCCATGTCAACATCAGTTTTTTGATTTTTTGATTACGGTCATTCTTGTAGGAGTAAGGTGGTATCACATTGTGATTTTGACTTGCATTTCCCTGATCATTAGTGATGAACATTTTTTCATGTTGGTCATTTGTATATCTTTTGAGAATTGTCGATTAGCCCACTTTTTGATGGGATTTTTTTTTTTTTTTTTTTTTTTTTTTTTTTTTTTGCTAATTTGAGTTCCTTGTAGGTACTTGGTATTAGTCCTTTGTCAGATTTATAGATTGTGAAGATTTTCTCCCATTCTCTGGGTTGTCTGTTTACTCTGCTGACTTTTCCTTTTGCTGTGCAAAAGCTCTTTAGTTTAAGTCCTAGCTATTTATCTTTGTTTTTATTGCATTTGCATTCTTGGTCATGAAATCCTTGCCTAAGCCAATGTCTAGACAAGTTTTTCCGATGTTATCTTCTAGAATTTTTAGTTTCAGGTCTTAGATTTAAGTCCTTAATCCATGTTGAGTTGATTTTTGTATAGGGTGACAGATGAGGATCCAGTTTTATTCTCCTACATGTGGATACCCAATTATCCCAGCACCATTTGTCCTTTCCCCACTTCGTTTACTTTGTCAAAGATCAGTTGGTTGTAAGTATTTGGGCTTATTTCTTGGTTGTCTATTCTGTTCCATTTGTCTATGTCCCTATTTTTATACCAGTTTCACGCTGTTTTGGTGACTATGGCCTTAAAATACAGTTTGAAATCAGGTAGTGTGATGTCTCAATTTGTTCTTTTTGCTTATCTTGCTTTGGTTATGTGGGCTCTTTTTTGGTTCCATGTGAATTTTAGAATTGTTTTTCCTAATTCTGTGAAGAATGAAAGTGGTATTTTGATGGGGATTGCATTGAATTTGTAGATTGCTTTTGGCAATATGGTTATTCTCACAATATTGATGCTACCCATCCACGAGCATGGGATGTGTTTCCATTTGTTTGTGTCATCTGTAATTTCTTTCAGAAGTGTTTTGTAGTTTTCCTTGTAGAGATCTTTCACCTCCTTGGTTAGGTATATTGCTAAGTATTTATTTTTTGCAGCTATTGTAAAAGGGGTTGAGTTCTTGATTTGATTCTCTGCTTGGTATATTAATCTTGTATCCAGAAACTTGGCTGAATTCTTTTATCAGTTTTAGGAGCTTTTTGGAGGAGTCCTTAGAGTTTTTAAGGTAAACTATCATATCATCAGCAAAAAGTGACAGTTTGACTTCCTCTTCACCAATCTGGATGCCCTCTATTTCTTTCTCTTGTCTGATTGCTCCGGCTAGGACTTGCAGTACTATGTTGAAGAAGAGTCGTGAGAGTGGGCATACTTGTCTTGTTCCAGTTCTCAGAATGTTTTCAACTTTTCCCCATTCAGTATTATGTTGGCTGTATCTCAACTAAGTATTCTGCTCAGGGTATCACAAGGGCAAAATTGCGGGGGTCTATCCCACAGACCCTAACCCGATGACAGATGAATAACATACACTGACACAGATATTATGCCTGTTAGTCTAGCTGAGCATCTGGGCCACTTACAGACTCCAAGGAGAGTGCTGTAAAGAGTTGCAGCTGCTGGCCTTGACTTGCTGGCCCTGCTGGCATTTATTTATTCAGCACACATTAAATGACAAAAGTCTCAAGTAAACACCACTAGAAGGTAATTACCATTGCAGACCCCCTGAGTAGAGAGCAATAATGGACCTGCAGGCAGTCAAAGGTTAGTCATAGGACCACGTGAGTAAACAAGCTATTTAGATAGACTCCTCTACATTCCTATGTTAATTACCCTTGCCATAGCTCAGAGGATTAGGCTGCCCTCAGCTATAACTCTATCCTGAGGTTACTGCAAAAACCTTCCGGCTTTCTAAGATGGTTTGTGTTTATTTTGCAGCTTCTCCCACCATCTTTACTGAACCCTTATGCAAAATTAAGGTGGTGACTGGCCTGGAACCACTTTGACCATCTTTAGCCTCTCATGTGAGGAGAATCAACTTCTAAGCTTCTTCAGGTTGTTTGAAGAATTCAGCTCTTGCTTATGATTTCCATATGACTCCCTCCATATTCCAGAGAGCAACAATGGGCTGAGTGCTTCTCAGGCTTTTTTTAAAGACAGAGTCTCACTCTGTTGCCAGGCTGGAGTGCAGTGGCGCAGTCTCAGCTCACTACAACCTCCGCCTCCCGGGTTCAAGCGATTCTCCTGCCTCAGTCTCCCAAGAAGCTGGGACTACAGGCGCGTTCTACCACACCCAGCTAATTTTTATATTTTTAGTAGTGATGGGGTTTCACCATGTTGGCCAGGTGGTCTCGATCTCTTGACCTCATAATCCCCCCACCTTGGCCTCCCAAAGTGCTGCGATTACAGGCGTGAGCCACCACACCAGGCCTTTAAATCTCTTTCTACATTCCTTTTCTGCTGCATCTTCCTACCTCATGTTCTGCTTTTAAGGGCTTATGATATTACATTTGGCCCACCTGGATAATTCAGGGAACTCTCCCTATCTTGAGTTCATGGTCAAAGTCCTTTAGCCATGTAATGCAACATATACAAAGGAATGACACCAGAGGGTGAATTTCATGGGGACCAAATTTCAACTTATATGTAGAGTACATAGGAACCTATGAACTGGGTTATTTACCACCCATTCTAGCCTCTTTCAATAACTTTTCCTGTATTGCAGAGGCTAGAACCTCTCTTACAGCTGAGGTTCTGGATATGATTTATATTCTGCCAATTAGATGTACTCAAATGAGACTTGAACTTGGAACTTAGGTAAAAAGGAGGGAGGCAGCACGTGAAGCATCCACTTTGGTGAGAATTGAAGCAATGCTGGCGCAGTTCTGGAACCAACAGCTATAGTAGTAACTTCTTCATTTAACAGACAGCTGTAATAGAATCTAACCAACACACCAGACTGTCCTTGATTGCTTTTCAGATAGAGAAAACATCTACTAAATGTCTTTATAAGGGTATCATAATTTTCAAGTTACCTTATTTAATGGAGGTAGTACTATTCCCATTTTGACAACTGAAGAAATGCAGAATCAGTTGTTAAGGGGACTTGCCCATGGTCAAATTCAAGTTTAAAGTTCTCGCCATTATATGAAAGCCCCCTCCTCTTTTCCTCCTCCTTCTTCCTTTTTAAAAATTAGAATAATTTTTCTAACACTTGTAGCTTATAGCCATATTATGAATTCTGACCTTGACCTTATACGTAACACAGCTGTCTTCAAATAGATTTTTCATCCAGCTTTATTTGATGTAGAAGACTTTACTGGGGACTCATGGGGATTACAGATTAGGGGGAAGGGAGGTGAGAATACCCTCAAAGAAATGGTCAGCTATAGCCAGCACTGAACTTGCAATTTCTAGTTTCAATGGATACTGGAGAGATCCTCCCCTTTCTACTCCCTGTCTTCATGGAGTAGAATGACCTCCCAGAGACCATGTTCAGAAAGACTGTTCCAGAAGCACAAAAAGAACCTGGGTTCCATGGACATGGCTGCACCTGCTGCCACAGAGATAAACAAGATGCTCTGGCAGGTCAGCCAGAAGAGACAAAAAAAAAGCTGGGCTGTCACATTTGTGCTATGACAGATGTCTGCATTCATATAATGTGAGAGTGAATCTTTGGGCCTGGAAGAGGCAGAGAAATGCCACATTCTTATAATTTTTTGATGCAAAGGTTATTGCAATATTGTCATGTAAAAGTTGTTGCTTTGTGAAAATACAGAATTGCTCCTTTTGGGAAAATAAAACATGAGCGAGGAAAGGCGCTGTGAGTCTAATCCTGGAAAAAGTAAAAGCAGCCTCAGGATGAAGCTACATGATTAAATTGGGATGTAGTTTAGGGGCTGGGTGCAGAAGGAGTAAGGAGGAGGCTTAGTCCTAGACCTAGAAAGGTAAATCTTAGAAGATTTACCATAAGAAGATTACCTTAGAAGATTATCAAAGAGCCAATGCCTTTTCTCATTCACCACTATATTCATGAGGATTAGAAATGTGCCTGCCATGTTGTAGGCACTTAATACATATTTCTAAATTGCTATTATAAATAGTTACTGGAACTAGATTGTGTAAAGCAAGTGTTGCCAAACTATATCCAATGACCAAATCTGGCCCACACCTATTTTCATAAATAAAATTTTATTGGCACAGAGCCATGCTTCTTTGTTCCTATATTGTCTTTGGCTGCTATTGCACTGAAATGGCAGAGCTGAGTAGTTGTGGCAGAGACTATATGGCTCGAAAGTTTATCTGGCTCTTTACAGAAAAAGTTTTCCTTTTTTATTTTTATAGATACAGGGTATACAAGTGCAGTTCTGTTACATGGATATATTGCATAGTGGTGAAGTCTGGGCTTTTCATGTAACATAACCCAAATAGTATACATTATACTCAAAAGGTAACTTCTCATCCCTTACCCCCTTCCACCCTTCCACCTCTTAGACTCTCCAATGTCTATTCAACTCTTTATATCCATGTGTATACATTATTTAACTCCCAGTTATAGGTGAGAACATGCAGCATCTGACTTTGAGTTATTTCACTTAAGATAATGACCTCTGCTTCCATCCATGTTGCTGCAAAAAATGACTTCATTCTGTTTTATGACTATTATTCTAAGGTGTATATATATATCAATCACATTCTTTATTCAGTCCTCTGTTAATGGCCATTTAAGTTGATTACATGACTTTGCTGTTGTGAACAGTACAGCGATGGGCATATGAGTGCAGGCATCTTTTTTTATATAATTATTTTTTTCCTTCTGGTAGATAGTAGTGGGATTGCTGTATTGAATGGTGGTGCTATTTTTAGTTCTCTGAGAAATCTCCATACTATTTTCCATAGAGGTTGTACTAATTTACATTCCCACCAACACTGTATAAGCATTCCCTTTTCTCTTTATCCTTGCCAACACCTGTTGATTTTTGACTTTTTAATAGCCATTCTGACTTATGTAAGATAGTTTCTCATTGTGGTTTTAATTTGCATTTCTGATTAATGATGAGCATTTTTTGTTTGGCCAATTGTGTATCTTCTTTTGAAAAATGTCTGTTTATGTCTTTTGCCCACTTCCTGATGAGGTTGTCATTTTCTTGTTGAGTTGTTAGAATTCCTTATAGGTTCTGAATATTAGTCCTTTGTCAGATACATATTAATAGTTGGCAAATACTTTTTCCCACTCCGTATGTTCTTTGGTGATGCTGTTGATAGTTTCCTTTGCTGTGCAGCAGCATTTTAGTTTCATTCCCATTTGTCTAATTTTTTTCTTGTTGTTTGTGGTCTTGAAGACTTACTCATAAATTCTTTGCCTAGGCCAATGTCCAGAATATTTTTTCCTATGTTTTATTTTAGGGTTTTTATAATTTTACATCTTATATTTAATTCTTTAATCTATCTTGAGTTCATTTATACATATGATGAGAAATATGGATCTAGTTTCATTCTTTGCATATGGCTACTCAATGTTTTCAGCATCATTTTTCAAATAGGATGTCCTCTCTCAAATGTTTGGCTTTGTCCACTTTTTCAAAGATCAGTTCATTGTGGATAGGTGGCTTTATTTCTGGGTTCTCTACTCTGTTCCATTTATCTATGTGTCTATTTTTATACCAGTACTATGCTTTTTTGTTTACTATATCCTTATAGTATAATTTGAAATCAGGTAATGTGATGCCTCCAGATTTGCTTTGGCTTTCAAGTTTTTTGGTTGCACATAAACATCAAAATTGTTTTTTTCTAATTCTTTTAAAAAGGATGTTCATAATTTCATAAATATTGCATGGTGTTTATGCTTAGAACTTTCTTGATCATCTCTTGTAGGGGCAGTCTAGTGAAAAATTCCCTTAGCATTTGCTTATCTGGGAAAGACTTTATTTCTCCTTCATTTATGAAGCTTAGTTTAGCGGGATACAAAATTTGTTCTTGGCAGTTTTTTTTTTTCTTCAAGAAGTCTAAAAATAGAACCCAAATCTCTTGCAAGGTTTCTGGTGAGCAGTCCACTGTTAGTCTGCTGGGATTCCTCCTATAGTTGATTTGATGCTTTTCTCTTGCTAATTTTAGGATTTTTTCCTTCACGTTGACTTTAGATACTCAAAGACTGTGTATGTTTTGGTGAAGTTTGTCGTGCAACATATCCTGTTGAAGTTTTAAGCCTCTTGTATCTAGATGTCTAAATCTCCAGCAAGACTAGAAAAGTTTCCTTAATTATTTCCTTAAGTAGATTTTCCAAACATTTTACTACTACTTCTACCTCTGGAATACCTATGACTCATATTTTCAGACATTTTATGTAATCCCATACCTCTAGAAACCTTTGTACATTTAAAAAAATCTTACATTTTAGACTGATTGGATTCATTTGAAAGATCTGTTCAAGCTCTGAGATCCTTCCTTCTGCTTGATTTAGTACATCATTAAAGCTTTCAACTGTATTTTGTCATTACTTTACTGAATTTTTCATTTCCAGAAGTTTTTTTGATATCTCTTTAGTATCTTTTTCATTCATATCCTGAATTCTTTTTCTAATTTGTGTTGGTTTTCAACTTTGATTTCATTGAGCTTCTTTAAAGTCAGCATTTTAAATTCTTTCTGGTAGTTCAAAGATTTCATTTTGGTTTGTATCCATTGCTAGAGAGTTAATGTGATCCTTTGGGGATATTTTAATACCGTTTTTTCATACTTCAGAGTTGTTTCTCTGGTTTCTTACTTGGATAAACTGTATCTTTTTACTTTTGAATTTACTTTCATATTTAGATAGGATTTTTCCGACTTGAGGATGTGACTATAATGTATGTTGTGTGGGTTTGTTTGGCTTTGCTTCTGGGTGCTTTAAGTGGCAAAGACACTGTGTGAGTTCCTTGGTTATAGATAGCCTTTATGTAGTGACTTTTTCTACTGTTGTTTGTAGTAGCAATGTACTGGGCATATTAGCAGGCTCACTGTCCCCTATGGGGCTGGGATGGCAGAGTTCTCAGGAATCTTTTCTTGTTCCCCAGTGCTGTGCACTTTTGTCAGCAGATTTTGTATTAGGTTGTGCAGTTCAACCTCCAAGTCATTAGGTGATGCTTGTTAGTAAGAGTTGGCTAGGGCTGATACAGATAGGTATATATTTGATCTTTGTTTACTAGGAGAAGCTCTCTGATGCCTCAGGCAATGGGGTTGTCTGTGGAATGCACAGTGGCCTGAGCTCCCTGATCAGCCGGTGATGGGACAAAGCTGGCTGGAACTGAACTACCAATCCCACCTTTGGATACTTCAGTGGCAGGGATAAGTACCAGTCCTGACTGGAGGAGTTGGTTAGGGGCAGCTCCTGATGAAATGCCCCAAGGTATCTGTGTGTGGGGGGGCGGGGGAAGGGGTTGCCCCAGCTCCATGGCCTGAGCAGGGAGGAATGTCATCTTTCTATCCTGGAAAGATAGAACACTGCTGTCTTTCTATAGATAGAAACACTGCTGTCTATCTCCAGGCTGCAATGTAGCTGAGTGCCATGAAAAACACCTGTCCCATGGCTTACTTCTGAAATGTCTTCTGCACAGAATCTCCTCCCTCAGTCCAAAACACATAGCTCTTCTACTCTCTACCTCAGGTACAATGCTGCTCTGTGCAGAGAGTGGGAGGAGCCCGCCTTTTGTGTAAACCTAGGCCTCATTGGCCCACTGCCACTGGGGAAGCAGCTGCCCATAACATCCCTAGAATGGCCATCCTTCAGTATGCCTGTGCCAAACTCCCATGGGTACTGCTATGGCTGTGCCCACAGCAGTGGGTAGGCATGGAGGAGAAATCCCACTCTCCAGTCATGCGCAAGCACCAAGGCCACCTGGCCCCTGGCGTAGAGTCACACTATTCCCTTGCAAAGCCAAACACACTGCCATTATCTACACTGGAGGCAATGTAGTCACTCTCAGCCCACATTTGGGGAGCTCTTGTATACAGGAAATCATGTACTCTGTTTTCTTTTGTCCCAAGGGACAAAGGACTAAGTGCAGCTCTTCTGGGGTGCTGTATTCTCTCATCCCCTAGGAGCAGCACTCTTTGAGGGCTAGTCCACTAGGAACCCTGAAGGTCCACTGGGTCCAGCCAGCCCTGTGACTGCTGCAATCTGAGCAGGTGCCAAGAGATATCTGCAGGGGCTCCAATGACGTGGAGACACAAGGGCAAAGTTCCCTGGGCAGGACACAGTTCCCTAGTGGGTACACTTCTAGTAGGGCACCCGCTACTGCCACTTGGGATTGAGGTAAGGGCAAGTAACCTAGCACAAGCTGGTAGTTTGGTGTATTAGCCTCAAGAAGTCCCCAAATGCACATATGAGCATTTGGGTTCACAAGATCAGAGAAGCTGTCTCACAGTTCAGGTAACAGCAGTCTTCTGCAGGTGCAGGGGGAGGCAAAAACATTCCTATCTACCCTTTTGTGAGGTAATACCATGTCCCTCTCTAAGTTCTGCCAGCTCTTGTTTCCTTCTTTTTCTGTGCCCTAACTACTTCCCAAGAGTTTTCCACTAGACTCAAGCACTCTCCACTTGATTCCATTTGAGTTATGATTATTCACCTGCAAATCTGGCTCTTATTTCTGAGAACTGGTGTCTGACATCTCTAGTCAGCTATTTTCTATGCATGTTCTGTTACAGGAAAAGTTTCCTGTCCCCTGGTATAAAGCATTACTCAAAGAAAGCTACCTCAAAGTAGATGGAAAAAGACTCCGTTTCTCAGACTCCACGTCACCCTTCGGCTACCAGTATGTTCGTTTGCTCCCATTTAAAGAAACTTTTTGAAAAAGTTTTCTATGCTCTCTCCAATTTCTCTCCTCACATTTTCTTTTGAATTTAGTACACTTAAACTTTTGCCTTCATTGAAATTTCTCTTATCAGCATCATCGGTGTTATAAATTTAAGGTAAAATTTTCAGGCCTCTTGTTGTTTGATATAGCAGCAGTGTCTGACATGATTGGGCACATTCAAAACTTTTTTTTTTTTTTTTTGTCTTGGCTTCTTCACCACATGTTTTCTTGCTTCACTGATTGCTTCTTCTCAGCCTCCTTTGCTGATCTTTTATCTTCCTGGCCTCTTAATGCTGGGTGCTCCAGGTTCAGTTCTTGGTCCTCTTATCTATCTAAATTGCCTCGGTGATTCTATCTAGTTTCACAACATTAATTAACATCTACATAGTCAGAACTTCCAAATTTCTATCTCTAACCTGGACCTGTCCTCTGATTCATACATCCAGTTTGGCATCTTTATTTGGACACCTCCAAACAGAACCTGTCCAAACAGAAAACCTAATAATCCCTCTGAAACCTGCTATCCCCAAAGTCTTTGCATGTCTGTTAATGTAAGCTCCATTTTTTCCAATTGCTCAGGCCAAAACCCTTTGAATGATTTTTGACTCCTCTTGCTCACACTTCACATTCAATCTATTTGCAAATTCTGTTGACTCTACTTTATCTATCTAAACACCACCCACTTCTTATCACCTCTTTTGCTAAAGTTGTAGTCCAAGTGACATGGTTTGAATGTGTCTCCCAATGTTTGTGTTGGAAACCTAATCCCCAATGCAAAAATATTGAGAGGTGGGACATTTAAGAGTTAAGTCATGAAAGTTTTGCCTTAATGAATGGGTTAATGTCATTATCTCAGGAGTGTATTGGTTATTGTCAGAGTGGGTTTGTTATAAAAGTAAGTTTGGTCCCCTTTTGCTCCCCTTCACTCTCTTGCCCATGAGATGCCTTTTACCATGTGAGGATGTGGCAAGTAGACGCTCATCAGATGTCAGCCCCTCAATCTTGGACTTCCTAGCCTCCAGAACTGTAAGCCAAATTTCTTTCCTTTATAAATTACCTAGTCTGTGGTATTCTGTTACAACAGCATTAAACAGACTAAGACACCAAGCCATTGCCATCTCTTACTTGAATTAATAAAATAGCTTTTGACTCATCTCCCAGCTTTTCCCCTTCATCTCTTTTATCCATTCACAACACAAGAATTAGAATATTCCCGTTTGTATGTAATTTAAATCACATAACTCCCCTATTTGCAACTTTTCAATGGTCCCATCTCAGTGAGAATAAAAGCCAAAGTCCTTCAAATGGCCTACATGAACCTATGTGATCTGGCCCTATTATGCCTCTGTCCTTATATGCCACCACTTTGTCAGGCATGAAAATGAAATGTGTGCAGCAGATCTCCTGCTGCAGAGAGAATTGACTGACAGCTTCAACTGCTGTGGTCAGAAATCTGTCACTAAATTCATGACAAGGCCATGCTTCCCATGGGCTTCTCTCAATGACTAAGCACGGCCAGGATACTCAATATAAGACCATTCGTAGAATAGTCAGGATTCCTCTGATGGGAAGCTTTAGCTCATAGACTCCCCATTAGCCTGTTCAGAACTTTTCTAGCACTGTGCTGCAATCTGAGACTCCTGATACCCAAACCTCCTTCAGAGGGATCAGACATAGATGATGGTCTGAGGCTTTCCCTACCTCTTGCGAATCCTCCCTCTTTGCCCTCACAAGTGTTTCTCCCATCAAATAACCTATAAGCATCTTTCAAAATTTTGTGAAATTATGGCATATAATTTTTCATTTTAAGACATTGACTCTAATTTGATATTTGACAGCTATTTCTCATGATGTGGGCAGTGAGTTCGAGAATTTATTTTTCATACTGCAGCTCATTAGCTATACTAAGTCAAAGTTATAAATAGTTCATATTAGGGCAAGAAATACCCCTACCATTTTGGCAAATAACTCCATTAGATGAATCTTTCTAAAACACAAAATGGTTGCTTTAGCTTATATATTTTTGTGAAACTTTTAATGAGCAGAACCTCAATTTAGCAATACAAGGTTGAAGAATTATTACATTTATAACTGCAAGTGAAATGTCAGTGTTGAAACAGATGTCAAATTTTTATTCACTTTTCTAAATTAAAATACATAAATTTGACTCTATGGAAACGTTAAAGAACTGTTTGATAAAAACCACTGAGGAATGTGAAATTTTACTAAATGACATCATTAAACCTCTAAGACTATTTGAAGATGTTTGAAAAAATGTTTTCTATTGAGAAAGATTACAAACTGGCTGAGGACCCACTTGTTGACTTTCTCTTGAGAAAACATTTTGTTATTAAGGACTCTGAATAATCGATACATATTAGTCAAGGCACTGGGAGATTTGGTGTCTGGTAGGGGCCTGCTCTCTGGTTCTATATGGTGTCTTTTCCCTGTGTGTTCACATGGTCAAAGGGACAAGGGAGCTCTCTGAGGGTTTCTTAATGCCCTTTTCATAAGGGCATTAATCCCATTCATGAGGGCTCTAGTCTCAGGATCTAATCACCTTCCAGAGGTCACATCTCCTAATAACATCATTTTGAGGTTAGAATTTCAACACAAGAAATTTGGGAGACAGATATTTATATCATCATGCCAATCTTGCTTCTGAATCAGGTTATCGTGAAGACAGACATTGGAAAAGGTAACTGCAATAATGACAGTTGGTTATTTGACATTTTCTAGGAATATTAACCATGCTGAAGAATTCACATATTTGTTACATTTTGCAGTATAAGCTTTGGAGGAATAAGTATGAGCAAACACGAGGACTAAAATACATTCCTTGCTATCCCTTCCTCCATACTGTCTCCTCAGCAATGGTTCATGGCCTAAATGTGAAGTGTTCATTGTATTTGTTCAGAGTACATTACTTTCAGCTCTGTTTTTCACCTGTAACTATCCACTATGTATTCTCATCTCTTCTGTTAAAACGTACAAAAGTGAGGGTGTAAAAACACTACAATGCCCTTACAGTAATGGGATTTTTTGCTCTGAATTGGGAACATAAGGGACATATTAAATGGAACATGCCAAAATGCTAAGGCAGCATGAGGGAGACCATCTGTCTCAATATTTTTTCTAGTTAATTTTAAGTGAGCAAAAGATTAAAAATACGTTTTCCTAGTCCTTGCATCTTCACAGAGGAAATCCATTAAAGCAGGAGCTTTGCCATTTGCCATTCCCTTATCTGTCTCCGAGTTACCAGCATTTAAATGAAGTTATGAAGCATCTAGGAAGGGAAAGGGTTTGGAAGAGGGAGAGTGTTAAAAAGTGATAGATTTCTTTGCTGACTGTATTAGTTTCCTATTGCTGCTGTAACAAATTATTACAAACACTGTGGCTTAAACAACACAATTTATACTACAGTTCTGTAGGGTAGAAATATAAAATGGGTCTTACTGGGCTAAATTTAAGGTATCTACCGTGCTACACTTTTTTTTTTTTAAAAAGGATCTAGTATCTGAGTTCTCTGGTAGATCAAAGAATAGTTGTTTCCTTGTCTTTGGCAGCTTCTAAAAATACCTTCTCATTCTTCAGCCTGTGGTCCCTTCCTCCATCTTCAAAGCCAGCAATGTTGCATCTCTGACAGAAAGGACATTGTTTAAGTATGTAATGGGTAACAAGTAAAACCTGAATACAATTTATTAGATGAAAATTAACTATAGTGCTAATCGTACATTTACTAAGCTTAGCACAACTTATATTTCACAGTCCCATTTCAAGAATGAATGGCTGGTTCAGTATTCATTTTTAAGCATATTTTTAATTCTTTTATTTCAGTAGTTTTTGGGGAACAGGTGGGGTTTTTTTGTTACATGGATAAGTTCTTGAGTGGTAATTTTTGAGATTTTGACGCATGCATCACCTAAGCAGTGTACACTGTACTTAAGTATAGTCTTTTATCCATCACCCCCATCCTACCCTTCCCCACGAGTCCCCAAAGTTCATAATATCATTCTTGTGCCTTTGCATCCTCATAGCTTAGATCCCACTTAAAAGTGAGAACATATGATACTTGATTTTCCATTCCTGAGTTACTTCACTTAGAATGGTCTCCAGCTCCATCCAGGTTGCTGCCAGTGCCATTATTTTGTTTCTTTATACGGCTGAGTAGTATTCCACTGTGTATACACACATTTTCTTTTTCCATTCGTTGGTTCATGGGCATTTAGGCTGGTTTCACATATTTGCAGTTGTGAATTATGCTATTGTAAACATGTGTCTGCAAGTGTCTTTTTCATATAATGACTCCTTTACTCTGGGTAGATAGCTAGTAGTGGGATTGCTGGATCAAACGGTAGATCTACTTTTTGTTCTTTAAGGAATCTCTATACTGTTTTCCATAGTGTTTGTACTAGTTTACATTCCCAGTAGCATTGTAAAAGTACTCCCTTTTCAACACATCCATGCCAACATCTATGATTTTTTGATTGCTTAATTATGGCCATTCTTGCAGGGGTAAGGTGGCATCTCATTTTGCTTTTAGTTTGCATTTTTCCTGATAACTAGAGATCTTGAGCATTTTTCACGTTTGGCCATTTGTATATCTCTTGAGAATTGTCTACTAATGTCCTTTGTCCACTTTTTGATGTGATTATTTTTTTCTCTTGCTGATTTGAGTTCCTTGTAGATTCTGGATATTCTTTGTTGGATACTTAGTTTGAGAATATTTTCTCCCATTCTGTAAGTTGTTGGTTTAACTCTGCTGATAACTTATTTTGCTGTGCATAAGCTTTTAGTTCAATTAGGTTCTGTCTATTTATCTTTGTTATTGATGGATTTGCTGTTGGGTTCTTGGTGACGAAGTCTTTGCCAATGTCTAGAAGGGAGGGTTTTTCCAATGTTCTAGAATTTTTATGGTTTCAGGTCTTAGATTTAAGTCTTTGATCCATCTTGAGTTAATTTTTGTATAGGGTGAGAGATGAGGATCCAGTTTCATTCTTCTACACATGGCTTGCCAATTATTCCAGCACCATTTCTTGAAAAGGTTGTCCTTTCTCCACTTTGTTTTTGTTTGCTTTGTTGAAGGTCAGTTGACTGTAAGTATTTGGCTTTATTTCTGGATTCTCTATTCTGTTCTGTTGGTCTATGTGCCTATTTTTATACCAACACCATGCTGTTTTGATAACTATAGCCTTTGTAGCACAGTTCAAAGTCAGGTAATGTGATGCCTCCAGATTTGTTCTTTTTGCTTAATCTTGCTTTGGCTATGTGGGCTCTTTTTTGGTTCTATATGTATTTTAGGATTTTTTTTTTCTAGTTCTGTGAGGAATGATGCTGCTTTGACAGGAATTGCATTAATCTGTGGATTGCTTTTGGAAGTATTGGTCGTTTTTGCAATATTGATTCTACCCATCCATGAGCATGGGATGTGTGTTAATTTGTGTCATTAATGATTTCTTTCAGCAGTGTCTTTTAGTTTTCCTTGTAGAAGCCTTTCACCTGCTTAGGTATGTTCCTATTTTTTTGCAGCTGTTGTAAAAGGAATTGAGTTATTGATTTCATTCTGAGCTTGGTCATTGTTGGTCTATAGCAGTGCTACTGATTTGTGTACAATAATTTTGTATGCTGAAATTACTGAATTCAGTTATCACACCTAGGAGCTTTTTAGATGAGTCTCTAGGGTTTTCTAGGTATACAATCATATCATCAGCAAACAACAGTTTGATTTCCTCTTTACTGATTTGGATGCCCTTTATTTCTTTTGTTTGATTGCTCTGGCTAGGACTTCCAGGACCATGTTGAATAGAAATGGTAAAAGTGGGCATCCTTGTCTTGTTCCAATTCTCGGGGGGGAATACTTTCAACTTTTCCCCATTCACTATAATGTTGGCTGTGGGTTTCTCATAGATGGTTTTTATTACCTTTGAGGTATGTCCCTTCTGTGCCAAGTTTGCTGGGGTTTTTAATCATAAAGGGATGCTCAATTTTGTCAAACTTTTCAGCATCTATTGAAATGATCATATTTTTCTTTTAAATTCTGTTTATGTGCTGTATCACATTTATTGACTTGCTTATCTTAAACCATCCCTGCATCCCTGGTATGAAACCCACTTGATCATGGTATATTATCTTTTTTAATATGCTATTGGATTCATTTAGCTAGTATCTTGTGGATTTTTGTACCTATTCTTCAGGGATATTGGTCTGTAGTTTCTGTTTGTTTGTTATATCCTTTCCTGATTGGGAGATTAGGATGATTCCGGCTTCATAGAATGATTTATAGAGGATTCCCTTTTTCTTTTGGATTAATTTCAGTAAAATTGGTATCAATTCTTCTTTGAATGTCTGATAGAATTCAGCTGTGAATCCATCTAGTCCTGGGCTTTTTGTTTGGCAATTTCTTACTGTTTCAATCCTGCTACTTGTTATTGGTCTATTCAGTTTCTATTTTTTTTCCTGGCTTAATCTAGGAGGGCTGTATATTCTCAGGAATTCATCTCCTCTAGGTTTTCTAGTTTGTGTGTGTGTGAAGGTGTTCACAGTAGCCTTGAATGATCTTCCGTATTTCTGTAGTATTGGTTCTAATAGCTCCAATTTCTTTTTCTTTTTCTTTTTTTTTCTTTTGGAGATGGAGTCTCATTCTGTAGCCCAGGCTGGAGTGCAATGGTGCAATCTTGGCTCACTGAAACCTCCACCTCCTGAGTTCAAGTGATTCTCCTGCCTCAGCCTCCCGAGTAGCTGGGGCTACAGGTGTGTGCCATCACGCCCGGCTAACTTTTTGTTTCTTTAGTAGAGACTGGGTTTCACAGTGTAAGCCAGAATGGTCTCAATCTCCTGACCTCCATGATCTGCCAACCTGGCCTCCCAAAGTGCTAGGATTACAGGTGTGAGCCACCACGCCTGGCCCCATTTCATTTCTAATTGAGCTTATTTGGATCTTCTTTCTTTTCTTGGTTCAACTCATTAATGGTCTATCAATTTTGTTTTTCTTTTCAAAGACCCAGGTTTTTGTTTCATTTATCTTTTGTATTTTTTATTTTGGTTTAATTTTAATAGTTCCACTGTGATCTTTGTTATTTCTTTTCTTCTGCTGGTTTTGGGTTTGAATTGTTCATTTTTCTCCAGTTCCCTGAGGTGTGACCTTAGATTGTTTATCCTTTTTCAGACTTTTTTGATGTGGGCATTTAATGCTATGAACTTTCCTCTCAGCACTACTTTTGCTGTATCACAGAGGTTTTGATAGGTTGTGCCAGTATTATTCAGCTCAAAAAATAATTTCTGTCTTAACTTCATTGTTAATCCAAAGATCATTCAAGAGCAGATTATTTAATTTCCATGTATTTGTATAGTTTAGGGTTTCTTTTGGAGTTAATTTCCAGTTTTATTCCAATGTAGTCTGAGAGGATACTTGACACAGTTTTGGTTTTCTTTTTTTTTTTTTTTTTTTTTTTTTGAGATGGAGTTTCGCTGTCTCGCCCAGGCTGGAGTGCAGTGGCACGATCTCAGCTCACTGCAAGCTCTGCCTCCCAGGTTTATGCCATTCTCCCGCCTCAGCCTCCCAAGTAGCTGGGACTACAAGCACCCGCCACCACGCCCTGCTAATTTTTTGTATTTTTAGTAGAGACAGGGTTTCACCGTGTTAGCCAGGATGGTCTTGATCTCCTGACCTCGTGATCCACCCACCTCGGCCTCCCAAAGTGCTGGGATTACAGGCATGAGCCACTGCACCCGGCCATAGTTTTGGTTTTCTTAAATTTATTGAGACTTCTTTTGTGACCTATCATATAGTTTATCTTAGAGAATATTCCATGTGCTGGAAAAAAGAATGTATATTCTGCAGTTGTTGGAGAGAATGTTCTGTAAATATCTGTTAAGTCCATTTGTTCTATGGAATAGTTTAAGTCCATTGTTTTTGTTGACTTTCTGTCTTGATGACCTGTCTAGTGCTGTCAGTGAAGTATTGAAGTCCCCGGATATTATTGTGTTGCTGTCTATCTCATTTCTTAGGTCTAGTAGCAATTGTTTTATAAATTTGGGAGCTCCAGTGTGACATGCATATATATTTAGGACTGTGATATTTTCTTGTTGGACTAATCTTTTTATCATTATATAATGTCCCTCTTTGGTGTGTGTGTGTGTGTGTGTGTGTGTGTGTGTGTGTGTGTTTCTGTTGCTTTAAAGCCTGTTCTCTCTGATACAAGAATAGCTACTCTGCTCACTTTTGGTTTTCGTTTGTATGGAATATCTTTTTCTACCCCTTTACTTTGAGTTTGTGTGTACTTATGTGTTAGGTGAGTCTCTTGAAGACCACCAATACCTGGTTGGTGGATTTTTATCCATTCTGCCATTCTGTATCTTTTAAGTGGAACATTTAGGCCATTTACATTCAATATTAATATTGACATGTGGGGTACTGTTCTATTTCATCATGCTAATTGTTGTCTTAATACCTTGATTTTTTTTTTCATTGTGTTTTATAGGCCCTGTGAGATTTATTCTTTAAGGAGGTTCTATTTTGGTATATTTTGAGGTTTTGTTTCAAGATTTAGAACTCCTTTTAGCAAATTATCTCGGCATTTGCTAGTCTGAAAAAGACTATCTCCCCTTCATGAAACTTAGTTTTTCTAGAAACAAAATTTTGGATGACAATTATTTTGTTTCAGGAGGCTAAAGATGAGACCTTAAACTCTTCTGTCTTGTAAGGTTTCTGCTGAGAAATGTGCTGTTAATCGGATAGGTTTTCCTTTGTAGGTTATCTGATGCTTTTGTCTCAAAGCTCTTGAGATTCTTTCCTTCATGTTGAATTTAAATAACCTGATGACTATGTGCCTAGGTGATGGTCTTTTTACAATGAATTTTCCAGGTGTTCTTTGTGCTTCTTATATTCAGATATATAGCTCTCTGACAATGCCAGGAAAGTTTTCCTCGATTATTCCCCCAAATATGTTTTCAAAACTTGTAGATTTCTCTTCTTCCTCATGAATACCAATTCTTAGGTTTTGCCATTTAATATAATCCCAAATTTCTTGGCTTTGTTCATTATTTTTAATTGTTTTTTATTTTTCCTTGTATGATTAATTCAAAAGCCTTGTCTTTGAGCTCTGAAGTTGTTCTATTTAGTCTATTCTTGAAACTTTCCACTGCATTTTGTATTTCTTTAAGTGTATTTCATTTCCAGAAGTTGTGATTGTTTTCTCTATTTTTCTGGAGAACTTATCCATTGATAAAAAACTTATCTGTATTGTTTTTTAAACTTATTTAAATTGTTTTTCACCTTTCCCTGGTATCTCCTTGAATAGCTGAATCAACCTTCTGAATTCTTTAGCTGGCAATTCAGAGATTTCTTCTTGTGAATCCACTGTTGGGGGGCTGGTGTAATTTTTGGGGGATGTTGTAGAACCCTGTTTTGTCATATTAGAATTACTTTTCTGGTTCCTTATCATTGAGTAGGCTATTTCAGTGTAGAGGTCTGAAACTCAAGCCTTTCTGTTTAGATTCTCTTGTCCCACATGGTGATCCCTTGATGTGCTACTCTCCTCCTTCCCCTAGGGATGGGGGTTCCTGAGAGCCCAACTGCAGTGATTGCTATTGCTCTTCTAAGTCTAGCCACCCAGTGGGGCTACCAGGCTCTGGGCTTGTGCTGGGAGATATCTGCAAAGAGTCCTGTGATCTGGTTCATCTTGAGGTCTTCCAGCCCTGGATACCAGCACCTGCTTTGGTGGAGGCAGCAGGGAAGTGAAGTAGACTGTGTGAGAGACCTTAGTTTTGTAGGTACGTTTAGTTTGCTGGCTTTCTTGAATGCTGGTTGTGCTAGCAGTGAAGTTGTCATATGGACACACTCAGTACCTCTGGTTAGCCAGGATGTTGTAGGTAGTGGAATTAGCTGTTGTCTTTTCTTTCCTGGGATCAGGATTATTTTGTCATGAGTTGCTGTAATGGCCTGAGTTTGTTAGCAGCAGGAGGTGGCACTTTCAAGAGAGCACCAGCTGCAGTAGTAGTAGGGGATCTATGCTTGTCTTAAATTGGCCAGGGTAAGTATTTTGGTTTCTCAGGCAATGGGTGGGGCCATAAAGCTCCCAAGAGTTTCTCTCTTGTCATTGGCTACCAGGGTGGGTAGAGAAATGCCATCATGTGGGGGCAGGGTTAGGCAGCTCTGGGCTCAACCTTTCCTTGAGGGGGCTTGCTGTGTGGTCTCGGTGAGGGTTGGGGGTGGTTCTCAGACCAGTCGGGTTGTGTTCCAGAGGGGAGCCTCTGCTGTGTCATACAGTTTGCCAGGAAGTGGGGGATAGCTGAGAGTCCTCATCCAGCTCCCAGGCAGTTGACAAGGCCCTCCCACAGTGCCCCCTACCCTCAGTTTCCTTCAGTCCATGAGCTTCCCCACTGAGAAAGCATAACCTCACCCCTCCCTGTCTGCCCACTCCTTGGGCTGTGGCTCCTGCCATCCTGTGCTGGAATCTACAGCAGTTCCCACTCATCCCCGGGACTCCACTCAGGAGAATTTATGCCCAGTCAAAAACACTACCAACTTCAGTTGGAAGCTTCCTTTACCCTGCTACCCCTCTCCAATTTAGCTGGGTACCTTCCCTGAGGGCCCCTGCGAGATAGTCAGGGATGGCTTCTATAAGCTAGGGCTGGAGACTGGGAGTATCTGCAAGGCACTTTCCACTGCTACTTCTACTTGTATGTTTTGTACCACTCCCTGAGTCTATTTCAGCTCTAGGTTAGGTTAAATCCTCTTATGATCTGGATTTTCAGATTCTTTAGTGTGGGTGTGTGTTCTAAGGTAAGTTTTCCTTCTCTCACACTTTAGGAACTCACAGTTTTTAGCCTGTCTTGCAGAATTTGCAGCAGCATGCTGCTTCTTTCAAAGGATATGTGAATTATTTTGTTTTCCTGGTGTGTTCCCGTGGTGGTTTTTGGAGCAAAAGATCACAGTGTGAGTCTCCACATGCTGTTTTGTCTGTCCGAGTGGGAGCTGCACATTAGCCCTGTTTCTTATCTACCATCCCAGTTCTGCATTTATTTTTAAGAACAACATCTTTCCCCTTAACCTGTTTACCTCTATAAGATTGATGGTTGCTTATGTGTTAGGTCAAACATGCAATTGGTGAGTGGGTAAAACTATTTTGTTATTACACAAGGAACACGTGTTTATTAGAGAAATTTTTGGAAAATATACATACACAAAAGGAAAAAGATAAGTCATCGGCAATCTCACTATGGAAAGTGAATCACTGGTAACATTTTGGAACATATTCTTCCAGCATTATTTCTATGCAAATATACAGAAAATAGAATATATATAGTCTATTTTAAACTTCTTTAACACCTGGAGATTGTTTCATGTCATGTCATTTTTTTTTTTTGGCATTTTAAACTAATGATAGATAGTATTCCATTATTTGAATATGCCAAAATGTTACTCTTTTCTCAATGACAGACATTTACATTTCTTTGGATTTTTCTCTATTAAATACAACTCTGTGCTGTGCAAATATCTTATTTTCATAAGGGATAAACGTCTAAAAGAGGAGCCCCGAGGTGAAAGATCATATATGGTTTAAAGACTGTTAATACGTCTTGCCAACCTTTTGTGGTGTAAGACCTAAAATTAAGGACTGACGTAATATGCTGCCTTGACATCTGGTAAAATCAGGAAGGCTTCAGATGGCCTAACTGAAAGTTTCCCTCCCTACTCTGCTCCTGCAGATAAGGTTCCCCCCAAACAATCTCTTATTACCAGGACCAAGTACAGTTCCTGCTTATCCCTGAGTAAGGAGTTTCAGTTCTTTTCCAGCCTACAGCTGGCAAGGAAGCCAATCACACACTCCAGAAGAACTAGGCACATTTCACTCTTGATACTATAAATCCTGCCTCCCACAGTGATTACATGTTCACTCTTTACAAGTGCAACCCCTGTTTGGCCCTGCATGGTGTGTAGTGTCTTCCTCCACTGGATTGTGACTGACAAATTGCTATTGATCTCACCTGTGCAGTGTCAGGTGTCATGTTTGGCCATCTCCATAACCCTAGGCTATGAATCCCTCCCTCATCAATGAGGTGAAGAGCAGGCAATTAAAATGCCTACCTTCAGAAAAATTGAATTTATTTTATGATGGTGGTTCTAAAGCATTTAAGATCATGAATCCTACACAAATCTTACGAAAATTCAGAATTCTAATTACAAACAAACGAGCTGCTGCTCAAACGTACACATTTTGCATGCAATTTCAGATTATTTAAGGGATCCTCTGAAGCACCCAGAATGACTCATGAATTTGTGAATCTTTGTTTAAAAAAAAGGATTATTACTGGCTCAATTTTAAAATACGTCATTTTTGTTCCATTGCCATGTAAAATGTGCTTCCAATAGCTTACATTTCAAGACTTTTTTATAACAATGTTACTACATATATTACCATATAGATGGACTAAATGTTAAATATGTGGGAAGAACAAATGTCTTAATAGATTCTGTTATCCAGTTAAAAAAAGAAAAGTGGTTTGATTTTGGGTGGTGGTTTTTTTTTTTTTTCAGAACTGGGAAAAAGAAGGCTAAACATACTATTTTTTGTGTCTGCTTCACATTGGGCTCCATGCCAGGCATTGCATGAGTAATAGTTCTTCAATCTTGCAAGATTATGAGAATGATGAATGTAGATTGTCATGCAGTAGATATTCCGTTATTGAGAAGCCATGAGGTACTGTAGAATTTGGATTTTGACAATAGAATGACCTGAACTCCAATCTTGATGTATCCACAGCATAATCTTAGACAGTTTACTTAAACTGTTTCATTTTTCTCATCTGTAAAACTGAAAATCAAAACAATAGTACTTATCTTGTATGGTTTATAGTCATTAAAAGTAAATGCTGATATATTAAGTACCTTCTTTAGTACCCAGCATTGGTATACATCAATAAATTTTTATTATTACCACTTCTCCTTGCAGATGTGGAAACAGGTCTAGAGGACTTGCCAGAATGTCACACAGATATCAAGTCTATGACCATAAGTTACTATCAGGGTCTGAGTCAAGTGAAAGATAATTGTAAACAGATTATAATTAGATTAATTTTCAGAATGTGTATGGCTTTCTGAAATTTCTATTAGCATACAAACATCTGTCAAAAAATAAACACTCGGGGCTAGGGAATAAGAATACATCTTAATTTTCTTAATGTTTATGTTTAAGGGGTACAAGTACAGATTTCTTACGTGAATGTATTGCATAATGGTGAAGTCTGGGCCCTTAGTGTAGCCATCACCTGAATAGTGAACATTATACCCAGTAGGTGATTTTTTTAACCCTTACCCCCTCCGACCTCCCACCATTTTAAG
The DNA here is from genome assembly GCF_000001405.40 of Homo sapiens. Classification (NCBI taxonomy): domain Eukaryota; kingdom Metazoa; phylum Chordata; class Mammalia; order Primates; family Hominidae; genus Homo; species Homo sapiens. Next base: position 147,678,801 of record NC_000023.11, on the reverse strand, counting down.
TATCTAATGCCTGTTATTCCACTCTGTATATCCATGTGTACTCATTGTTTAGCTTTCACTTATAAGTGAGAACATGTGATAGTTGACTTTCTATTTCTGAGTTACCTCACTTAAGATAATGGCCTCCAGTTCCATCCATGTTGCTGCAAAAAACATGATTTCATTGTTTTATAACTGAGTAGTATTTCATGGTTTATATACCATATTTTCCTTCTTTAATGCTCCATTGATACTTAGTTTGTTTCCATGACTTTGCTATTGTGAATAGTGCTATAATAAACATCAGAGTGCAGGTATCTTTTTTGATATAATTCCTTTTTTTGGTGGGGGGAGATTCCCAGTAGTGGGATTGCTGGATCAAATGGTAGTGCCATTTTTAGTTCTTTCAGAAATCTCCATACTGTTTTCCATACAGGTTATATTAATTTACACTCCTGCCAAGGGTCTCTAAGTGTTCGCTTTTCTCCACATACTCACCAACATCTGTTGTTTCCTGACTTTTTAATAATAGCCCTTCTGACTGGTGTAAGATGATACCTCATTTTGGTTTTAATTTGAATTTCTCTGATTTGTGATATTGAGCATTTTTTCATAAATGTATTGACCATTTGCATGTCTTCTTTTGAAAAATGTTTATTCTTATCCTTGGCCCACTTTTTAATGGGACTGTTTGCTTTTTTGTTATTGAGTTGTTTGAATTTATTGTAGATTCTGGATGTTAGCCCTTTGTCAGATGCAACACTTGCAAACATCTGTAGGTTTTTTTGTTTTTCTTTACAGACGCTTTAAGTCCCATTTGTCTATTTTTGGTTTCATTACATTTGCTTTTGATGACTTAGTCATTAATTATTTTCCTAGGCCAATGTCCAGAAGAATTTCCTAGGTTTTCTTCTAGTATTTTTATAGTTTCAGGTTTTACATTTATGTCTTTATCTTGAGTTAATTCTTGTATATGGTGAGAGGTACGGATCCAGTTTCATTTTTCTACATATGACTACCCAATTTTTTCAGCACTATTTATTAAATAAGGTATACTTCTCCAGCATATATTTTCATTGACTTTGTTGAAGATCACTTGGTTGTATGTAGGTGGCTTTATTTCTGGGTTCTCTATTCTGTTCCATTGAGGTATATGTCTATTTTTATACCAGTACCATGTTGTTCTGGTTACTATAGATAGAATTATAGTATAATTTCAAGTCAGGTAATGTTATGCCTCCAGTTTTGCTCTTTTTGCTTAGGATTGCTTTGCTATTAAATCTTTTTTGATTTCATATGACCTTTAGGATTTTTTTTTTCTAATTCTGTAAAAAATGACATTGGTAATTTGACAAGAATTTCATTGAATCTGTAGAATTCTTTGGTTAGTATGGTCATGTTAATAATATTCTTCCCTTCCAAGTGCATGGGATGTTTTCCCATATATACGTGTCATCTATGATTGCTTTTATCAGTGTTTTGTAGTTCTCTTTATGCAGAAGGTATATTAGGCCATTCTTGCATTGCTATATAAAGAAGTACCTGACACTGTATAATTTATAAAGAAAAGAGGTTTGACTTGCAGTTCTTCAGGCTTTATAGGAAGCATGGTGCTGGCATCTACTCAGCTTCTAGGGAGTCCTCGAGAAGCTTACAATCATGGTGGATGTAAGCAGAAACGGGAGAGAGTGGAAGGGAGGTGCCACACACTCTGAAATGACTAGATCTCGCAACAACTTACTATTGTGAAGATAGCACCAAGCCATGAGGGATTTGCCCTGTGACCCAAACACCTCCCACCAATTCACACCTCCAATTCACACCTCCTGAATTGGGAATTACAATTCAACGTGAGATTTGGGAGGGGACGAATGTCCAAACTATGTCATTCTGCCTTTGGCCCATCCCAAATCTCATGTCCTTCTCACACTGCAAAAATACAATCATACCTTCTTAACAGTCCCCCAAAGTCTTAACTCATTCCACCATTATCTGAAAAGTCCATTGTCCAAAGTCTGATCTGAGATAAGGCAAATCCCTACCACCTATGAAACTTAACTTTTTTTTTCCCCAAGAGACAAGGGGTGAATAGGCATTGGGTAAACATTGCTATTCCAAAGTGAAAAACTGGCCAAAAGAAAGGGGCTACAGGCCTCACGCAGGTTTGAAATCCAGCAGGCAGTTACTAAATCTTAAAGTTCAAAAATAATCTCTTTTGAGTCCATGTCCCACATCCAGGGCACACTGGTGCAAGGGGTGGGCTCCCACAGTGTCGGGCAGCTCTGCCTCTGTTGTTTTTGCAGGGTTCAGCCCCGAGGCAGCTTTCAAGGCCTGGAGTTGACTGATTGTGGCTTTCCATGCTGAGGGTGCAAGCCGACAGTGGGTATACCATTCTGGAATCTGGAAGGCAGTGGATGCCATCTCATAGCTCCACCAGGCAGTGCCCCGTTGGGGACTCTGGGTGGCGGCTCCAACCCCACATTTCCCCGTGGAACTGACCTAGTAGGAATTCTCTGGGGGGGTTCTACCCTGTAGCAGCCTTCTGCCTGGGCACCCAGAATTTTCCATACATCCTCCGAAATCTAAGCAGAGGCTGCCAAATGTTCAGTCTTATATTCTGTGCACCTAAAGGCTTAACACCATGTGGAAGCTGCTAAGGCGTATGACTTGCGTTCTCCAAAGTAGCAGCCTGAGCTGTACCTGGGCCCCTTTGAGCTACAGGTAGAGCAGCTGGGATGTTGGGAACACCCTCCAGAGGCTATTTAGAGCAGCAGGGCCCTGGGACTGTGATGGGAGGGGCTGCCAGGAAGGACTCTAAAATGCCTTCAAAGCCTTTTCTCCATTGTCTTTAATGTTAGCAGTTGGCTCTCTTTCACCCATGCAAATATCTCCAGGAAGTGGTTGCTCTGCAGCTTGCTTGAATTCTTCTCCTTAAAAGCTTTTCTTTCTTTGCCATGTGGCTAGGCTGCAAATTTCCCAAACTCTAACACTCTGCTTCCTGTTTAAATATAAGTTCCAACTTTAAGTCATTCCTTTGCTACTGCATCTGAACAAAGGCTGTTAGAAGCAAAATCTTGAACACTTTGCTGCTCAGATATTTCTTCTGCCAGATATTTTAGGGTCATCACTCTCAAGCTCAAACTTCTACAGACCTCCAAGTCACGAACAGAAAGTAGCCAAGCTCTTTGCTAAAGCATAACATACCTGACCTGTGCTCCACTTCCCACTAAGTTTCTCATTTTCACCTGAGATCTCAGAAGCCTGGACTTCACTGTCCATGTCACTACCAGCATTTTGGTCGCATCCACTTAACCAGTCTGTAAGAAGTTTCAAACTTTCCTTCATCTTCCTGTCTTCTGAGGCCCCCAAACTCTTCCAACGTCTGCTTGTTACCCAGTTCCAAAGCTGCCTCCACATTTTCAATGATCTCTATTACAATGCCACAGTCCTCGGTACCAATTTTCTGTGTTAGACCATTCTTGCATTGCTAATAAATACCTAAATCTGGGTACATTAGAAATAAAATAGGTTTAATTGGCTCATGGTTCTGCAGGCTTTACAGGATGCATGACGCTGGTATCTCATTGGCTTCTAAGGAGGCCTCAGGAAGCTTATAGTCATGACTGAAGGTGAAGGGAGTAGGCGTGTCATGTGGTGAAAGTGGGATGGGGAAGGTACCACACACTTTTAAAAGATGTTATCTTGAGAGAACTCACTATTATGACGACAGCACCAAGCCATGGGGGATTTTCCCCATGACCCAAACACATTCCACCAGGCCCCACCTCCAGCATTGGAGATTACAATTCAACATGAGATTTGGGCTGGGAAAAATACACAAACTATATCAGAAGGGATGTCACATTTGACAAAAAGCAGGAATAGCTATAGCTGTCACATTTTGAGAATGCTCAAGGAACAGAGGCTCACTGGGAATTCATTTAGAAAATCTAAGTTGATGATTCATTCTCTGAGCTTCTGCCACGGTATTATCCCATAGTAGAGTCCTCTGGAGTGATACAACTGCATGCTTAGGGGTATCTGCCATATTTCAGACCCTGAGATTTTGCATACATTTTCTAATTTAAGCCCTACAACTAAAGAAGTGTACTTATCTCCATTTCATATGATGAAATTGAAAGTTTGAGAAGTTGCAGTCACCTCCTAAGAAGTAGCACAGGCTGGAAGGCAATCAAGGACTGTTTGACTGCTCTTACTTAAATTAGCTGAGGAATAAAAATACTACAATTATATGCTAATAACTATTACGATGACCAAGTATTAAATGTTTACTGCGTGCTAGGCACCTGCATAAGATAATTCATTTAATCCCCACCATAAACAGAGGACATAGATAATGTTATTACCTCTACAATGAAGCAGAAACAGAGGTTTAAAGAGTCAGTGACTTGGTCAGTCAGGACCACACAGCTAGGAAGTAGGCGAGTTAGTTTTCATACTTTCATTTCTTATACCAAGAATGAACTATGGATAAGAGCTTGAATAGGAAGACAACTTATCACACAATAATATCAAAAGAGTTTTCTGTTGCACCAGTGATTTTATTTAAAGCAATGTAACTTTCATACCCTACCTGAAGTAAATGTCTGCTATAAATAAAATTAAGGACAATTTATCATCTTACTCATTTTTGCTAGAAGGTGTTATAGAAATAACTGGCTATAAACATCTTGATCTTTCTTTCACATGTAACATAAAATATACATTCTAAAACATAGATGTACAAAATCATGAATAATTATAAATCAGATATCTGTGTAACCAGCAATCAAGTAAATAAAAAAGAACATCATTGGCACCAGTAAGCCCCTGAGAGACCCTTCTAATCACGTACCCTTTCCATGTATATACACTCATCATTTTGACTTCTTTGTGACAGGCCTGCTCACATCTTTTGCCCATTTTTTCACATTTATGTTGCAGCTCTTTATATATTCTAGAAATGAGCCCACTGATACTGCAAATATCTTCTTATATTCTATAGCTTGTCTATTGTGTCTTTTGATGGACATTTTTAATTTCAAGATAATTTTGAGAAAATCATATATAACTTTGATAAATTTGTTCAAGTTTATATCAATCATTTATGCTTTATGCCTTTCATCTCATCTTAAAAATAATTCCATATGTGACATTCTTCTATATTATGAAGATGCTTTATACTTTCACGTTTTCACATTTTAGTCTAAAATCCACCTGGAGTTGGTAATAGAAGAGCGAGTTGGAGGTTCAGTTTAACATTTTTTCATATCGTTACTCAATTATCCCAGCATCTCTTACTAAAAAGATTATCCTTTCCCATCCTTTGCTGTAATTCAAATGTCTCTCCATGCGTGGGTCTGTTTGTGGACTCTTTTTTTTTTTTTTTTTCCCTGTTTCTCTACTTGTCTGTTCTAGCACCAATATTACATTATGTAATTAGTAATGCTTTTAATCTTCATATTTAGCAGAGCAAGACTTTTCACCTCTTTCTTCTTAAAGTGTCATGGCTATTATTGACCCAGTAAATTTCTATATAACTTTGAGTCAGCTTTGTTAAATTCACAGGCACAAACATAATCCCTCTCTCACACACACACACACACACTCAAACACACACACTCACATTCTCATACACTTTGCCAAAATAACCCTTTACCAAAACAAACTTTAAGTGTTTAATTTTTAATTTTTTAAATTTCATAATGTAAAATGAAAAAATAAAATCTTTAGGGTATACTGTTCTATAAGTTTTGACAAGTACGTAAAGTTGTGTAACTACCACCACAATCAAGATATAGAACAGTTACATCACCACTGAAAATGCCTTTGTGATGCTTGTTTGTTGTCAAATATTCCCCACTCTAATCTGTTAACCTTTGGTAGGGCTATTTATTTGAGACTGAGTCTCTCTCCAGGTTGGAGTGCAGTGGCGCAGTCTTGGCTCACTGCAACCTCTGCCTCCCGGGTTCAAGTGATTCCCCTGCCTCAGCCTCCTGAGTAGCTGGTGCTACAGGTGACTGCCATCACACCTGGCTGATTTTTTGTATTTTAATAGATGGGGTTTCACCATGTTGGGCAGGATGGTCTCCATCTCCTGACCTTGTGATCTGCCTGCCTTGGCCTCCCAAAGTGCAAGGATTACAGGTGTGAGGCACCGCATGCAGCCTTTGATAGGGCGTTTGAGTCTGGCTTCTTTCATTCAGCATGATGTCTCAGATTTTTTTCAAGTATTGCATGTATCAATAGTTTATTCCATTTTATGGCTGAGTAGCATAGAATTGTATGAATGTACCACAATTTGGCTATTCATTCATTGAGAGGAACTTGGGTAGACAGTTTTTGAGGATTATGAATAATGTTGCTATAAACTTTCACAATATAGAATTTTGTGTGCACATTTTCATTTCTCAAAAGTAGGATTGCTGGGTCATACAATAAGTGTATGTTTAACTTTATAAGAAGCTTCCCCCATTTTTTTTCCAAAATGGCTATATCATTTTGCATTCTTACTAGTGGTATAGCAAAGTTTTAGTTTCTCCATATCCCCACCAGCATTTGTGATTGTCTTTCTAAAAAATAGCCATTCTAGTACATGTATAGTGATATATTGCTAAGTTTTTTTTTTCTTGCATTTCTCTAAGGATGAATGATGTTAAACATCTTTTCATGCAGTTATTCACCATATGCATATCTTCTCTGAAGGCTCTGTTCAATCGTTTTTTCATTTTTGATTAGGGTTTGATTTTATATTAACTTTTGAGCGTCTAAATGTATATCCTGGATAGAACTCTTTACAGATACGTGATTTGCAAATATTTTTCTCAGGGTAAAGTTTGTCATTTTATCCAAGTTCCTCTCAATGAATGAATAGACAAATTGTGGTACATTCATACAATTCTAGGCTACTCGGCAATAAAATGGAATAAACTATTGATACATGTAACACTTGAAAAAAATCTGAGACATTATGCTGAATGAAAGAAGCCAGACTAAAAGCTCTGTCTTCTGCAGGAAAAAAAGCTGTTTTTTTTTTGTTTGTTTTAAAGTTTGAAGAAGTCTGGTTTATCAAAGTTCTTTGCATTGCCTGTTTGTCACATCTAAAAACTCTTTGTTAACCCAAGGTCACAAAGGTTTTTTCTTTGGAAATTTTCCATATTAAAGTCTATACTGCATTGTTGTATTAATTTTTGAATAAGGTATGAGATAAGGGATGGAGGTTTTTTTGGATATGGATATCAAATGTTTCTTGGAATGTTTGTTGAAGACTATCATTTCTGCATTGAATTGGGTTTATGTACTTTTTTCTAAACCTTTTCAGTATTCCATTTTAATGTATCTGTTTAACTCTAAGCTACTTTTGTTTGTATTATATCTTTTTAGTGTTTGCTATAGTTATTATATTTTACCTTTCAGTCTACTTAGTATTTCACCATTTCAAGTAAAATGTAGAAGCTTAAGTACAATCTAGGTCCCTTTGTCCTCCCACCTTGTTGTCACATGTATTACATATATATACATTGAAAACTAGACAGTTTTTGCTTTCAACAGTCATGTACATTTTGCATAATTTAACAAGAGAACAAGAGTCTATTATGTTTACTCAGATATTTACCATTTCTGCTGCTCTTCATTTCTAAAATTACAAGCTTCCCTCTAGTATCACTTCGTTTCAGACTGACAAAGTTCATTTAGCTATAAAGCAAATCTGCCAGTGATAAATGCTTTTCATCTTCCTCTTTCTATGTTTCTCTTTCATATAAGTTCTTGAAAGACATTTTTCTTTGTTATAAAATTCTGAGATAATAGTTCTTACCTTCAGCACTCAGATTTTATTCTGTTGTCTTCTGGTCTTTATTTTTCATAAAATTTTTCAATTATTTGAATCGGTGTCCCCTTATCTGTAATGTATCAGTTTTTCTCTGGTTGCTTTCAAGGCTTTATCTTTGGTTTTTTTACAGTTTGATTATGATGAGTCTCTGCATGGTTTTGTTGAATGTGTCTTGCTCTCAGTTAATTGAGTGTCTTAAATATCTACATTTATCTATTTCATCAATTGTATGAAGTTTTTAGGCCTTATTCGAATGTATTTTCTGCACCAATTTGATTCTCTTCTCATGGAACTCCAATGACGTGAATGCTTGATACCGTTTCACAGGTTTCTGGGCATCTGTCTATTTTTTTATTAAACATTTTTGTCTTTTTTCTTCAGGTTAGATGATCTCTATTGAAAAAAGAGAAAAAAAATTGGGATTTTCTTCCATACTCTTTGGACTGTAGGTCCCCCCTTCTCTTATTTTTCTTTTATCCTGGTGATAAATATGGGATTCTCCCATAGTTTAGCTGCTTATGCTGTTGTCACATAATTTTCGTGGAAAGTGACACAACAGAAAAATGAGATTTTCCTCTCATTCTCTAGTGACCCCCTTTTTTTAGCACTATGGTCAGAAAAACAGGGCTGAGTCTGGGACTTTTGCCTATCCAAATCCAGAATTATAGGATCTCCTTCTCCAACACAAGGTTCCCCTCACACTCACTGGCTCCCATGTCCTTCTGTTGGTCCTCTAGCTACAAAAACAGGCTTTCTTTCAGATTTTTGGCTACTTAATCCCACTATACAGTCCCATGACTGAGGCCACATTCAGATTGAAGCTGAGAAAAACCTTTCTGTATCAATTGTTTCGTAAGTATTGAATCACCTCCCCAGTTTGCCTTTTATTATTTACTTTTCAGAACCCTCAGGTAGTTGCTTTTGTATTTGGTCCAGAGTTTTTAGCTATAATCGGTAAGAGACAGGCTGTAAGGGGCTGACTACATCTTTGCTGGCACTGAGAATCACCCCCGTTGTAATTTTAATTGGCATTATATGAAATCTCCAGGTCAGTTTGGGGGGAAATGACATTTTCAACTTTAGTGAGTATTCAAATCCTTAACTATCACATCTTCTATTTGTATTTCTAAATGTTTCTAATTTTTTTAACCTTTTTTTATTTTTAATTTTTGGTGGGTACATAGTTGGTATATTGATGGGGTACATGAGATGTTTTGATACAGGCTTAGTGATATCTAAAATATTATAATCCTCCCCACTAGAGGTCTTGTGTCTTTATTCCTAGGTTCTTGATATCTTTTGTTTTTGTACATGGCAGGTTTTTAAAAATTTATAACTGTTATTGCCTATATAGAGAAACACACTTGATACTTTTCTATTGATACTTTATCCAGGAAACCTGCTAAGTTAATTTTCATTAATCCAAATGGTTCATTAATAAACAAATCCTCCCATGCTAATGTTTTAACTGTAGATTCTTATGGGTTTTAAAATTTGAATGATCCTATCATCTACCACTAATGACAACTGTATTTCTTTTTCTATTCCTATACCACTTAGAATTTTTCTTGTCCTACTGTCCTTGCTAGGACAATGTTGAACATTACAAAGCAGTAATGTTGAACAGGGGTAATTATAGTGGATAGTCTTACCTTGTTTCCAATTTTAAAGGGAAAGATTTTATCTCAAAGAAAAGGAGAAAGCCTTAAGTTTTGTAGAGGAAATTAACAAGTTGTCCTCAGAAAAAGTAGATAGTGTCATGAGGGGAATATATTTGAAGACCGAGTAGCCCTTTATGGTTTGCCCTTTCCTGGAACACACCAGGGTTAGAGGGATATTTCTTAACTGTAGCTGCTTTCTGGGAACACAGGGCTCAGATAAAGTTCGATATTATCAAGGGAAAAACTGTGCAAAGCACCTTTTACAGTTAAAGGCTTCTATCTTGTTCCTGGCTAGTGGTCAACTAATTCTTAGAGTGTGAAAAACCTTAGATTCTAATCTGCATTGAGCAAAATGTTGATGCATCACAATTAAGTATGATGTCTGTTAATGTTTGTTTGCTTTTTTATAGAGACTGGGTCTTGCTTGTTGTCCAGACTAGGTTCGAATTCCTGGACTCAAGTGATTTCTCGCCTCAGCCTCCCGAAGTGCTGGGAATACAGGTACAAGCCACTGTGCCCAGCCTAATAGATGTTTTGAAGACAACTATCATCAGGGTAGTGAAGTTACCTTCTATGCATGATTTGCTAAGAGTTACTTTTTATTGACTTAATGTTGAAATTTATCAAGTGCTTTTTCTGCATGTATTGACATGATAGTTTTTTCCTTTTCTGACCTGTTAATGTAGTAAATTATATTTTTTGATTATTTAATGTTAAACAACTTTGAATTCCTGAGATTAAACCTGACATGAGCACAATGTATTATCCTTTTATTTTTTATTTGGATTACTACTATTTTGTTAGCACTTTATATCTCTGTCCATTAGTAAGACTGGCTTATAATTTTCCTTTTTCAAATCATTGTTTTGGGTTTAGGTATCAGGGGTATATTAGCCTCATTAAATGAGTTGAGTGTAACCTCTTTCTAAATTTTATGGAATAAGTTGTGTAAGATTAGAATTTTTCTTCCTCAAATGATTAATAAAACTTGATAGTTAAAAAGTTCTCTTTCTATTGAATTTTTAGTGTGTGTGTACATACATGTATGTCATAATTATAGGAATGTTCATATATTCTATTCTTGACAACGTTTTGGTAAGTTAATTATTTTGAGGAATTTGCCCACTTTGTCTACATTTTTAGGCTTATTTTTATTATATTTGTAGTCATGTCTCCTTTTGATTTCTTATATTTAATGTCGTTTATCTTCTAATCACTCTTCATATACGATTAAACATTTTGTTCATTATTTTAAGAACCAACTTTAAATTTTTGAACCTCTATATTTTTGTTTTTCTATCTTATTAGTATTTCCTAATCTCTATTATTTTGGAGGATTTATTTTGTTCTTTCTAAATTTTAAGCTCACTTATTTTTATATTGTCCTCTTCTAACATATGTTCTTCAGGCTATACATTTTTCTCTAAGTACTGATTTAAGTGCATATCATGCAACTTGATAGGTATTAGTTATTATGATTTAGTTCAAAACACTACAAATTTTTCTTTAGGCTATAGATTATTTACAAATATTAATTTTTAAACATACGGGGGTTTTCTAGTTCATTTAAAAACATTTTCTTTTAGTTACTCTGTGGTCAGAGAACATATACTTCAGTGCTCTAAAATTTGAGATATGCTTTATGTCCAACTTAATATTTTTGGTAAATGATCTACATTTTCCTGAGGTTAATGTATGTTTTCCCATATGGTGATCTAAATATTTCCACTAGGTCAATTTTGTTTATGATGTTAATATGTTCTATATTCTTATCTGTTGATCACTCTATTAGTTACTGAGTTATGTTAAGATCTTCCAGCAGAACTGTATGTCTGTCTAGTTTTACCTGTAGCTCTGTTAAATTTTCATTTACGTATTTTTAGCTTACATTATTTGTTGCATACAACTTTAGGATTGTTTAAGCCTACTAGTTATTTAAATCTCTTATCATTAGGCAGTGATTCTCTTGATCTTTGGTAATAATTTTGCCTGAAAGTAAAATTTGCTATTAATATAAGTACACCAGGCATCTGTTAGTGTTTGCATGACGTATGTCTCCATCTTTCAACTTGTAGTTGAAATTGTGTTTTAGATTTCTTTCTTGTAAAGAGTTGATTTTTTTGTTTTGTGTTGTTTCGTTTTGGTTTGTTCGAGATGGTGTCTTGCTCTGTCACTCAGGCTGGAGTGCAGTGGAGTGATCTTGGCCCACTGCAACCTCTGCCTCCCAGGTTCAAGGGATTCTCCTGCCTCAGCCTCCTGAATAGCTGGGACTACAGGCGCATACCACCATGCCCAGCTAATTTTTTTGTATTTTTAGTAGAGACAGGGTTTCACCATGTTGGCCAGGATAGTCTCGATCTCTTGACGTCATGATCCACCCACCTCGGCCTCCCAAAGTGCTGGGATTACAGGCATGAGCCACCGTGCCTGGCGCGTGTGTGTGTATGTGCGTGCGCACGTGCATGTGTGTGTTTTTCCCCAATACAATCTCACAATTCTATCTTTTAACTGGAGTAGTTCTTTTATTTGCATTGATTATTATTACTGATATATTTGGGTTAAATTCATCTTATTTTGAGCTTTTTATTTGACTTCTGTGTTTTCTTTGTCCCTCTTTCTCGGTTTCAGCTGGACTGATTTTTTTTTTTCATTCCATTTTTTTCTTAACTGGTTTCAAAATTAATTGAGATTAAATTTCCCTGAACATCCCAGATGTTGCAAAACTGGTCTGCAATTCAGTGTGAGGGATGGTTTTTTGTTTCATCCTAACCTGGGAAGTGAGGTCCTTTTGTTTTAGCCTTAAAAAGAGAAGGTTTCTCAGTGTTTCTGATCAGGTAGGCCCTGTGTTTTGACTTTTGTTCCTTTAGGTCTGCAAAGTTACTGAAAGTGCAGCCTAGTTCCTCAGCTTCTCCTTTTGGATCAGCATATACCCTTAGAGTCAAAATAGCTTTGAGTTTTTATCCAGGTTCTTTTTATCTATGATTTTCTGGCTGCTGGAAATTTCTTACTATAAGCTCTTTAATTTAATGGACATTTTAATTTTTTTTTTTTACAATGTTTTAGTTGTCTTCAGTGGTAGAAATGGCTAAATTGTTTAGTCTGCATTTTGTGAAAACAAAAGTTCTGAATATCTGCTTGAAGTTACCAATCCTTTGATCCTTGTAACAGCTACCCAAGTATGTTTTACAATTCTTGCTTGAAAGACAGGTAGAACCTACACTGAGTTAGATCAGGGCATCTTGTACATGATAGAGCTGGGTTGGGAACCCCAGTTTGTTGAATTATAGATCTGGCATTTATGTCACTATACCATACAGTCTCTTTTAAATCTCCTAACAAAAAATAAAAAGACATTAATGTTTTAAAAAATAAAATAACACAATTTAAATCATGTGATAGTGATAGTTCACATGATATTTTAAATTTCTTTTGCTAAACAAAGCATTTCCTCCATTGTTTACTGAGCCAATATTAGCAGAACATACATTATGTAAACAGCACATTGGAAAAGTGCACTTTAGAACTATTTAAAAGAATAATAGTAAAAATGATAGTAAAATTCCAGTAAAATTCATCTATTATGAAGAGAAATGAGCCAATGATAAATGGATGTATATAAAACAGGGATATTTGCTTAGAGTCCACTTTTATTTGGTCATTTTTATTTTATGGGTTGTAAAACTCCTGTTTGAGCCAACTTTGTTGAAAAGTAAAAGTTAGTGTTTTAATAGAAATAAGACATAAGATTTGAATATCAAATTTTTATCTTTTAGAAACACACCTACGGTTGATATTGAAGGGTTAATGAGTTCCTTATATAAATTCACAAGTTTAACTTTTCAGTAGACAGAACACTGATATATCCCCATAAAGGGAATCTTGTCAAATCTGACGGGATGTCTCTGTGTTGGGTTGAGTCCCACCTGAATTGTATGATGGGTGCATTAACTGCTAAGTATTGGAATATAGATATATATATTCCACCTTACTAAAACTTTTTCTTGAGACATATATATCACACACATATACACTGTATATATTATGTATATACAATATTATATACAACATAGAACATTATATAAAAATAGTTTCTTAGTAAGGTTATTAAAAATGGTTTAAGGAGTCAAGTGAATACAAAGATACACAATCATATATATAAAGGTTAATTATGTAATGAGTTTTATAGGATTCATTAGAGTGGTAATAAGAACGGCAGTTATAAATGATTTCAGGTAAGATGTTGTCTTTAAAAGCCATATGTATTTATAAATGTTATATGTATTTCCTATATGATTTATTGACACAAAAAATATGAAATAGAATGACTTAAATTTTCCAAGAATTCATTCTAATGGGGGTACAAATCACAGATTGTCAGAGATGAAGAGATGAGTAAACTTAAGCTCAGGGAGTGATGTCTACTCTAATACTTCCTTGTAGGTACAACTCACTTTTTTTCTGCACGAGGTAAGATATTACCTGGACATGGCTTCTCCAACATTTTTTTCACAAATAATGAGCTTATGGGTGTCAGGGCAGAAGATTCCAGGTAAAAAAAGATTCAAGAGTTTTAGTGTTCATGAGTGAGTCCACCCTAAGTTTATGGAGTTTGCATATGATGCTCAGTTTTGACAGTTAAAATTGGAATGCTTTTGACTGCAAACTATGGAATGCTTTTGACTGCAAACAATAGAGATATTGTTTCAAATAGTAGCTTGTGAGATTTGCAATAAAGACTTATAACAGTTATAAATTAAACAATTATTTTATGCAACCCAAAATATCTCTTCTCCAAAAGATTCAAATGTTACATGGAAAACCAAGTAGTTTCTCACTTTTGCTGCCCTGCAAAAATTCAGCTAATGAGTTCTACGATACCTTTTTGGTCTCTTGGATGAATTAATCATGAAGATGAGTGAATCTTCATTCACTCAAATGCTTGCGTAACAAATGCTGAGTCTCTTTCTGATGCCTGCTTACATAAAATTAACCCATGTCTTTTGGATATGAGTCTTTTTGGCTAAGGTTGAACAGAACTGGGCGATTTATGGAAAAGCTAGACACTTGCCCTCACTTCTGGTAAACCAATCTTTTCGCATCACTTACATACCAAGAGATGTCCCTGATATCTTCAGCAGAAGAAAGTATGAAAAACAAGATAACTACTTATTGATGAGTAGAAAATGAGGCTGGGTATTTATATAGCTAAATAATTTGTAGGCATTTACAAAGCAACCTGTAGATTCAATGCAATCAAAAATACCAATGTCATTTTCCAGAGTTAGAAAAAATAATTCTAAAATTCATACAGTACCAAAAAAGAGCGTGAATAGCCAAAACAATCCTAAGCAAAAAGAAGAAAGCTGGAAACATCACAACACCTGACCACAAATTATACTACAGGGCTGCAGTAATGAAAATATCATGGTACTGGTTCTAAAAATACTGGCTCTAAACATGGTATTAAAAACAGACATAGATCAATGGAATAGAATCCAGAATCCAGAAACAAAGCTACGTATCTACAGCCAACTAATCTTTGACAAAATCAACAAAAACACACATTGGGAAAAGAATACCCTCTTCAATAAATGGTGCTGAGAAAACTGGATAGCTATAACACAGAAAAATGAATCAATCCTTAAATCTCACGTATACAAAAATCAACTGATGATGGATCAGAGACATAAATGTAAGACCTGAAACTATAAAAAAAAAAAAATCCTAGGAGAAAACCTAGGGAAAAACTCCTCTGGAATTGGTCTAGGCAAAGAATTTATGACTGAGACTTCAAAAACAAGCACAATGAAAACAAAAATAGACACGTTGGGATTAACTTAAACTAAAAAGCTTCTGCATGTCAAAAGAAATAACAGACTGAACAGACAACCAGCAGAACGGGAGAAAATATTTTTCAATCTGACAGGGGACTGATACCCAGAATGTACAAGAAACCCAAACTCAACGACAAACAACTCCATTAAAAAGTGGGCAAAGGACATGAACAGACATTTTTCAAAAGACATGTAAATGGCCAACAAGCACATGAAGAAAATGTTCAAAAGCACTAATTGTCAAGGAAGTGCAAATTAAAACAGCAATGAGATAATTACCTTACACCAGTCAGTGTTTATTATTAAAAAGACAACATGTAAAACATGTTGGCAATAATTCAGAGAAAAGAGAATGCTTGTATACTGCTGGTGGAAATGTAAATTAGTACAGCCTTTATGGAAAACAGTATGGAGATTTCTCAAATAACTAAAAATGGCACTGCCATTTGATCCAGCAATCCCACTATTGGGTATCTACCCAGAGGAAAAGAATTCACTATATCAAAAAGATGCCTGCACTTGTATGTTTATCGCAGTACTATTCACGATAGCAAAGACATAGAATCAATTTAAGTGTCCGTGGAAAGATGACTGGATAAAGCCAACGTGGTACATACACACAGTGAAATAATACTCAGCCATAAAACAGAATGAAATTCTTTTTCAGCAACAGAGGACTAGATAAAGAATCTGTGATACATATACACCATAGAATAATAGTTATATAACAGAATGAAGTCATGTTTTTTGCAGCAACATGGATGGAACTGGAGGCCATTATCTTAAGTGAAATAACTCAAAGTCAAATACCAGGTGTTCTTATTTATACATGTGAGCTAAATAATGTATACACATGGATATATGGTAGGATAATAGAAGATGGAGACTTGGAAGGGTGGGAGGGTGGAAGGGGATCGAGGGATGAGAAATTACTTTTAAAGGATAAAATGTTCAGTATTTGGCTGATGGTTACACTCAAAGCCCAGACTTCACCACTATATTGCATGGATATATTTCCATGTAACAAAATTGCATTTGTATCCCCCAAATGTATATAAAGAAAAAATTTTAAATAATATGTTGGCATTTAAAACACTTCATGTTGAGCAGTGAGGCAGAAAACTATTCAAGGTTGTATATCTACTACACCCATCAGTCATCTGCTCCAGGTCTAGTCTCTTTCGTTCATTAAGTTGTGACCCAACAGGTAGCCAGCAAGAAAGCCTCAGCCTAGAAAAAAGGTTAAGCTAGTTTTCCTTTCATATTGAAACTTGACCCTATATTGTATTCTTTTCTAAACTATTCTTTGAGCTGTCTTGTAAATACAACTAAGATATTCCCTAAACAAACATATGGCTCCTGCTCGAGAGTTTCATTGCTAATGATTTCCTTATTACCTGGCCTAGCTGTGATTTGTATCAGTTTGAACAAATTAGGAGGCAATATTTTTTTCAAAAAGAAAATTAAATTTTAAATTAAAATGAACATATGCTTATCAAAACTTTGCAAATACAAATATACACAAATGACATGGATAATTGATAATTTTATAACCCAGAAAAAACTCTCATGATGGTACATTTTCATGCATTCTTTTATCTGTGTGTGTGTGTGTGTGTGTGTGTGTGTGTGTGTATAAATTCTTCACACATTTGGGATGATAATCATACACAGTATCCTCTTTTTCACATAACTTTGTATCATATGTATTTCATCGTGTCATCAATGGGCACACTATAATTATTTCCATTACTGAACACTTATCTTGTTTCTAACCTTTCATTATTATTAACACATATGTTGTATACAAATTATTTGTCTAATTGTTCTGTCTCTGGTTACTTTCTTAAGATAGTCCTAGAGTTGTAATTGAGTCAAAAGGTACAGTGACTCTTAATTAAGTGCTTTGGATAAATACACTGAAATGTCACCCAGAAATGGTGCTGTTGTGATTTGTATACCCAATAGTAGTATATGAGTGTAACTATTTCTTTGCCCCCTAATTACCATATAGCAGCACTGTCTACTTGAAATACAATGTAAGCAACATCTCTAACTTAAAGTGACACCATAAATAAAAAAGTAAAACATAGATGAATTTTATGTAGTATTGGTTTTAACCCAATATATGTAAAATATTATTCTTTCAACATTTAATCTATATAAAATTACTGAGATATTTTACTTTACTGAGCTTTGGAATTCCGGTGTGTATTTTATATTTTACAACACATCTGAGTTTGAACTAGCTACACTTCAAGTGGCTAGTCATTGCCCTATTTGACAGCACAGCCATAAATACTTTATTTCATTTAAAAATTATTGCCAACTTCATAAGTGGGAGAATGGCATTTCTACTTGATTTAAATTGCAGTTCCAATTACTAACAAAGCTGAATGTTTCCTCACATGTTGTATTTTGGAGAATGTTAATGAATCTCAATTTACATGAGTTATCGGTCTTTAGGATGTTAATACTTTTATGTATAGTTCTAGAAAACATTCTTCTCTGCTGATAGTTTTCCCAGTTTTTAATGCCAAATTTCAAAGTTTCTATGTAATTGAATTGATGTAATTTTTCTTGTGTTGGCTTTCATTGGTCGTATGCTCAGGAAGCCCTTTCCCATTTCAAGACAGCTAAATATTTACTGTTTATAGTTCTAGGTTTTTTTCAATCTTAATTCTTTAACCCATCTAGATTTTTATTTTGGCTTATAAGGTAAGGATAAAAATGTTTCATTTGTTCCAAAATAGCTAATTTCCACAATATCATTTATTGAATAATTCATCTCTTCTTCTTTTAGATAATTACTTCACAACATGTTAAGATTATGCATATATTCAGGCCCATTCCAGGTTTTCAATATTTTCCCTTGAATTTTAAATTTCTATTAGCCTACTATCTTAATTAGTATAGCTTTACACAGAGGACTATGAAATAGGAAAGCGAAGAGTCAATGTTTGTTGGTTTCAGGTCAAATAATTGTTCGTGGTGGGGATTTTTGAGCAAACTGAAAAGTTAACTTCTCTACGTTAGCAATACACAAAAGGAATAAATTTTAAAATTATGCTATTAGGCTTTAAATCAACAATAAATTACTCAAATATATATATATTTACTGTATGTTTTTCTACCTCTGGACTCTGTAAAAATGCCCTAAGTTATAGCACATATTCCCGTTAAACCTTTTCTACTAAGTTTTCCAATATTCCTTTGGCCTGTACCTCTGCCTGCACATGTCCTTCCTTGAGCTTCAGAGTTTTGCGTCTGAGGAACCACTGATGTCTCTTAACTTCACGATGCCCTTTGCTTATTTGAAGGCTGTTTTTTTTCCTGCGACAGCAGTCATCAGTGCTTCCTGGGCCTTCTCAAAACCTGAATCAATTTAGACTCAATTCGAAAAGGATAATGTGGCAGTGGTATAACCACCCACCCTGTATTTCTCTGCTCAGCAAATGGGCCTGATCAAATGATAGAAAATTGCAGCTGCTGGTCTGCATTCAGCTTACAAAATCCATCCTGTCTCTTCCCCTCAGCTACTCTTTGCCCCATCGCTTTTCCCTTTCATCTCTGGTCACCCTCACTACCTCTGCCTGAGCTCCTGAACAATTCTGTCACCACAAGATGGGATTACCAAATCCTTTGGCTTCTGTTAAAGCAATCAAGCAATCTACTGCTGACGATTTTTTTCTTTTTTTTTTTTTTTTCATTTATTTTTATTTTATTTTATTTTATTTTTTTTATTATACTCTTAAGTTTTAGGGTACATGTGCACATTGTGCAGGTTAGTTACATATGTATACATGTGCCATGCTGGTGCGCTGCACCCACTAATGTGTCATCTAGCATTAGGTATATCTCCCAATACTATCCCTTCCCCCTCCCCCAACCCCACCACAGTCCCCAGAGTGTGATATTCCCCTTCCTGTGTCCATGTGATCTCATTGTTCAATTCCCACCTATGAGTGAGAATATGCGGTGTTTGGTTTTTTGTTCTTGCGATAGTTTACTGAGAATGATGGTTTCCAATTTCATCCATGTCCCTACAAAGGATATGAACTCATCATTTTTTATGGCTGCATAGTATTCCATGGTGTATATGTGCCACATTTTCTTAATCCAGTCTATCATTGTTGGACATTTGGGTTGGTTCCAAGTCTTTGCTATTGTGAATAGTGCCGCAATAAACATACGTGTGCATGTGTCTTTATAGCAGCATGATTTATACTCATTTGGGTATATACCCAGTAATGGGATGGCTGGGTCAAATGGTATTTCTAGTTCTAGATCCCTGAGGAATCGCCACACTGACTTCCACAATGGTTGAACTAGTTTACAGTCCCACCAACAGTGTAAAAGTGTTCCTATTTCTCCGCATCCTCTCCAGCACCTGTTGTTTCCTGACTTTTTAATGATCGCCATTCTAACTGGTGTGAGATGATATCTCATAGTGGTTTTGATTTGCATTTCTCTGATGGCCAGTGATGATGAGCATTTCTTCATGTGTTTTTTGGCTGCATAAATGTCTTCTTTTGAGAAGTGTCTGTTCATGTCCTTCGCCCACTTTTTGATGGGGTTGTTTGTTTTTTTCTTGTAAATTTGTTTGAGTTCATTGTAGATTCTGGATATTAGCCCTTTGTCAGATGAGTAGGATGCGAAAATTTTCTCCCATTTTGTAGGTTGCCTGTTCACTCTGATGGTAGTTTCTTTTGCTGTGCAGAAGCTCTTTAGTTTAATTAGATCCCATTTGTCAATTTTGTCTTTTGTTGCCATTGCTTTTGGTGTTTTGGACATGAAGTCCTTGCCCACGCCTATGTCCTGAATGGTAATGCCTAGGTTTTCTTCTAGGGTTTTTATGGTTTTAGGTTTAACGTTTAAATCTTTAATCCATCTTGAATTGATTTTTGTATAAGGTGTAAGGAAGGGATCCAGTTTCAGCTTTCTACATATGGCTAGCCAGTTTTCCCAGCACCATTTATTAAATAGGGAATCCTTTCCCCATTGCTTGTTTTTCTCAGGTTTGTCAAAGATCAGATAGTTGTAGATATGCGGCATTATTTCTGAGGGCTCTGTTCTGTTCCATTGATCTATATCTCTGTTTTGGTACCAGTACCATGCTGTTTTGGTTACTGTAGCCTTGTAGTATAGTTTGAAGTCAGGTAGTGTGATGCCTCCAGCTTTGTTCTTTTGGCTTAGGATTGACTTGGCAATGCGGGCTCTTTTTTGGTTCCATATGAACTTTAAAGTAGTTTTTTCCAATTCTGTGAAGAAAGTCATTGGTAGCTTGATGGGGATGGCATTGAATCTGTAAATTACCTTGGGCAGTATGGCCATTTTCACGATATTGATTCTTCCTACCCATGAGCATGGAATGTTCTTCCATTTGTTTGTGTCCTCTTTTATTTCCTTGAGCAGTGGTTTGTAGTTCTCCTTGAAGAGGTCCTTCACATCCCTTGTAAGTTGGATTCCTAGGTATTTTATTCTCTTTGAAGCAATTGTGAATGGGAGTTCACCCATGATTTGGCTCTCTGTTTGTCTGTTGTTGGTGTATAAGAATGCTTGTGATTTTTGTACATTGATTTTGTATCCTGAGACTTTGCTGAAGTTGCTTATCAGCTTAAGGGGATTTTGGGCTGAGACGATGGGGTTTTCTAGATAAACAATCATGTCGTCTGCAAACAGGGACAATTTGACTTCCTCTTTTCCTAATTGAATACCCTTTATTTCCTTCTCCTGCCTGATTGCCCTGGCCAGAACTTCCAACACTATGTTGAATAGGAGCGGTGAGAGAGGGCATCCCTGTCTTGTGCCAGTTTTCAAAGGGAATGCTTCCAGTTTTTGCCCATTCAGTATGATATTGGCTGTGGGTTTGTCATAGATAGCTCTTATTATTTTGAGATACGTCCCATCAATACCTAATTTATTGAGAGTTTTTAGCATGAAGGGTTGTTGAATTTTGTCAAAGGCCTTTTCTGCATCTATTGAGATAATCATGTGGTTTTTGTCTTTGGCTCTGTTTATATGCTGGATTACATTTATTGATTTGCGTATATTGAACCAGCCTTGCATCCCAGGGATGAAGCCCACTTGATCATGGTGGATAAGCTTTTTGATGTGCTGCTGGATTCGGTTTGCCAGTATTTTATTGAGGATTTTTGCATCAATGTTCATCAAGGATATTGGTCTAAAATTCTCTTTTTTGGTTGTGTCTCTGCCTGGCTTTGGTATCAGAATGATGCTGGCCTCATAAAATGAGTTAGGGAGGATTCCCTCTTTTTCTATTGATTGGAATAGTTTCAGAAGGAATGGTACCAGTTCCTCCTTGTACCTCTGGTAGAATTCGGCTGTGAATCCATCTGGTCCTGGACTCTTTTTGGTTGGTAAACTATTGATTATTGCCACAATTTCAGAGCCTGTTATTGGTCTATTCAGAGATTCAACTTCTTCCTGGTTTAGTCTTGGGAGAGTGTATGTGTCGAGGAATGTATCCATTTCTTCTAGATTTTCTAGTTTATTTGCGTAGAGGTGTTTGTAGTATTCTCTGATGGTAGTTTGTATTTCTGTGGGATCGGTGGTGATATCCCCTTTATCATTTTTTATTGTGTCTATTTGATTCTTCTCTCTTTTTTTCTTTATTAGTCTTGCTAGCGGTCTATCAATTTTGTTGATCCTTTCAAAAAACCAGCTCCTGGATTCATTGATTTTTTGAAGGGTTTTTTGTGTTTCTATTTCCTTCACTTCTGCTCTGATTTTAGTTATTTCTTGCCTTCTGCTAGCTTTTGAATGTGTTTGCTCTTGCTTTTCTAGTTCTTTTAATTGTGATGTTAGGGTGTCAATTTTGGATCTTTCCTGCTTTCTCTTGTAGGCATTTAGTGCTATAAATTTCCCTCTACACACTGCTTTGAATGCGTCCCAGAGATTCTGGTATGTGGTGTCTTTGTTCTCGTTGGTTTCAAAGAACATCTTTATTTCTGCCTTCATTTCGTTATGTACCCAGTAGTCATTCAGGAGCAGGTTGTTCAGTTTCCATGTAGTTGAGCGGCTTTGAGTGAGATTCTTAATCCTGAGTTCTAGTTTGATTGCACTGTGGTCTGAGAGACAGTTTGTTATAATTTCTGTTCTTTTACATTTGCTGAGGAGAGCTTTACTTCCAACTATGTGGTCAATTTTGGAATAGGTGTGGTGTGGTGCTGAAAAAAATGTATATTCTGTTGATTTGGGGTGGAGAGTTCTGTAGATGTCTATTAGGTCTGCTTGGTGCAGAGCTGAGTTCAATTCCTGGGTATCCTTGTTGACTTTCTGTCTCGTTGATCTGTCTAATATTGACAGTGGGGTGTTAAAGTCTCCCATTATTAATGTGTGGGAGTCTAAGTCTCTTTGTAGGTCACTGAGGACTTGCTTTATGAATCTGGGTGCTCCTGTATTGGGTGCATAAATATTTAGGATAGTTAGCTCCTCTTGTTGAATTGATCCCTTTACCATTATGTAATGGCCTTCTTTGTCTCTTTTGATCTTTGTTGGTTTAAAGTCTGTTTTATCAGAGACTAGGATTGCAACCCCTGCCTTTTTTTGTTTTCCATTGGCTTGGTAGATCTTCCTCCATCCTTTTATTTTGAGCCTATGTGTGTCTCTGCACGTGAGATGGGTTTCCTGAATACAGCACACTGATGGGTCTTGACTCTTTATCCAACTTGCCAGTCTGTGTCTTTTAATTGCAGAATTTAGTCCATTTATATTTAAAGTTAATATTGTTATGTGTGAATTTGATCCTGTCATTATGATGTTAGCTGGTGATTTTGCTCATTAGTTGATGCAGTTTCTTCCTAGTCTCGATGGTCTTTACATTTTGGCATGATTTTGCAGCGGCTGGTACCGGTTGTTCCTTTCCATGTTTAGCGCTTCCTTCAGGAGCTCTTTTAGGGCAGGCCTGGTGGTGACAAAATCTCTCAGCATTTGCTTGTCTATAAAGTATTTTATTTCTCCTTCACTTATGAAGCTTAGTTTGGCTGGATATGAAATTCTGGGTTGAAAATTCTTTTCTTTAAGAATGTTGAATATTGGCCCCCACTCTCTTCTGGCTTATAGGGTTTCTGCCGAGAGATCCGCTGTTAGTCTGATGGGCTTTCCTTTGAGGGTAACCCGACCTTTCTCTCTGGCTGCCCTTAACATTTTTTCCTTCATTTCAACTTTGGTGAATCTGACAATTATGTGTCTTGGAGTTGCTCTTCTCGAGGAGTATCTTTGTGGCGTTCTCTGTATTTCCTGAATCTGAACGTTGGCCTGCCTTGCTAGATTGGGGAAGTTCTCCTGGATAATATCCTGCAGAGTGTTTTCCAACTTGGTTCCATTCTCCACATCACTTTCAGGTACACCAATCAGACGTAGATTTGGTCTTTTCACATAGTCCCATATTTCTTGGAGGCTTTGCTCATTTCTTTTTATTCTTTTTTCTCTAAACTTCCCTTCTCGCTTCATTTCATTCATTTCATCTTCCATTGCTGATACCCTTTCTTCCAGTTGATCGCATCGGCTCCTGAGGCTTCTGCATTCTTCACGTAGTTCTCGAGCCTTGGTTTTCAGCTCCATCAGCTCCTTTAAGCACTTCTCTGTATTGGTTATTCTAGTTATACATTCTTCTAAATTTTTTTCAAAGTTTTCAACTTCTTTGCCTTTGGTTTGAATGTCCTCCCGTAGCTCAGAGTAATTTGATCGTCTGAAGCCTTCTTCTCTCAGCTCGTCAAAATCATTCTCCATCCAGCTTTGTTCTGTTGCTGGTGAGGAACTGCGTTCCTTTGGAGGAGGAGAGGCGCTCTGCGTTTTAGAGTTTCCAGTTTTTCTGTTCTGTTTTTTCCCCATCTTTGTGGTTTTATCTACTTTTGGTCTTTGATGATGGTGATGTACAGATGGGTTTTCGGTGTAGATGTCCTTTCTGGTTGTTAGTTTTCCTTCTAACAGACAGGACCCTCAGCTGCAGGTCTGTTGGAATACACTGCCGTGTGAGGTGTCAGTGTGCCCCTGCTGGGGGGTGCTTCCCAGTTAGGCTGCTCGGGGGTCAGGGGTCAGGGACCCACTTGAGGAGGCAGTCTGTCCGTTCTCAGATCTCCAGCTGCGTGCTGGGAGAACCACTGCTCTCTTCAAAGCTGTCAGACAGGGACACTTAAGTCTGCAGAGGTTACTGCTGTCTTTTTGTTTGTCTGTGCCCTGCCCCCAGAGGTGGAGCCTACAGAGGCAGGCAGGCCTCCTTGAGCTGTGGTGGGCTCCACCCAGTTCGAGCTTCCCAGCTGCTTTGTTTACCTAAGCAAGCCTGGGCAATGGCGGGCGCCCCTCCCCCAGCCTCGTTGCCGCCTTGCAGTTTGATCTCAGACTGCTGTGCTAGCAATCAGCGAGATTCCGTGGGCGTAGGACCCTCTGAGCCAGGTGTGGGATATAGTCTCGTGGTGCGCCGTTTCTTAAGCCGGTCTGAAAAGCGCAATATTCGGGTGGGAGTGACCCGATTTTCCAGGTGCGTCCGTCACCCCTTTCTTTGACTCGGAAAGGGAACTCCCTGACCCCTTGCGCTTCCCAGGTGAGGCAATGCCTCGCCCTGCTTCGGCTTGCGCACGGTGCGCACACACACTGGCCTGCGCCCACTGTCTGGCACTCTCTAGTGAGATGAACCCGGTACCTCAGATGGAAATGCAGAAATCACCCGTCTTCTGCGTCGCTCACGCTGGGAGCTGTAGACCGGAGCTGTTCCTATTCGGCCATCTTGGCTCCTCCTCCGACAATTTTTTTCATAAGCATAAAGTCTTTTTATACTTAAATGATTTTGAACAGTTATGCAGCAATCTTTTCTACAGTGGCCTTGTTAAATTCTACTTTTCCTCAGCTCCGGGACTCATATGTGACAATTGGTTCCACTCACTGGTAATTTATCTTGGAAAAATATATTGTATGCCAACTTGGTACAAGAGGTAGTAAATTAAGAGTAAGTCATATTAATTGAAAATACTCCATGTGAGTATACATAGAAACATATTACACAATAGCTTCTTGCTAGGTTTACATTGACATTTTGTGAGAAAACTATTTTGTAAAAGAAGCATGGTTTGTTCGATATTCATTGTAGTTCCTTGCACAGGTTTAGCATTTTGTTGAGCATGTATTCTATTTTACAAGGATCTATAATGGTCTAGGAGTTTAGTTGGGCAGTGGGAGATACATTATTTTGGAAAAAGTGTGTAATCTAAGAGATTGTGTCATTGCCATCCAAAAGTGTTATCTCTGCTTGAGTGTGAATACGCATGTCTACAAGCCCACAAGGAATCCAAATCTAAAACTAAGGGTGAAGTGATATTTTGATACATTTGTAACAAAACACTAATAGTTCTGCTTTTTAAAAATTACTATCTGTTAATTTGCTAAATACTAAAATTGGTGTGACATTGTACACTTTTCACTTAAAACAACTGGTCTTGACCTTTCCACCCTGAATGGTGCATGTTTAAAAATTAAACCAGTGATTGGTGGCAAGATTGGCATCTCTATGCTTTTTACACTAAGTTCCTAACATCAGAGTCCCTTGGGTCTTTAGTCGAACTGGATATTAAATACTGCATCAAGGCAACTTGAGAGTGAGAAAATAGCTTTTACTGTAGCCAACAGTACAGGTAGGAAATAAATTACAAAGCATCCTCTATATTCTCCATGCAAAGGAAACTGATCATTTTTCATTTTATACATCATTTACACCATGATGTAGTGATTCCACAAAATCACTAGACTATAAAAATAACAAATGAGATAGAACTATTCCTTTGCTAGTTCTAAACGTTCTATAGTGTTTTCTACAGTGTATAAAGGTAGATATGTCGCTGTGCATTTCATTTCCTCTATCCTATATTTATGGAAAAGTAACACTTGTAAGAAGAATATGTTAGAAACAACTTCTTTTTGTAAATAAAAAGGTCCCTTCATTGGGAGAACTGAAGATACACTTTAAATGTGGATAAGTTCCATATTGTATGAGAGTTCAGGGATTTCCTTCAAACTATTAGTAAAAGTATGGATGATTAATTAAATTAGTACATTTCAAACTATTTAGTCTGATTAACCCTCAAAAACTAGGAGTATGTCAGCTATTTCACCCAGAGCCAGTAATTCATATTATATCTTGCTTGAAAAATAATTGGTATTATCTAAGATACTTTAGTAAAATTTTATAAGTCATAATTACATGATGGCATTACATTTGATTATGTAGGGGCATGCGAGCTTCCACTTAAACAATCTCATATTTTTCCCCGTTATTTTTTAGTATGCAAGACATATGTCTGTCTCACTTGGGCTTTTGCTCTCTAATATATATTACATATATATATCTGAAAAGTATTACTTGGAGGTTATTCCACTTTTTTGTGCATATAGAGCTATCGATATGAGCTACTTGTAATATCTTAGTCTGCTTTTTGAACCATTCCCCTATTGATTGACACTTAGGTTATTTTGAGTCTTTGGTATTACAATGTTTATTGAATAACCATATATAATCTCTCTGTATATGGATGTGACTATATCAGTGGGAACAGTGCCAAGCAGTGGAATTGATGGCTCATATGGTAGGTGGCTTTTTAAATATTTATCAATATTGCCAAATTTCTCCCATATAAGCTCTAGCAATTTGCATTAATACCAACAATTTATGAGACTCTTTCCCTCACTCTACACAATACAACATTGACAGAACTGAAGATACACCTCAAATCTGGATAAATTCCATGTTGTATGAGAGAATTCAGGGCATTCATTCAAACTATATTAGTAAAACTATGAATGATTAAGTTGGTAAATTTCAAAGTATTAAACTTTTTGATCTTGCTAATTTGATAGGAA
Source organism: Homo sapiens (assembly GCF_000001405.40). NCBI lineage: Eukaryota > Metazoa > Chordata > Mammalia > Primates > Hominidae > Homo > Homo sapiens. The sequence goes on along the minus strand of NC_000023.11, from coordinate 147,651,625 downwards.
AAATGTAGTATTTGGTAGTTATTTTACCTGTCTTTCATAGTGAGTGAGGCTCAATACTTCCCTTTTATATGTTTACAATCTTTTAGTATTTCCTAGTCTATGAATTGTCTGTGTTAGGCCGTTCTTGAATTGCTATAAAGAAATACTTGAAACTTGATTAATTCATTAAGAAAATGACTCACAGTTTTGTAGGCTTTATAGGAAGCATGATGTCAACATCTGCTTAGCTTCTGGGAAGGCCTCAGGAAGCTTACAATTATGGTGGAAGGCTAAGGGGGAGCAGACACATCAAACTGCAAAAGCAGGAGCGAGAGAGTGACAGAGCAGGTGGCACACACTTTTACATGACCAGATCTCACAAGAACTTAACTATCACGAAGATGGCACCAAGCCACGAGGGATCCAGCCCCATGATCCAAACACCACCTACTAGGCCCCACCTCCAGCTCTGGGGATTACAATTCAACATGAGATTTGGGTGGGACAAATATACATACTGTATCACTCAGCCCCTGGCCCCTTCCAAATCTCATGTCATTCTCACATTGCAAAATACAATGATGCCTTCCTAACAGTCCTTCAAAGTCTTAGCTTATTCCAGCATTAACTCAAAAGTCCGAAGTCTCATCTGAGACAAGGCAAATACATTCCACCTATGAGCTTGTATAATCAAAAACAAGTTAGTTGCTTCAAAGAGACAATGGTGGTATAGGCATTGGCTCAACATTCCCATTTCCAAAGGAAAAAAACAGCCTAAAGAAAGGGGCTATGGCCCCAATCAAGTTCAAAACCCAGCATGGCAGTCGTTAAAGCTCCAAAATAATTTCCTTTGATTTCATGTCCCACATTCAGGGCACACTGGTGCAAGGGGTAGCCTCTGAAGGCCTTATAAAGCTCCATCCCTGTAGCTTTGCAGGGTTCAGCCCCCAAGGCTGCTGTCACTGATTATTGAGTACCTGTGGCTTTTCCATGCACAGGGTGTGTCTGCCAGTGGGTTTACAGTTCTCAAGTCTGGAGGGCAGTGGCCTCCTTCTCAGTTTCAATAGGCAGTACCCCAGTGGGTACACTGTGTCGGTGCTCCAACCTCAAATTTCTTTCTAGTAGTACACTAGTAGAGGTTTCCCATGGAGAATCCACCCCTGCAGCAGGCTTATGCTTGGGCACCGAGGCTTTTCCATCTTCTGCAATATAGGTAGAAGGTGCTAAGCCTCATTCACTCTTGTGTTCTGTACACCTGAAGCCTTAATACCACGTGGAAGCTGCTAATACTTACGTGGCTTGTGTTTTCTGGAGCAGTTGCATGAGCAGTATCTGAGTCCCTTTGAGCCAAGGCTGGAACAGCTGGGAGGTGGGGAACAGTGTCCTAAGGCTGTGCAGGGCAGTGGGGCCCTGGACCTGTCCTACAAAACTATTCCTTCTTAGGCCTCTGGGCCTGTGATGGAAAGATATGCTATGAAGGTCTTCAAAATGACTTTTGAGGCCTTTTCCCCATTGTTATGGCTATCAGCATGTGGCTTACTTTTAGTTTGCAAATTTTTTTTAGCAAGCGGATGTTCCACAGCCTACTTGAATTCCTCTCCTGAAAAAAACTTTTATTTCTCTGCCACATGGCCATGCTGCAGATTTTCCAAAAGTTTATGCTGTTTCCCTTTCTAAATTTAAGTTTCAACTTTAAATCATTCCTTTGCTCCCATATGTGAATGTGGGCTCTTAGAAGCAGACAGGCTACATGTTGAATGCTTTGCTGCTTAGTAATTTCTTCCACCAGATAGTTTAAATCATCTATTTTAATTTTAAATTTCTAGAGATCCCTAGGACACAAACCCAATGCATCCAAGCTCTTTCCTAAGGCATAAGACACATGACCTTTGTTCCAGTTCTCAATAAGTTCCTCATTTCCATATGAGATCTCCTCAGCCTGGACTTCATTGTCCATATCACTATCAGCATTTTGGTCACAATGATTTAACAAGTTTCTAAGAAGTTTATGAACTTTCCCTAATCTTCCTGTTGTCTTCTGAGCCTTCTAAACTCTTTCAACCTCCGCCTGTTACCGAGTTCCAAAGCTGCTTCTGCATTTTCAGGTATCTTTATAGCAACACCCCATTCCTCAGTACCAATTTTCTGTGTTAATCCTTTCTGGAATTGCTATAAATACCTGAATCTGGGTGGTTTAGAAAGAGGTTAAATTGGCTCAGGTTCTGCAGGCTTTACAGTATGCATGATGGTGACATCTGCTTGGCTTCTTGGGAGGCATCAGGAAGCTTACAATGATAAGAGGGGAAAGGAGAGCAGGCATGCCACATGGTGAAAGCAGGAGCAAATGGTGGAGAGGTAGAGGTACCATATACTTTTTTTTTTTTTTTTTTTTTTGAGATGGAGTCTAGCTCTGTCACCCAGGCTGGGGTGCAGTGGTGCGATCTTGGCTCACTGCGACCTCTGCCTCCTGGGTTCAAGCAATTCTCCTGCCTCAGCCTCCTGAGTAGCTGGGATTATCAGCACCTACCACCACACCCGGCTAATCCTTTTGTATTTTTAGTAGAGACAGGGTTTCACCATGTTGCCCATGCTGGTCTCAAACTCCTGACCTCAGGTGATACACCCGCCTCAGCCTCCCAAAGTGGTGGGATTACAGGCGTGAGCCACCGCGCCTGGCCGCATATACTTTTAAAAGGCCATTTTCTGTGAGAAATCATATTACTATTGTGAAGATGACACCAAGCCATGAGGGATCCACCCTGTGACCCATACACCTCCCACCAGTCTTCAAATCCAGCACTGGGGACTACAATTCAACATGAGATTTGAGTGGGGACAAATATCCAAATTCTATCACTGTTCATACCCTATACCAATTTTTATATTAAAACCTTTTTATTTGTAGGATACTTTATGTAATAAGATAGTTAGAACTCTGTCATCTCTGTTAAAACTTTTAAAACATGTTTGCCATCTTTTACTTATTCATTCTATAATTCTTATGTAGCTATTACAAAATTTCATATAGTCAAAGCATATCATAGAGCTTCTGAATTTTGTATCACACTTAGGGTTAACTATAGGATTACAAAGTAAGTCTTCCTCTATCTTCTAATCCTTTAATGGTTTTATTAATTTAAATTTGTGGTCCATCTAGATTTTCGAAATGTGAGTTGCTATACCTTCACTTACTTATTCAAACTTGTATTGAGTCTGTACCCAAGTACTGAAAACCACTGTCATATTCTAAGGACTAATATCAGGACACTCATGAACATGTTACAAGGCAGCCAAAACTGGTCCTCTGACAGCAATTTATCCACTTCCATCTACCTTTCATGTAAGAGATCTGTCAGTTTCACCCCACTGAGGATTAACTCTTCCCCATTTCCATGGATCAGCAGCATCAGCACCACCTGGGAGCTTGTTAGAAAATGCAGAATGACAGGTCCCACCTCAGACCTACTGAGTCTGCATTTTAATAAGGTCCCTAGGTGATACTTAAACACATTAAAATCTAGGTAGCACTGAGCTGGACGGGAAGAAAACATCTTTTGTCTTCTAGCCCATTCCCATAAGTTAAAATACATATGGTCAATGAAAGGAAAAGGTGAGAACACCTCCTGGTTATTACGTTGATAAAGTATTTCCAAGATCAGTGATTTTTCTGTTCCTTTGGTCTTGTTTCCAAAGTATGACTCCAATCCTAGCCAGTTTCAAATCAGTTCAAATTATTGCTATCATTTTTAAATTACTTCTATTAGGCAATTTTCATATGAATTCTAATTATGTCACACAACAATTTTCTTGAGGCAGATGTTACTACTTCCACTTTATGGAAGAGGAAAACTGAAATTGAATGTTCAGGCAACTTTCCTAAGGTCACACAGCTTAAGTGGTAGAGTATCTAGATTTGTATCCAGGCCTGTTTGAGAGTCCATTCCTCAACTAGAAGAGTCATGAAAAGATGGTTACTGTAGGTGGAATTTTGGAAAAGAAAGGGTGAGATTAAAATCGTAGAGCAGAAATGGGAACATTTGGATAGAGAAGTTTACTTGGGTAGCCAATGGTTAAGTAGACAGGCAGTTACTAAATATTGTGGTTAGCAACCCATTGTGCTTGTGGTTTTTCAGCTATTAAAGATACTTTACAGTTGCTTATGACAGTGTTATGTATACAATATTAGATTTGGTTTTGAAAGCTTGTCTTTTGCTCTTCTGCATGAGGTCAGAAACTGTTTTAATGTCAATTAGGCTTTGTTTTAGACAAGTGAGCATGATGAACACATTCCCATCCTGTTTTCTCTGAAACAATTTCCCCTGTTGAGAGAGGTGAGGAGCATGATTTGAACCAACCAATATAGTTTCTGTACTGGGATTATCTGGTTTTGTGTGACATTTAGAGGCTCACATAGTGTCAATGAGCAAAGAGATCTTAGAGGTAGCAATTTTAACCTTTCATTTTACTGATGAGGGTCTGAGGCCCAGAAGCGAGTAGTACTAGGTTATGGTCACTCAGACACCTAGCTCTTCCTGTTTGAATTGCAGTTGGGTTTATAGCTGTCTTACTCCTCGCTAGACTGTGAGCAATTTGAGAATAGGGAATAAATTTTACTCATCTTTATACTCTTGCGACACCTTGTTTATGGGCTAGCATGCAGTAGGAACTTAATAAATATTTGTTGTATACATATAGTTAAATGCATGCTTAGTAGAGATGAATTTTATAGGTCACTAAAATCAGATGTTAAAGTAGTATAATAATTTTTAACTCAATTTAATCTCTATTTGAATACCCTCTCAGCTTCAAAGGAAAAAAAAAACACAATATTGCTTATTCAAAGTCAATTTTGTAACCTAAGGATTTTACAGCTGATGTGGAATGAATACATGGTCAATTTAGGATTCTTCTCTCCACCTTCTCTAAAGAATGGCACTTAGGTCTGTTGTGCTCACTTACATGTATCTGACACCTCTTATGCATCCCTTTAGATCCTATTGCTATTTCAGCTACTACTGAGGTAAACAGTTTGGCACTTGTTTCACAGGTACAGCCCAATAGCATTTCTTGCTTTACTGATGCTGAAGTGTTGGATGTTTCAGAAATCAGTCAATGCATGCACAGCAGGGAAATGGCAATGAATTAATGCCCAATGGGACAGAACTTTGACTCATGGGGCATGGAGGATAGTTGATAAGTGCTTCCCCCTTTCTTCCTCTGGAAGGTGCATTTCATTTTTTTATTGCACCTCTGTCCTATTTTTCCATAAGTTATTGGGGTACAGGTGGTATTTGGTTACATGAATAAGTTCTTTAGTGGTGATTTGCAAGATTTAGGTACACCCATCACCCATGTATACACTGCACCATATTTGTGCTCTTTTATCCCTTGCCCCCCTGCCACTGTTCCCCAAAGTTCCCAAAGTCCATTGTATCATTCTTAGGCTTTTGCATCCTCATAGCTTAGTTCCCACATATCAGTGAGAAAATACGATGTTTGGTTTTCCATTCCTGAGATACATCACTTAGAATAATAGACTCCAGTGTCATCCAGATCACTGCAAATGCTGTCAATTCATTCCTTTTTATGGCTGTGTAGTATTCCATCATGTGTATGTATGTGTATATGTGTGTATGTGTGTGTGTGTGTGTGTATGTGTGTGTGTGTGTGTGTATGTGTGTGTGTGTGTGTGTGTGTATGTGTGTGTGTATGTGTGTGTGTGTATATGTGTATATATATGTGTATGTATATGTGTATATGTGTATATGTATAGACACCACAGTTTCTTTATCCACTTGTTGATTGATGGGCATTTGGGTTGGTTCCACGATTTTGCAGTTGCGAATTGTGCTGCTATAAACATCTGTGTAGGTATCTTTTTTGAATAATAACTTCTTTTCCTCTGGGTAGATACCCAGTATTGGGATGGCTGAATCAAATGTTAGTTCTACTTTTAATTATTTAAGGACTCTCCACACTGTTTTCCACAGTGGCTGTACTAGTTTACATTTCCACCAGCAATGTAGAAGTGTTCCCTGTTCACTGCATCCACACCAACATCTACTGTTTTTTGATTTTTTGATGATGGCCATTCTCATAGGAGGAAGGTGGTATCGCATTGTGGTTTTGATTTGCATTTCCCTGATCAGAAGCTCTTTAGTGATGTTGGACATTTCTTTACATGTTTGGCCATTTGTATATCTTTTGAGAGTTGACTATTCACGTTCTTAGCCCACTTTTTGATGGGATTGTTTTCTTTTTTTTTTTTTCTTACCAATTTGAGTTCGTCATAGATGCTGGATACTAGTCCTTTGTCAGATGTATAGATTGTGAAGATTTTCTCCCACACTGTGGGTTGTCTGTTTACTCTGTTGACTGTTCCTTTTGACATACAGAAGCTCTTTAGTTTAATTAGGTGACACCTATTTGTTTGTTTTTGTTGCATTTGTTTGGGGGTCCTTTGTTATGAAATCCTTGCCTAAGCCAAGGACTAGAAGGGTTTTTCTGATGTTATCTTCCAGAATTTTTATAGTTTCAGGTCTTAGATTTAAGTCCTTAATCCATCTTGAGTTGATTTTTATATAAGGTAAGAGATGAAGATCTAGTTTCATTCTCTTACATGTGGCTAGCCAACTATCCCAGCACCATTTGTTGAAAAGGGTATCCTTTCCCCCACTTTGTTTTTGTTTGCTTTGTCAAAGATCAGTTGGCCGTAAGTATTTGCACCCTCTGAAGCTATGGTCTGAGCTGTACCTTGGCCCCTTTTGGCCGCTGCTGGAGCTGGAGCAGCCATGATGCAGGGTACCATGTCTTGAGGCTGCACAGAGCAGAGGGGCCCTGGGCCTGGCCCACAAAACCATTTTTCCCTCCTAGGCCTCTAGGCCAGTTAGGGGAGGGGATGTCATGAAAGTGTCTGAAATGTCTTCAAGGCATTCTCCCCATTATCTTGGCTTTCAACATTTGACTTAGTTATGTAGATTTCTGGAGCCTACTTGAATTCTTCCCAAGAGAATGGGTTTTTCTTTTCTACCACATGGGCAGGCTGAAAATTTTCCAAAGTTTTACACTGTGCTTCCCTTTTAAATATGTTCTATTTTCACATAATCTCTTTGCTCATGCATATGAGTATATACTGTTTGAAGAAGCCGGGCCACATGTTGAATGCTTTGCTACTTAGAAATTTCTTCTGCCAGTTACCCTAAGTCATCTCTCTGAAGTTCAAAGTTTCACAGATCTCTTCCTTCCTTTTTGGCACTACAAGATGCCGCCAACCTCTTTGCTAATGCATAACAAAAGTGACCTTCACTCCAGTTTCCAATAAGTTCCTCATCTCCATCTAAGACCACTCCAGCTTGGACTTCATTGTCCATATCCCTTATGGGCATTTTGGTCACAACAAATTAACAAGTCTCTAGGAGGTTCCAAACTTTCCCACATCTTCCTGTCTTCTTCTGAGTCCTCCAACCTGTTCTAACCTCTGCCCATTACCTGGTTCCAAAACTGCTTCCACATTTTCAGTTATCTTTATAGCAATGCCTCCCTTCCCAGTACCAATTTTCTGTATTAATCTGTTCTTGCATTGCCATAAAGAACTACCAGACAATGGGTAACTTATAAAGAATAGAGGTTTAATTGGCTCATGGTTCCACAAGGTGTACAGGAAGCATGTCTGGGGAGGCCTCAGGAACAATCATTGGTGGAAGGTGGAAAGAGAAGCAGGCATGTCCTACATGGCTGGAGCAGGGGAAAGAGAGTGAAGAGGGGTGGGGGTACTACACACTTCTAAAGAACCAGATATCATGAGAACTCACTATCACGAGAAAAGCAAGGGAGAAATCAGCCCACAAGATCCAATCACTTCCCACCAGGCCCCTCCACCAATATAGGGGATTACAATTCAACATGAGTTTTGTTCAGGGACACAAATCCAAACCATATCAACCTAGGAGTAGAATTGCTAGATTATATAGCTTAAAAAAGTCAACTTTTCCATTTTCCAGCCCATTTTCCAAAGAGGCTGGATAATTTTACATTCTCACCAGCAATATATGAGAGTACCAATTTCTCCACATACTTACCAAGGTAGCATCCTTACCTTTCATTGCCTGTCTTTTAATTATGACCATGCCAGTGGATATAAACCAAATTCTCAAGATTATTTTGATTTGCATTTCTTTAATGATTAATGATGTTTAATATCTCTTCATGGGCTTATTGGTCATTTTGTATATCATCTTTGGAGAAATATATATTAAAATTTTTGCTGGTCTTGTGAGGGGCTCCTTTTTTGGCAATAATGTTGGCATCTGATCCCAACATTGGCTCATTTTTAATTGGGTTATTTGTCGTTTTATTGTTGAGTTGCAAGAGGTACTCCTAGATACTCTGGATATTGGATCATTATATATGGTTTGAAATTACTTTCTCCTAATTTTTGGGTTGACTTTCCCTTTCTTGATAGTGTCCTTTGAAGAATAAAATGTTTAAATATTAAGTCCAATATATCTATTTTTATTTGGTTTCTTGCTTTGATGTCATCTGTTTCATAGTTCTTATAGTTTTCTAACTTTTATTTTTTAGCTCTTGACATTTACTTCATTGATTGAATATTTTTTAATACAGTGTGAGGCTGTTCACGTTAAAACTAAACTTTATTTTTAAAGACGGTTTTAGATTTATTAAAAACTTGCAAAGATAACAGAAAGTTCCTATATTCACTCCTCCAAGTTTCTGTTATTAACATTTAAGACCACACTTTCTTTACATTGTATCAATGTTTACCTAATACGCTTTTTCTGTTCCAGGATCCCATCCAGGACACCACATTACATTCAGTTGTCAAGGTTCCTCTTGGCTGGGACAGTTTGTCAAACTTTGATTTTGATGAACTTGAAAGTTTTGAGAAGTACTGGTCAGGTGTTTTGTCAAATGTCCTTCAATTGATATTTGTATGATGTGTTTCTCATGATTAGACTCGGGTTACAGGTTTTGGGGAGGGGGATGATGGATGTAAAGTACCATTCTTGTCACATTATATCAAGAGTGCATAATATCAACATGATGTATTACTACTGATGTTGCCTTGATCACCGGGATTAGAGTAGTGTTTGGTAGGTTTCTCCTTGTAGTTCTACTCATCTTTAGTTTTTAAAATTGTATATTATACTCTTAGGAAGGAAGTCACTATACACAGCTCACACTGAAGGAATGAAATGTTCTAAAACCTTGAGAATGGAGTATCTACATAATCTGGTATTCTTCTGTATGGAATATTTTTCTCTTTACCCTAATGATTTATTCAGTCTTTCATGTATATCAGTTCAGTCTTTCATGTATATCAGTATAAGCACATTATGATTTATACTTTGCATTATAATCTAATTTTATTTTTGCTCAAAATTTCCCAGCTTTGGCTACCGGGAGCTGTTTCAATGATTTCTTGTGTCTCTTTGAATTACTCCTATTAATGTGGGTATTTTTTTAAGTGAGGACTTTACTTTTGGCACTACAAGATGCTTCCAGCTCATCCTAGAATGCTCTTGCCCCTGTCCTAAAATTGATTATCATACAGAATATCTCCAAGGAGCCTAGTTCCTCTTATCAGAGAATGGTATTAGAAATGAAGATTTGTGTGCTAGTTGTGTTCATTGCTACCGGGAAGTCATTGCTTTTAGGTCCTCTCAGCTGGTAGAGCAAGGAAATATATGTTTATATACTAACTCATATATATACACATACCTATAAATATTTCTGTATGTAACCATTTGTATCTATATAAAGCTAAACATGAGTTCATAGTAATACCTCCAACTTTAATCCATTACACATGCGTCATTCTAGGCTATTCCCCTTATTTTATAAACTCCCACTCCAATGGTAAGAAATCTGGCCCGCACTATCCACCATCCATTTACTTAATTGTTCAATTCCAGTATACATGTATAATGGTACCAGAATTGTTACTCCATTCCCCTGTACTCATGTGGGAAACATTTTTTATCAGTTACAATACATGTATAGTTCCTTTTGCCTTTAGTGTTACAGACTCAACTCATTTCCAAAGTCATTTAGGTCAGCACTTTATACCATTCAGCAAACTCATTTCATGCATTTGGAATACAATTAGATTCTCTTGTTATAGTCCATATTTTCTGGGATCCTCCTAGATTCTGAATCATTTTTTAAAATTCCATACATTAATGTTCACCCTTTCTACTGTAAAGGTCTGTGGGTTTTGGCAAATGTCTACTGTCGTGTATCCACCATTACAGTATCATAAATAATAGTTTCACTGCTCTAGAAAATTCCTCGTTCCTCACCTATCTTATTCTCCATCCCTCAACCCATGCCATATTTGGAAACTCCTGATTTTTCTTGCTGTCTTCATAGTTTTGCTTTGCCCAAAATGTCATACATGGTAATCATGCAGTATGTAGCCTTTTCAGATGGGCTTCTTTCACATAACCATATGTGTTTAAAGTTCATCCATGCCTTTTTATGGCTTGTCAGATCATTTTTTATTGCTGAATAACATTCTTTTGGATGTATGTAGTAGTTGGTCCATTTACCTATTCTTATTTACAATTTTACTTTAATTTTTATGACTTTTTTCCCACTTGCTTAAATTGTTCTTATTTTACCATTCCTGTTGATTCTTCCTGCTTATTCTCCCCCTTCCTGTTTGTAAGACTTTAACAATTTTTACATATACAGTACTGTAGTATTAACAGTATGTACCTTGTTACGTATCACATCTCTAGAACTTTTTTCCTCTTGCGAAACAGGAACTCTATAAGGGAGACTCAAATGGAAGCTCTTTCCATTGAATGACAACTTTTCTTTTCCACTTTGCCTTAGTCCCTGGAAATCACCACTCTACTACCTGTTCTAAGAGAGAGACTACTTTAAATACCTGTAACTGAAATCATGTAGTCTTTCTTTGTGACTATATAATGCATTATACTGTATTAGTAGGATGCAAATAGTATAATGCATTATACTATGTATTATGGAATTACAATGATGCATTATAATGCATTTGTGAATGTATAATACATTATACTAACTGCATTTACTATAATGTCCTCAAGGTTCACCCATTTTGTTATATGATAGTATTTCCTCTTTTAAGTATGAATAATATGCCAATGTATGTATGTGCCACATTTTCTGTATGCATTCATATATGAATGGATACTTGGGTTGCTTCTGTCTGTTGGCTATTGTGAATAATACTATCATGAATATGGGTGTGTAAATATCTCCTTGAGACCTGTTTTCAATTACTTTGGTTATATTCCCAGATGTGAGATTTATAGATCATATGGTTGTACTTTAAAAAATATTTAAGGAATCTTCATAGTATTTTCCATAGGGGCTCTACTATTTTACATTCCCACCAGCAATGTACAAGGGTTCCAATTTCTACACATCCTCTTGAACACTTGCTATTTCTTTTTTCAGTCAAAAGGCGAATAGTTTAATTATAGAAACTTCAAACTGCGGAATCTGTGCAGGAGCTAAAACATTATGTTAATCTGTATGAACGGATATGGAATAGTTTCTGACCCATATATACTGATAAAGATCGTCTCTTTATCAGGACTAGACATTGCTTTTCCTGTTGAAGAGGCTGAGTCTTGATTGCTTTAGCAAAATATATTGTCAACCTAGAACAAAGGAGACAGTTTTGACTAGGAAATCTTATAGGGTAAACAGTCTCTCTTTGTGACTGGTAGATATTTTCTCTTTATCCATATAAGCTTGTACTTTCTGCCTTCGTTTCACTGAGATCAGTGTGGGGGATGGTTAGGATGTTCTATTTTAATTTTTATCGAAGTAACACAAAAATGAGATTAAAAGTATGAGACAACGCAGGTTTTTAATGAAATGCAATATCTGCCTGCTTCAAACATCTCTATTTTCAGACATACTTTCTAGAAATAACCATTTTTAACCACTATACTTTTAAATTCTGGTTATTCCCTACTTCTATACTTGTAGGAATTTTACAGTTTTAAGTCTTAAATTTAGATATTTAAGCTATTTTGTGTTAACTTTTGTATATGGTATAAGCTAAGAGTCCAAATTCATTCTTTTGCATGTACGTAGCCAATTTTCCTAACATAATTTTTTGAAGGAGACTATCCTTTCCTTACTGTGTAGCTTTGGCATCCCTGTCAATGATCATGTGACCATATATAGGAGAGTATATTTCTGGGCTCTCTTCTGTTTTTTTGGACTACGTCTGTTTTATACCAGTACCATACTGGTTTCATTACTGTAGAATTTTAATATATTTTTAAATCATCCTCTTTCCTGTTTACTCTTAAGAATCAAATTTCCCCAAGTAATGTTTATAGTCAAGATATTTGTTTTAGTTTTGTTTTGTTACCTACAGTGCCACTGTTGCTTGGAGTAAGATAAATGGCATGTCATCCGCAGTAATCCTATCTTTTGGGCAACACAATTTTGAAAAACAATGAGATGAGGTTGACGTTATCAGTTGACAAATTTTTAATCCATGCCCAGATTTGTAATAAAACGTCTTCACATTTCATAATTTTTCATAATCTACCCCTGGGTCTTTGGAACCATGCAGATATTATGTGCTTTAAATAAAAAATCTTGTCACTTACGGTATGCATCAATATTGTTCTGAGGCTCAGGAGCATACCTATGCTTCCTCATGGATAATACTTTGAAAGAGTTCCTGTTTACTAGTGGGGGTTTTCTACTGTTCTCATGCAAGAAGTTTTACGGAAGAGTTTATTTGCATATGGAAATGTTTCTGTGTCTTGATTATCCCCAAAGGCATTCTGCACAGGAGTCATCTTTGCCCTCTCACATTCAGTTCTTTGAGTCGATGCAGCTGAAATTGTGGATAAATATAGAAAATTTCCACGATCCTAACAATCACATGCCAGCTTGTTATTGTGATTTAAACAAAGACAAAATATCATGTGCAAAAACAAACAAAATATAGTTAGTCAGGCATTGTTTCTAAACATGGACTCCAACCTCCAAAACTAAAAATACTTACTTGATTTATAAACCTATGGTGAAATATCATTGCTAATTTTAAAGAATTGAAGTCTGGGTTGCTGAATTGTATATGTTTTACATAAGCATTTGAATTAAGATTTCTAAAACAAATCCAAACTCTGAATCATAAAATAGTCTATTATGTATAATGTGCACGGCTTGGGATACAAAACTGCTCGACATTAAAGCTGTATGTAAGTGATTTTACTTAATTTTCCAGTTTAATGGAGATGTGTTAAAAACATTAATCTTTTACATCTCCCCCTCCTCTATCTCAAAATCATGTTACCAGTAACCATTACTCCATTATAGCACCTGAGGAAGGTGGAGAACTGCTTCCCCCATGTATTAGTCTGTTTTCACACTGCTAATCAAGACATACCCGAGACTGGGTAATTTATAAAGGAAAGAAGATTCATTGACTCACAGTTGAGCATGGCTGGGGATGCCTCACAATCATGGTGGAAGGTGAAGGAAGAACAAAGGCATGTCTTACATAGTGACAGGCAAGGGAGCATGTGCAGGGGAACTGCCCTTTATAAAACCATCAGATCTTGTGAGACTTATGCACTATCATGACAATAGCATGGGAAAACCTTCCCCCATGATTCAGTTACCTCCTATCAGGTCCCTCCCACAACATGCGGGGATTATGGGAGCTACAATTCAAAATAAGATTTGGGTAGGGACACAGCCAAACCGTATCATTCCCTGGCCCCTCCCAAATCTCATGTCTTCACATTTCAAAACCAATCATGCATTCCCAACAGTCTCCCAGTCTTAACTGATTTCAGCATTAACTCAGAAGTCCATAGTCCAAAGTCTCATCTAAAATAAGGCAAGTCCCTTCTGCCTATGAGACTGTAAAATCAAAAGCAAGTTAATCACTTCCTAGATACCAGAGTATAGGCATTGGGTAAGTACGCCCATTCCAAATGGGAGAAATTGGCCAAAATGGAGGGGCTACAGGCCCCATGCAAGTCTAAAATCCAGTGGAGCAATCAAATCTTGAAGCTCCAAAATTATCTCCTTTGACTTCATGTCTCACACCCAGGTCACACTGATGCAAGAGGTGAGTTCCCATGGCCTTGGGTAGTTCCACCCCTGTGACTTTGCAGGGTACAGCCCCCCTCGTGGCTGCTTTCATGGGCTGGCATTGTCTGCGGCTCATGGTGCAAGCTCTTGGTGGGTCTATCATTCTAGGTCTGGAGGACGGCGGCCCTCTTCTCACAACTCCACTAGTCAGTGCTCCAGTGGGGACACTGTGTGGTGCTCCCACCCCCACGTTTCCCTTCTGCACTGTCCTAGCCGAGGCTGTCCATGAGAGCTCTGCCCCTGCAGCGCACCTCTGCCTTGGACATACAGGTGTTTCCACACATCCTCTAGAATCTAGGTGGAGGTTCCCAAACTTCAATTCTTGACTTCTGTGCACCCACAGGCCCAACACCATGTGGAAGCTGCCAAGGCTTGGGGCTTGCACCCTCTGAAACAACAGCCTGAGCTGTACACTGGCCCCTTTTAGCCACAGCGGGAGCAGCTGTGGGATGCAGGGTGCCAAGTCCCAAGGCTGCACACAGCAAGGAGCACCCTGGGCGTGGCCCATGAAACCATTTTTTCTTCCTATCCGTCATGGCCTCTGATGGGGAGGGGCTGCTGTGAAGACCTCTGATGTACCCTGGAGGCATATTCCCCATTGTCTTTGTGATTAATATTTGGTTCCTCATTACTTAAATTTCTGCAGCTGGCTTGAATTTCTCCCCAGAAAATGGGTTTTTCTTTTCTATTATATTGTCAGGCTGCAAGTTTTCCAAACGTTTATGCTCTTCTTCTTGAACGCTTGGCTGCTTAGAAATTTCTTCCTTCAGATACCCTAAATCATCTCTCTTAAGTTCAAAGCTCCACAGATTTCTAGGGCAGGGGCAAAATGACACCAGTCTTTTTGCATAGCAGGAGTGATCTTTATTTCAGATTCCAAAAAGTTCCTCATCTCCATCTGAGACCACATCAGTCTGGACCTTATTGTCCATATCACTATAAGCATTTTGGTCAAAACCATTCAACAAGTCTCTAGCAAGTTCCAAACTTCCCCACATCTTCCTGTCATCTTCTGGGCCCTCCAAGTCTCTAGAAATTCCAAACTTTACCACATTTTTCTATCTTCTTCTGAGCCCTCCAAACTGTTGCAACCTCTTCCTGTTACCCAGTTCCAAAGTCGCTTCCACATTTTTGGGTATCTTTACAGCAGCACCCCATTCTACCAGTAGCAATTTATTGTATTAGTTCATTCTCATGTTGCTAATAAAGACATATCTGAGACTGCGTAACTTATAAGGGAAAGAGGCTTAATTGACCCACAGTTCAGCGTGGCTGAGGAGGCCTCACAATCATGGTGGAAGGCAGAGGAGCAAAGGCATGTCTTCTATGGCTGCAGGCAAGAGAGCATGTGCAGCGGAACTTCCCTTTTTAAAAGCATCAGCTCTCATATTTATTCACTATCATGAGAAAAGCAGGAGAAAACGTGCCCCTGTGATTCAATTACCTCCCACTGGGTCCCCCCTACAACATGTGGGGATTATAGGAGCTACAATTCAAGATCAGATTTGGGTGAGGACACAACCAAGCCATATCACCCCATTATATCACCTAGACATTATACCACTTACAAAGGAAAATGGTTAGCAAGGTAGAGAAATTAGAAAGTCCACACTGTAATGGAAAGTTGTCATGTTTTTTGCAGCCCAGCATCTAAATCCTCCTGAGTTTGGTGCAGTGCTTGCTGCATGAGGTTTTTCACTAGAGAATCTTGAAAATGCCAGATATTTGCTTCCCCAGGCTACTTTGCAGTTAAGCCTATCTAGTCAGAAACCCCTATCTCAGGCCTTACGTGGAAAATTGATACAAAGAAAAGACTGAAAAATCCATTCTGGCAAGCACAGAATGGGTGTGCTGGCAGCCTCATCAGTTGTCCAGCACCAGTGATGTCTAGATCCAGCAGTGGTGGCAGTAATGTCTTCCAGTACTTCTGTGGTGTAGCTCTGATGCCTCTCTGCATGGTTCTTCAGCCCTCCTGGAATCTGTGAGCTAACCAGTTTCCAGGAATAAATTTATTTTCTGTTTAAATTAGGTAAAACTGGTTCCTATTGCTTCCAGCTAAGACCTCTAAGAGGTACACTCACCCCTTCTAGTCTCTTGTGAATTGAGAAAAAGAGATCAGAGGTATGGGAATCAGATGGTGAGACACCTGTGTTTCACATTCATGTCTTCAGCCTGGGGTTGAGAAGAAAGCCTAAACAGGAAAATGGTCAGCTGGGCCTCTCAAATCTTGGTGGTCTTATAAGGGACTCACATAGCCACATGGAGCTGCCACATCAGCATAAAATGAGTAGAATAGCGTGGTTAGGCAGAGAGGGACTAAGATCGGTTCTTCAGGGTTTCCCAGTCTTCCATGTCACAGAAAAAGCATGCAGAGGTCCTCAAATGTCCTGAGTAGGAATGTGAAATATAACTGACAGTATTTGATGGTGAACTTGTGAGGGGTGACACAATGTTACTGACAACAGGTGCTTAGGCTCTCATGTAATAAAAATTGACACGAGGTTGAGCAGGTTTCCCAGACAAGGCTTTTATTAGGGGCTTATGTTTGAACACAAGGGAGGCAGCACAACAGTTTTCTGGCTGATTCCAAGAAGAGAGTCAGGATGGTAATTTTAAAGGGGCTAAAGTCGGCAAGGAGTGACATTTAAGCATGTAGAAGTCGGGAACTTCTGGCACCTGTGCAGTTTGATAACATGCTTCATTTGTTGCATGTCTTATTAGCATATTAAATATTAAGTGTCCACCTTTGCATGTGAGTGTTGAGTATTATAATGAAACTATGGTGGAAGTTCAGTTGTTCTTCTGGTCTTGTACACAGCTGGGAGATAGGATTAAACCCCCTTGAGTAAGATTTATGGTGGGAGCTGCTTATTAGTTTCCTTAAGGTCCTGGAATCAATGGTAGGCATCTTGAGTAAGATTTCCAGTGCAAGGTCTTGATGGTCTCTTTGGGGTCGCTGCTGGCCATGCCTGCCACCAACTTGCAATAGAGGTCCTTGGTGGGCTACAGGGGTCAAGTCCCATCCCTGCTCTGTCTTCACGACAATAGGATAAAGTGATCCTATAGTTGAAGACTGCAGGACAGACTGGGCATAGGACGCAGTAAGAGATGTAGCTAACTCTCTGGGTAGGAAGCTATGCTGATGAGAACTAAAGTGAGGCCAAGTTAACAGGGAGGACCATTGGCCCTGTTTGAGCTGAGATGACAGGCCATTAATTCCTAGCTGTAGACTGGATAGATGACAAGGACAAGGGACAATTACCACTCCCACCAAATAAGCCAGTGAAAATTCAGGGATATGTAGTCATTATGGGATGGAAAATAATATTGTCTCACTTTTTTTAGTAGGGGATAAATATTCCTTCTGTGGTGTTGAGGGAAAACTTGGAACTCGGTCACTATTTTTGTCAAACTTATTTCGGATAGGATAAAATGGGTAAGTTGGTTGTTTTGTGTCCCCTTGAGGGTTCACTTATCACATGAACTTCCTGTGCAGTGAAATGTGGTTTGCAGGTACTGAGATACTTGCCCAAAGAACTTGTTTTTCCTCTGCCTCTGCATTACACCAAGGTTTCTTAGAAATGTAATGGATTTGTCATTAGTCCGTGTTTATATTTTTTTATTCTTATAAATTATTGAGCTAGTCAAATATACTGAAATTTACTGCATTTGAACATAGAACCAGAAAGTAAGTTGCCTAGCGTATACATGCCACTCTCATTTACCAGTGTTCAAGAAATTAGCATTTTTCCTTCTCACTGTGACCAGACCACATGACCTATTTCTAGATTTGAATACTAGAAATAGTATTTATACAGTAAATAATGTGGCTTCCAGATCCTCTGGCCACATTGACTAAGTAACTGAAACATGAACCATCCATATTCAGAGTAACAATAAAAATGACTTGTTATCACATTTTGACATGACATATCTATTGAGAATGCTCACTCACTCATACTGCCTGGTTTTATTGAGACATCACCAATTTCCTTAGGTATTTAGAGACAGTTAATTCTTACAATTAAAGTAGCTGAGGCAGAGAGGGATGCAAAGGAATTTGCCTGGAGTAGTGGTGGAGTTAGAATTTATTAATAGTTCAGTTGCTTGCTCTTAGTGAACCTGTGTTTTTTGGAGATAATATCCATCATCACTTTAATTTCATGCCTGTGGGATAGGGTAGTCTACCTATGTAACTAGTGGGACTATTATCATGCTGCAGTTCAGAAATGACATTTTACCACCAAAGACCTGACATAAGTTACTTGGTTCGGTTGATTATATATTTTGAAAGCCCCTTTGCTGTACCATCATCTATTTGAAATGAGATTCAGTACTTTTCCCAGAGGATCAAAACATATCAATGTGTGTATGTGTATAATCTTTCAATTCCCATTGTCCAGGGACAAAGCTATTTAATCAGCTTGATATAGATAGCTCTGAGGTAGTAATAAAAATGAAATTTTCATAGATTAACATTTTAAAAACACATTATTAAGAAAAATAAACTGACTGGATTCTTCTACACAAATAAACATGAATTTCCTATAAGATGAAGGTGCATGAAAGAGGGACATCCTCTTGATAAATGAACTGTTATTGTCAGTCACGATTAAAATTTTGTTAGAAGTTGTACAAGAACAATCTAGAATTAGCATGACCTTAGTTTGTGAAGTATGGTCAATTTAAATGTCATTGTAGAGCATTATATTCTTTTTACACCTTTGTTATAGTTATGAGAAATTGAAAATTCATAATGCTTTAAGTTCCATCTTACAATAATTAAATTTATACAGTAAATACATCACTTTTAAATTTTTTCATATTTGTAGTGACTTTCAAATACTATTGAAGAATTGTGCTAAGTAATGTGAATGTGAACTTAGATACGTTCAAAGTACATACCTACACAGATAACTAAATGCTATAGCTGCAAAGTTGATTTGTTTGCTACCTCAGGTTATCACTGTTTGTAAGACAAAAGCACAAGGCACCTATGAAAATAATCCGTGAAAAAAAATGGAATATAACTCAAAAAAGGCAGAAAATGCAGATGAGGCTATGAATGAAGAAGAGCTCATGGTGTATCACATAAAGTAAAATCTCACATACTGCATTTCCTTCATGAAAATTCTTTACAAAGGAAAACAATCAAATTCAGTCGTTGTAGGCTCAATCGTGTCCCCTTCCCAAGTTCTTTTTTCTTTAAAGTCAGGGTCTTACTCTACTGCTCAGGCTAGAGTGCAATGGTGTGATATTGCCTCACCACAACCTGGGCCTCCTGGGCTCAGGTGTTTCTACCATCTCAGCCTCCCAAGTAGCTGTGACTACAGGTGTACAACTCCACAACCAGCTTTTTTTTTTCTTTTTTGTATTTTTAGTAGAGACGGGTTCTGCCATGTTACCCAGGTTGGTCTTGAACTCCTAGGCTCAAGAGATCTGCCTGTCTTGGCCTCCCAAAGTGCTGGGATTACAGATGTGAGCCACTATGCCTGGCCCCCTCCTCAAATTCATATGTTGAAGACCTAACCCCCAGCAACTCAGAATATGACTGAATTTGGAGATGGTATCTTTAAAGAGGTGATTAAGGTAAAGTTAGGTCATTAGGGTGGGCCCCAATCCAAAGTGACTGTTATTCTTATAAAACAAGGAGATTTAGGATACAGACACCAACAGAGGGGTATGACCATGTGAATATACAGGGAGAATGCAACCATCTGCAAGACAGAGAGGCCTTGAAGAAACCAACACTGCCAACACCTTGGTCTCGGGCTTCTAGCTTCCAGAATTTTGAGAAAATCAATTCAGTTTGTTTGAGCCAAATAACCTGTGCTACTTTGTTATGGCAGGCCCAGCAAACTAGTGTAATCACATATACAAAGAGTTGTCATTTATGTATGCTTAACTGCATTGAATCACATTACTAATGGTGCATGGCATGGCAGCTGCTAAATTTGGTGCAAAAATTAAAACAGAGCTTCGTGTTTCTAATCATTCTTAAATAATGTATCATAGATCTTTTGTATAAGTTATTTTGCTATTCTGGAATATGAAAGGGCAGGAGAAAGGAAAAAGCCAGTTTTCTCAACTGTGCTTCTCTGCTACCTGTGTGGAGAATTGTCATCAGCTTCTGCTCTGCATGGCCTGGGGAGAAGAGTTGTGCTAAGTTAGGCCGCATCTGCTTTTGTTCCATGTAACTTGTTTGCTTCCATCAATTTTCATATTTCTGATCAAGTTAGTGGTGGAATTAATAGTGCATGTGGCTGTATATGTTTGGTGTCAGTAGTTTCCAACCTAAATTCTATATCAATTAAATCACCCGTTAGATATTTGATAGAATATAAATGTTTCAGAAATTCTAGGTTGCTAAAGATTTCACCTCCCACATAACCTTTCTCAACTTCAACTTTTCTTAACTATTAGAGGCTGTTCTCCATGAAAAGAGAGAAAAAAACAAGAAAATATGAAATAGAGCAAACGGGGGACACTAGCAAAGGGCAAAGAAAATCCTAGAAGGATGGGGAGCAGATCCCCAGAATGGCAGCTGTGCTCCAGATGTAACCAGCCCACATTGTAGTAATGTGACTCAAGACATGATGCCACCATTGTACCTTCTTCTTTAACCTGAGGACACAGTGCTCAGGTGAGCCCAGCCCAAATTCTTACCTGCCCTTGGCTTATTTTCTGGTGAACTTCCTATTCTGCTTTCTAGATCCTTCTGCCTGTTGAGCCTATGACACAATTTCATCTCATGGAGGTATTCTTTCTCTCCAGGAGAAACTTAGAAACAAAAACTATAGAACAGCCTACTTCCCTGATTACAGCCCTGCCAGATATCCCAAGTATAGTGAGCCTTTTGTTTTCCAGGTCTCATAACCTTGCTCATTATTACCCTGGAAAGGGCTCTTATAAACTCTCACTGAAGTCAAAGTTACATTTTGTGTGGCTTACCTCTTCTTGAATTTCTTCATCTAACAATGGCAGCATTGCCCACACTTGGTTTTTCAAAACAAAGCAATGTATGAGCGGAGGAAGGAAGATGTGATAGGAGAGGAGCTAACAGATCTTTTAAAGTATTGGTAGGGTCCTATTTTCTTCATCTGGGTGTGGGTACTTAAGAGTTCATTTTATTAGTAGTATTAGTTTGGGTATATTTTATTAGTATTAGTATTCTTGAAACTAGGGGTCAGCAAACTTTTGGTAAAGGATCAGATAGCAAATATTAGCAGCTTTGCAGTCTATAAGATCCCTGTCAAAATTAACCCTACCATGTAGCACAAAAGCAGCTATAAGTACTGTAGACTACTTGATGTGATTGTTTTCCAATAAAACTTTAAAAGACTGGGCTAAAATCAGGCTTGATTTGGCCAATGAGTTGCAATTTGCTGGCCCTTCCAAATTGTACATACGTGTTTTATATGTTCTTATAAATGTGTGATCTATTTTTAAAAATATGTAAACCAGCAAAGAACCCCTGCCAGAAAGACCAAGATGCCAATATTCATTCCACAGTAAATCATAAAATGCCTTTTTGGCCCCTTTTTCTACATTCTTATTTCCTTTCTTTCCTGTTTTAGTTTGGCCTGCTGTCATATGACCTTTGCATTATCATAATTTTGGACATAAGCCCTATGATATAATGGACATTGGATTGGAAATCAGGAAAACCAGATCCTACCCACACCTCTACCACTGACTACTAAATAGGTAAGTGAAAATGCCTTTCCTCCTTCAGGCCTCAGTTTCTCCCTAGGTAAAATGAGTTAGGCCAAGTGGTTTCAGAGGCCATTTATAACCCAAATAGTCTGTTATTTCAAATGTCTTACTGTGATTCAATTGCAGACATTGACTTGTGCACTTCTTTCCTGACTCCCCATGAAAAAGAGAGTAGTTCAAGTTACACATGAACACCCACTTGGAATATTTCCATCTAAGTTTTCTAGGTTAGAGGATTCATATGCCAATCAGCATTTTAGTATTAATTGGAGTACATTTGATTACTCAAACATGTAATAATACTGCAAAACATGTAAAAACCTGGAACTTCAGTTACTCTTTCCTCATTTAAAACCTGAGTAATGATTATTTACATGTAATTAACATTAATTATTAACAAGTAATAATACCGTAAAACATGTAAACATGTACTGAAACATCTCAATACTCTGGTTTTTCATGAAGCCAGTACTTTTTAATTGCACAGATGAACACTCAAATAATAGTTAGTGATTGTACCGTCTCCAGTGAAGAATTGTAAAATCTATCAAGTCTGTCATGATATTCTGAAGGTTTTGGTTGCAGGAAAATTAAAGGCTTTTCAAGTAATCGATTATAGAAGTGAAATTTTTAGGTGTTTATCTTGTGGTACATATACTTTTCACATAGGTTGTCAACTGTCATATACAATTTTATTTTGGAGGCTTGGATTTACAGATGAGTTTTAGAAATGAAAAGATAAAGCCTATAGCTCATTGGTAGAAAGCTGGACCCAACCCAGGGAAGAGTGAGTGGTCCTTGGTAATGACTTGCCTCTAAAGATGAAGGTCCTGACTAGGCTACCTGAGTGATGCATGGAGGCTGCACATTTTGTGTGGCTTACCTCTTCTTGAATTTCTTCATCTAACAATGGCAGCATTGCCCACACTTGGTTTTTCAAAATTCAATAAAAGGCTTACATTTTATTTTAAAATAAAATGCAGAATACTCTTATTAAGGGAGCAATGATAATCAAGTTTTTCTTCCAATAAATGAAAATAAAAATATATCAAATGAGAAGATTGAGTATAATTTGGTTTCTGCTTTTGAACCTGATTATCTCCAGAAAGAAAATCTTAACATATTCAATTCGTTGTATATGCATCAATTGACTTCCATTTCTCAGTTCCAACAAATATACAGAAAATGAGTAGTGATTCACATTACACTTTAGGTAGTACTGACAGGAGCAACACTAGGAAAGTTAAGGTATTTTCAGAAAAGAAAAGCAGTTCATCCCGGTGAAATGGATTTTCTAATACCATAGAAAAGTATTAGTTGCTTAGGGAGATTGCAGATATTTTATGCCCTTGTATTTCCTGTTTGCTCACTGTCCCTCTGTGATCTTCCAACAAGCCTGGAAAAGAACCTCGCACATGGTAGGTGCTAGAAGAAGTTTGACCTGAAGTTTCTTAAGATAGTCTGCCTTTCTTCAGAGAAGCATCTCCTCAGCTTGACTAACAGTTATGAAACAAGTTAAAAAGATGCACGCCTTCCTAGGTCAGGATTTAATCCTAACCTCTGTTTGAGCCTGGCTATTCAATTTTAATTCAATGATTATAAAGCTCCTACTCTGTCAGGAATGAGGAAAGAGTAAGTGAAGCTCCAGGTTTTGAAGTTGTGAGAAATATTTCCATTCTATTCTATTTGATTCTATTCCAAGTATTCTCCCAGATGCTGCATTCCCTTCTCCAGAGGCAGACACAGTCAACAATTTCTTGTGTATCTTCCAAGAGAATTGTCTGTTCATATCCTTTTACCTATTTTACTATTGAATCATTGATATTTTCATATTGATTTAAAGTTTATAGTCATATATTTATTAAATTATCAAATGTATACTGTAAGACATGGTGCTAGGCACTGCTTGTCGATTACTCTTCAAAATAACATTGCAAAATGATGCTTTCTTTTCTCTTTATGAATTTTGTGGATCTCAGAATTGTTACAAGCCTTATCAAGGTGATTCTACAAATAGTAAGTTATAGAACTGGGGTGAAATATAAGTCTTTGGCTCCAAACTCTGTATTTTTTCTACCATATCACACTGCTGTGTAAAAAGCCCTATTGTTAGATATAATTTAAAAGCAGCTCTTAAATTTGGCTATTCACCAACTCTCAGACTTTGGAAGTCTCTACAGATATTTACTGGTATTCAGCCTCTTCATTCCTCAGCCATTCCTGTTTAAATAGCAAGTAGACCAATAATCTCGGTCCCTCAAATCAGACTTGAGACTCAGGATCCATAGGACAAGGTAGCTAATTTGCTTACTTTTCTTTCTTTGGAACAAGTTACTTATTTTCTCTAAGCTTTTTTTTTTTAAATTCTATAATATGTTTAACAAAATCATCACTATCACAGGGGTACTGTGTGTGTTCACTCTTCTAGTTTCTGTATATAAATCTAGTTTGACTACCGGTTCTACCTGAAGGTAGGCCACACCTCTCCTCATTTGCGTATTGATTGATTCATTCACTGAACATTTATTAAGCATTTATTTTGTCAGGCAATGAGCTTGGCATGAAGGATTCAGCTGTGAATGAGACTGAAACAGCTTTTGCCCTTACAGACCTATAGCCTACAGAGGAAGATAGGCATGAATCAAGCAATTTCAATGACATATGACAGCTGTTATAATATGGCAGTAGACGATGCTAGGGACTAGTACGGGGATCCAGAAAGACCACTTAGAAGAAGTGACGTGTAAGTTAGCTGAGAAGTAGACAGTGAATGGAGGTCACTAGGCAAAAGAGGTGGAAAGTGGGGGCAAGTTAAACGTGGTGCTTGATATATATGTAGAACTGTGAATGGTGACAAATAACTGCTGTCTCCAGCAGTTTCTTCCCCACTTCTTCAGCCCCAAATTTAGCAAAGCATAGCAGCCAAACATTCTTTCCAGCCATAGAGGCTTAAGTCATTCAAGCCTATCCACCTCCGGTGTTGTACTTGACCACAGTGGTTAAAGTGTAAAGATCAGTGACTGCAGGAAGAAGGTTCTGCCCTTATTAACTGAGAAAGGCTTACCTTTAGTTACATCCATTTAGAGCTTTACACAACTTACTACATTCACTATGTTCTCGTACGCTGTTAAAACCGTCCACATCTCTCTTGGATGTTTTAAAGGCTTTGCAACCAGTTTGATGGGAATTGTAGATAGGATGGAGATGTGGGCTAACAGTAGAACTGTCTACTAAAAAAGGCACATTTTCTCCTGAAATGTTTGATCTGTGTGAATGTGGATAGTATGGATGATGTGTTAATAAATCTTTTCATCTCTCTTCTTTCAGTCAGCATTCATTTATTGTAACCTTCATACTTCCTCCTTTTTTTTTTTTTTGACTTAGATTTTATCCATGCCCCCGGAAGCAAAAGAGACTAATGATGACTACAAGGGTAGCCTAGTCAGCAACCAGTATCTTGCCTTGTTAGTGATTTTCCAGAAGCTTCAAACAGCACTGTGTTCTGGGAGTTGACAATGGTTTTAAAAAATAATAAATTGTTTCTTAAATTTGTAAATAGTCTTGAAAAACATCTTTGTCTCTTGGTTAAACTGTTAGCTAGGCTCCCTATGGTAATTGATGTGTTCTTTTTCCTTCTGTTGTTTTGTCAGTTGGGTACTTTTCATCTGTAGCTTAATGGGCCTATGGTGCCTTCATTATGTATGTTACTCTTAGCAGAAAAAGGAATTTGATTCTCTGTCCTCTTTGGCTTTTTTCTTGGTATCTGTGCATTCGTTCTCTTATTCAGTTGTTCATCAAAGATTTTTTGGCTCTATGGAGGTACTGGGAGGATCCAAGAAGAAAGACATGGTCCTGTGCCTAAAGGAGTCAAAGGAAAAGACACACACAAACCTACAACTCAGGAGGCAGCGTGATAAATGGTGCAACAGAGATGTGTATAAATTGCTATGGAAGTACAGTCGAGGGATACTGTCTCTCAAGATGTCAACAGTCCCTACAGGGACTGTTTGGGTTTGACTCACTGAGAGAGTTTGACTCACATTCATTAAATCACATTGTCTAAGATTTTTAAGTAATATTGTGACTGGTGGTTGCAGCTCATCTAGAAAGAGTATGACCTTTGAGAATTGAAATTACATTTTGATGGATCCTGTACCCTAAATTCATGGTCATAGGAAATGTTAGAAAACAATTTTTGACTCAGGATCCACCAGCAAAATCTCAGCAACCAAGACACCCTCCCCCTACCTCCTTACTTTCCTTCTCATTCATGAAGTGCCTAAGTGTAACCTGCATCCACACCTCCTCTACTGTTTTGGATGGATTTAGTGTAATTTGAGTAATTTTAGGTTTTTTCTTATTTACTCTCTAACTTTTTGGTTCGTTTTGTTTTTCTAGTTTGTTAGCTTAATACTTAGTTCATTTCTATATATAGTACTTTATTTTTAATAATAAAATGTTTTAACTCTGTACATTTTCCTGAATACAGCTTTAGTTATATCCTGTATACTTTCATGAGATATTTTACTTTGTGTTAAATTATAGAAAATATATAACTTCAATTTTTTTCCTTCAATTTGGTGATGTTTATCAGAGTGTTCCTTAATTTCTAAGTGGTGAAGTTATGGGGCAATCTTTGAGTTGTTAACTTCTATTTTATTTTTATTGGATTGTTGTCAGGCATGTGAAGTACATATTTACATATGTATTATGTGAAGTACATATTTACATATGTAAATATGCGCTTCATATTTACATGTATTACATATTTATGTATGTATTACATAATTTATGTATATATTGTGTATATATAGCATATGTATATATTGTATATGTATATGTATATATGTATATATTACATAATTTATGTATATATTACATATACATATGTAAATATGTAATACATATTTGTGTATTTATGCAAAGTACACTTTTAAATTTATGTATTATGTGAAGTACATTTTTAAATTTAAGAGTCTAATTAGGTTTTACTGTGGCCAGATATATGATCAATTTTTATTAATGTTCCAATAAAATATGTTGTTGGTATTTGTAGGGTACAAAGGTGTGTGTGTGTGTGTGTGTGTGTGTGTGTGTGTGTGTGTGTGTGTTACATTGTTTCCAAATTATAGTATTCAAATACTATACAGGTTTTGTGGCATGGCCTCCTAACCTACCGATGATCCAACTTTTTTTTTTTTTTAGTTTTCTTTGTCTTCTTAGAAGGTTTTGCTTAATGTATTAATGTAATGATGTTATACAGTTTGTTTCATAATTTAGACTTGTTTCACTAATCTTTGTAGGTTGCAGCTTTTACCATCACAAAATTTCTGTCCCTTTTAATATTTTATATCTTGGGTTATTTTTTAATTAATATGCATATTACTTTTTCCTTTGCATTTTCCTGATACAACTTAACACATCCTTTTATTTTATTTCTCTTTAAAATATTAAGTTTTTGAGGCAATTGGAGCACAGTTTGGCTACTCACCCAACCTGGCTTCTCTTTCTTGGGTCAGCAGCTAAATAACATTTTCCAGTACTCTTGCATCGAGATGGGGCCATGGGACTGGTCTAATCAATAAAATGTGGATAGAAGTGATGTGTATCACTTAAAAGTCTTATCCCTAAAAGGTCCCCCATGATCTTCTATGTTCCCCTTCTTGTCTTTGCTCATAGGCTGACTAAACTTAGAGGATTCAGCCCTAGTGGAAGGCAGACCTAAGGCTGAAGACAGCATGAGGCTTGTATGGAAAGCTTCAAGCAGAACACTTAGATTGTAGCATGAGTGAATTCTTTGTTATAGTTCTTAATGTACCTTAATTTGGAGAAGGTATACAATGCTCCAAATTCAAAAGACAAGCAAACATATACAATGAGGTATGACTTATCCTTCCTCTCTGGTCTCCCAGATACTGCATTCCCTTCACCAGAGGCAGACATGGTCAACAATTTCATGTGTATCTTCCAAGAGAATTGTCTGTTCTTATCGATGTATCTATTTTGCTATTGAATCATTGATATTTTCTTATTGATTTAAAGTTTGTAATTATATATTAAGGATATTAGGGCTTTGATGATATAGGTAGCTAATATGTTTGTCTTTAAGTGATTTTCATACATTCAGAAAGTTTTGATTTATATGTAGTTGAATTTGTCAATCTTCTTAAAATGGAATATCACTTTTTGTAATAGCTTGCATATTTGTATCTGCATTTATCTGTTGTATCAAATTTAAATAGAATATGCTCCCTCTTCCTCTAAGTCATGTACTTTTCTACTCCATCTCCATCAATACCTTTAAAAAAGCCATTTACTTTCCCATTCCGGAATGCCCTATACCTTCTTACACTTTTACCCTGTATCTCCTGGGTTTTTCTTAGATGGTTTGGAATTTTAGTTTCAGACACTATATATTTTAAATTAGAAAATGTCTCTTCTGT
Organism: Homo sapiens; assembly: GCF_000001405.40. Taxonomy (NCBI): domain Eukaryota; kingdom Metazoa; phylum Chordata; class Mammalia; order Primates; family Hominidae; genus Homo; species Homo sapiens. Next base: position 147,623,348 of record NC_000023.11, on the reverse strand, counting down.
TTCAAGAATCCTTACAAAACACTTTTATATAGTTTCCAGTGTTATTATCCTAATTCATTTATATATAATTATAAATATGATACAATTCATTGTTCAGTGCTATTTCTTATACTTTGTTTAGGAGATTTTTGTTTAGATTTTTTATTTGGCTGAAGTACTTCTTTGAGTGAGTTCTTGAGAAAGTACCTTTTGAGTCCTTGCATGTCTTAAAATACCTTTTCTTTGTTATCTCCTGTAAGTGAGACCTTGGGCACTACAGGATTCTAATATCGCAATTCATTTTTCCCAGTAAACTGTAGCTGTTGCTGCACTCGATTCTAGCTTCTAGTATTGCACAGAGGATACTTGATGTTAGTCTGCTTATCTTCTCTTCACAAGAAACCAGTTCTTCCTTTCTTGAAGCTTTCAAGAGTATTTTTCATCCTTGGAGTTCAAAAATTTTATCACAGTAGATCCAACTACAGTCAGCCCTCTGTATGCATGGGTTCCACATTTGCAGGTGTAACCAAACCTTGGATCAAAAATATTTCTTTAAATAACCAATACAAATAACACTACAACAATAAAAATAATATAAAGTATAACAACTATTTACATAGCATTTATATTGTGTGAGGATTATGAAGAATCTAGTGATGATTTAAAATACATGGGATGGCCAGGTGCGGTGGCTTATGCCTGTAATCCCAGCACTGTGGGAGGATGACGTGGGTGGATTGCTTGAAGTCAGGAGTTCGAGACCAGCCTGGCCAACGTGGTGAAACTCTGTCTCTACTAAAAATACAAAAAAAAAAAAAAAGGTAGCCAAGTGTGGTGGTGCATGCCTGTAATCCCAGCTGCTGGAGAGGCTGAGGCAGGAGAATTGCTTAAACCGGCAGGGTGGAGGTTGCAGTGAGAAGAGATGCTACTGCACTCCAGCCTAGGTGACAAAGCAAGACTGTCTCAAAAACAAAAGCAAAGAGAAGTAAAAATAAAATATATGGGAGGAGATGCATAGGCAATATGCAAATATTATGCCATTTTATATAAGGGATTTGGGCATCTTCAGATTTGGTATCCGTTGTGGGGGTCCTAGATCTAATCCCCCAGGATGTTAAAGGGATGATTGTATGTAATTATTTTATTAACTCTGCCTATGCCTCAGCAAAGTCTTAGAGCCTCAACACCGAAGTCATTCATTAGCTCAAGAAAATTGTTGCTAGTATATCATTGATAGTTTACTTCTCTTCTATTTCTTCCTGTTTTTTTTTTTCATGAAGCTCTTAGTAATCATATCTCAGGTCTTTTGGCTCTTTCCTCACTGTCTTATTATTAACTTTTTTTTTTTCTCTGTGCTGTTAGGTTTTTCATTTTTTTATCTTCCAAAAAACCATTATCTTTTTGAAATGTCAGGTTTTGTTGTACAAGAAAAAAATTAGTAGCTGTATTGAGGCATAATTATGTAACAATTTGTACATATTTAATGTATATAGTTTCATAAGTTGGGACACATCCATATGCCCCTGAAACCATCACCACGGTCAGAGTAATATACGTACCCATCACCTCTCAGTTTCCTTATGCCCTCCTTTTTTGTGAGAAAAACACTTCACATGAGATCTACCCTCAACAAAACTTTTAAGTGCACAATACAGTGTTGTTAAAGATAGGCACTATGTTTTATAGCAGGTGTCTAGAACTTACTCATCTTGTATAACCGAAACTTTATATCTATATTAAAAATAACTCCCCCCTTGCCCCTCTCCTCAGCCCCTGGCAACTACCAATCTACTGTGTGTTTCTATGAGTTTGACTATTTTAGATACTTTACGTAAGTGAGATTATATAGTATTTTTCCTTGTGTGCCTGGCTTATTTCTCTTAGCATAATGTCCCCCAGTTTCATTCATATTGTTACAAATAGCAAGACTCGCTTATTTTTTAAGGCTAAATAAATTTCCATTGTATGTTTATGCCACATTTCTTTATCTGTTTGTCCATTGATGAACATTTACGTTGTTTCCATGTCTTGGCTATGAGTAATGCTGCGATTAACATGGGAGTGCAGACAGCTCTTTGATACTCTGTTTTCAAGTATTTTCAGTAATAGCCCAGGAGGGGTATGCTGGATCATCTGGTGGTTCTATTTTTAATTTTTTTAGGAACTTCCATACTTTGTTCCACAGTGGCTCTACCATTTTATTTTCCTACTAGCAGTGTACAGGAATTCCAGTTTCTCCACATCCTCACCAACACTTGTTATCTTTTGTTTTTTGTTTTTGTTTTTTTTTTTTTTTTTTGAGAATAGCCATTCTAACAAGTATGAGATGATATCTCATTGTGGTTTTGATTTGCATTTCCCAGATGATTAGTGATATTGAGCATGTTTTCATATACCCATTTACCATTTGTATGTCTTCTTTATAGAAGTTACTTTTTATATCCTCTACCTGTTTTTTAATTGAGTTATTTGCTTTTTTGCTATTGAGTTTTAGGAGTTTCTTATCTATTTTAGATATTAATCTCTTACCAAATATATTGTTTGCAAATATTTTCTCCTATTACACAGGTTGCCTTTATATTTTGTGATCATTTCCTTTGCTGTACAGCAGCTTTTTAGTTTGATGTAGTCCCACCTGTCTATTATGTTTTTGTTGCTGTACTTTTGGTGATCACACCAAGAAATCATTGCCTAGATCAACCTCATGTAGCTTTTCTGTTATGTGTTGTTCTAGACACTTTAGAGTTTCAGGTCTTATACTTAAATTCCTAATTCATTTCAACTTGATTTTTGTGTATGGTACAAGGCAATGTATTAGGGTATTCTAAAGGAATAGAACTGATAGGATAGATGTATATACGAAGAGGAGTTTATTAGGAGAATTGACTCACATGATTGCAAGGTGAAGTCCCACAATAGGCCATCTGCAAGCTGAGGAGTAAGGAAGCCAGTCTGAGCCCCAAAACCTCAAAAGTAGGGAAGCCGACAGTGCAGCCTTCAGTCTGTGGTTGAAGGCCCTAGAGCCCCTGGCAAATCCCTGGTGGAAGTCCAAAAATTCGAAAGCTGAAGAAGTTGGTGTCTGATGTTCGAGGGCAGGAAGCATCCAGCATGGGAGGAAAGATGAAGGCTGGAAGACTCAGCAAGTCTCCTCATTCCACTTTGTTCTGCCTGCTTTATTCTAGCCATGCTGGCAGCTGATTAGATGGTTCCCACCCAGATTGAGGGTGGGTCTGCCTCTCCCAGTCCATTGACTTAAATGTTAATCTCCTTTGGAAACACCCTCACAGACACACCCAGAAACAATACTTTGCATCCTTCAACCCAATCAAGTTGACACTTAATATTAACCATCACAGATAAAGATCAAATTGCATTCTTTTCCATGTGGATGTCTAGTTTTCTCAACACACAATTTTTTGAAGAAACTATCCTTACCCCATTGTGAATTCTGGGAACCCTATTGAAGATAATTTAATCATACATTCATGGGTTTACTTATGGGCTCTCTATTCTGTTCCATTGGTCTACATGTCTGTCTTTATGCTAGTACCATACTATTTTAATTACTGTACCTTTTTAATATATTTTGAAATCAGGAAGCATAATCCCTCCAGCTTTGTTCTTTTTGGTCAAGATGGTTTTGGCTATTCAGGGCTTACTATGGTTCCATATGAATTGTAGAACTGTTTTCTATTTCCATTTAGAAAAACCAGTAGGATTCTGCTAGAGATGGTATTCAGCCTGCTGTTATTGACAGGAATAGCTGGACTCTCCTAGAACTGTACACAGATGATTCTCTCCCTGCAATAAGTGAATCCACTAGGTGAGCTAAACTTCACCCTACCTTCATTGCCCAATCTCCTGGGCAACTGTATATTGTGTTCCATACTCCACTGGAGAGACAAGCCTGTTCATAAAGTTTTATGTTCTAGTTACTAACCTTACAGCTATAAAGCCAATGACGTTCTACTGTTAACCCTTTTTTTCTAAGAGGCTCAATATCTCAGATACTGTCATGGATTTTTTTCTAGGCACCAAAGTGTATGTTGTCAGGGTTACTTTTAGCTATTTAGTTGGTCCTACAGAGAGTCACCAGGAAGACAGAATTAAGAATCTGAACTCAGGATGCCCTCTTTCCCAGTATCTCTCTTCTCTACTTCCGTTTTCAACAGCCATCTCCCTGAAGAGGGAGGAAAGAGAGTGAGGTTGTAGCTCCAGTGCTCTGCAATGTCTTTCTCCTAGTCAGTCTACAGGCACTGCTGCCTTATGCTCTCATGGTCTCAGTTCTTGTGTTATTATGGGTGACATAATTTTTTAGAGTTATTTTTATTACAGTCCACCATCCCAAGAGGCTTGGCACAATATCCCTGGAGTCCTCAGTGACCCAAAACCTTGTGGTACTCAAAATCATCTTTTTTTTCTGACTCCCACTAACCTCCCAACAGTGTGCTTGTTTTGGCTTGGGGCCTCATTCTCTGATATACACACAGTTTGTTGCTTGGGAGGTTGAGGGGGGTGTCCCTATTCTTTGAATGCTTGGGAGACAACTATTTGCCCTTAACCTAGTCAATCAAGATCTCTTTAATGTGCCTACGTATCTATCAGGTTTAAAAAAATTATGGTTGGCATATCCTTTTGGACCTCTGGATGTACCCAAATTCAGAGTGAATACTTTGCTTAGGTCCTTGCTTTGGGGGAACTTGCAGGGTTTGATTGCTCCTTTTGGTTTTTCATGCGAAGCATTATACCAGTTGTAAATGCTGTACTGCCACCTTGCAACCACACGGCCCTTTGCCTACTTCAAAGGTTTATGAGTTTTACATATTTTGATACTAATGCTTCCAGGAAACCTACCCCTTTTATGTATATATATTCTTGCATCACTTTATTTAGTCAGCTAAATGCAAATTTGAATGATATGTTTTTGGAACTTTGTATGTGTCTTCATGGTGACTCCTGTTTTATTACACATTTCTTAAGAGCACAAAACTTAATGTCTTTTACACCTCCTCAAAACTTAGTATAATACAGTGAGTGTTCAAGAAATGGCACTAAAGCAATTTAAATAACAGCACTACACTCTCCTCCCACTACCAAAAGCTAAGTCACTTTTTTTCCTGGAAAGATTTATCAGGGGATACATATATGAAAATATTTTACCTTTTAATCATTTATCTATACATATATAAAAAACTACGCCCTCAGATACACCTTTAGGAATTAGAATTAGTTATGAAATATGTATGGGTGATGAAGAAAAAGACAGTGTAAATACACAGAGAAAGAGATGATAGCCAACTGGGGCTTAGATTTTGGGAATCACCATTAATATCCTAAAGTTGTGTTTCTGAAGAGGCTTTTTGAAATGAAGGCTAGGGTAGTCAACAGAAGACAAGCTGGAAGAAGCCTCAGATTTAATGCTCTGCTCACAGGAGTGGTATCTGAATGCTCAATTTCATCCTTTCTTACACTCATTCTATTTAACTCGAAATAATTGTGAGCATAGGAGAGATCTCTCAAAGAATTGGTAGTAAGAATTCATCATCTGAATTTCAACATTCTATTTTATGGGAAACATTTTAGTCCTGAGAACTCACGAGCTTTTTTTGTGGTGCACATATAGGGTAAAAGCAAATACTAAGGATCTTGAGCAAAAACACAATACCTCGAATGCTGGCATAAAGGGCAGCTGGCTTCTACTTTGAATTTGTGAGGCTAATTAAAACCAGCATCTTAGGAAAAACAGTTTTGAAGAGAGAACACAGTCAATTGTTATCACTGAATATGTCACTAGGGATTACTGTTATATTTATGACTAAAAGAGACTTGGAGGTGCAAAAGAAAATGTTCTGTGAACAGCACAGAAAAATTAATATGTATGGTCAATCTCACTATGGAATGTATAATTCTAGTAATAAGTTCTGAAATAGGCTAATGGGAACCTGGATTTGAAAATGCATTGTCCAGTTCAGAAAAATATAGCTTACGGTATGAAATAAGCCTGTTGGTTAATCCAGTTGGAGAGTTTCAAGTTCATTGTTACTGTTTTCAATACCTTAGAAGTTGAGAAGGTGCTTTGGAGGCTGTGGAATGTTTCTGCTGGTTTCATACTCTGTTGTGTGAACTCGGTTTCTATCTCTAGGAGTCTGTTCTGTTTTGCAACTGATCCTGTCATATGGATTTGAACCTGCCTTTTGGTGGGAACCACAATTACCATGTAACTAGGAAACTATTAATTAAAAATTGTATTTAAAATTATATGGGCTGAAATAGTCTTAGAAGCAAAATAATTTATCTTAATGAGGAGTGCCATGGGAGTACCTCTACAACCATCTGACTGTAGCATAGCTTGACTATAATATCTGATAAGGTTCCGCCGCATAAGAAAATAAAACCTAAACAGCACCACCAAACCCTTTCATCTGTAAGAATGCAAAATCACGTTATGGTAGAAAGCTTCTCAGTCCTGAGTTACTGTTTTTCTCTAAATGATTTTGGGGAAATGCCATCTGGAAATTAAATTTACAAACCAATTACTATGGTATTTATAAAAATTTGAAATAATAAATCCCGTTATTTGAAAACATTTGGTTTAAGCTAACAAGCTATTTTTTTGCACAGGACTCAGTGTCTGGAAATAGTTCTCACTCCTTTGGATGTCTCTTTATTTCATAATTAAAGTGTAAGAAGGCCTTTTTTGGAATGTTTGTTATGGAGATTGGAAGACAAAACAAACTAGCAGTTCAAACATGTTTTGAAGAATAAAGTCTCAGTTTTGTAAATGTGTTTTGCGGTTGCTTGTATCTGGTCCGCTCATTTGGAGGCATGCACAATTATTTGAACAAATGAAGCATTACAGTCATCTTATGAGTGCTGCAGTTAATTGCTCACAATCAGTGTTTCTCAAAACATACTTCAGAATAATGACTTGAGTCTCACCTTTGAAACCATAAAAATGTATCATGCTCCTTCTTGGGAGTAGAATCAAAGATGAATAATTCATTAATATATTTTTATTTTAAAATCTTTTTTTCCCTGAATTGTGTTGTAGCGGTTATAATGTAAAAGTCAATGATTCCTTTCGTAGAGAAGTAGTAATATGTTCAGCAGTGTTTGTGGCTTATGAAAGCTGAGTTGGCATAAATATGCCTGCCTTATTAAAGAAAAAGGCTCATGATACTTTGCTTTCCAATTCAGATTTCCAGATAAACACTTTTGGAGAGCAGGGGCCTCTTTGTTTCTCTGCTGCCTGCAGTTCATTGACTTGCACGTGGCAGGTGTTCCATAAATATTGAGTGTTAACCTCACTACTAGTCTTTGGCTGACCACTTTGTGCCAGGCACAGCATTAAATATGTAACGTTTATATTTGCCATTATCACTCTCCTTTCACAGATGAGAAAATTGAGGCATGGTTAAGTGACTTGCCTGATGCCACAAAGCTAGGAGGTAGATGAGAGTCAAACCAATGTCTTTCTGACCCCATAGCCTGTGATCACTGGGGTATACTGCTTTCCCAGATGAATGGATGAATGAGTCAATGGATTCATTTATCACTGCATTGTTTTGATGCTTCTTAATTACCACTGCCTGGAACATTTACCCACATAGTCAACTCTCTATCTGAACTGATAACAGGATGAAAAAACTGGGCAGTCCGAATTTTGTCTTCTGACAAACCCCCTTAGAATGCAGTCTTCATTTGAATGTTTTGCATTTTATTGTGGAGATGGCCTTTAGGAGGCTTTCTGAGGAGATAGAGGCCTGCACGGGTGAGAACAGCAGTGTTTGAAGACCCAGTATTCAAAAGCTTTTCCATTTCCGGTATTGTTCAGGAACTGGCAAGTTTTAGAGATTTGCCCTCATATACTTATCTGCTTTTCTGTATGAAAAGATAACATACTTTATTTAGCTGCTGTGAAAATAAATCATTTGGATTACATTGAAGGTCTTAGTTCCTGTTAAAGTATCTTCTGACACTTCTTTGGGAAGTAGCCATTGGCTGAATCTATTGGTTTACTGAGCCCTGAAGCCGGAGCCCAGTTCCTGGACTTACAAATGTCAGAGGACACTGACCTCAAGAATATCCACTTTAACAGATGTAATCATCTTGAGGATTCATTCATGGGCTGCTCTGCATATTTCAAGTAACCTGCCCTGCCGATGCATCAACCTGACCAGTTGATCAGGTGTAAACATATTGCTTATTTAGCATCATGAAAATTCAGGCTGTAATAAGTAAATGTGCCACTGGAAAAGAAAACATGGAAACATTCATAAGCCCTCTTATCATTTTCTTCTGGATTCTAAATTTGTGCGGCTTTCTCTGTTTTGGTGTCGGTTAATAGTCATCCCATCCTTCTAGGTGCCCTAGTGCTAAGCTGAGGTACTTCTCTTGCTTCTCATGCCCACTTGTCCTCTGGATCAAAGCTCCAAGGTCAGATTGATCTTGCATGCACGATGTCACCAACATTTATTACTTTCCACCTTCACTGTCACTTTACTGATCTAGACCACCATTATTGCTCCTCTGAACTACAACAACCTTCTAATGGGACTCTTGTTCAGCTTCTAGCTGCTCCTAAAGCCTATTACTCATAGTGAGGCATGATCTGATCTTTCTAAAATAACAATTGGATATCGTTGCTGTTCTGCTTAAAGGACTTCAGTGCCTTCCTATTGTACAGAGGATGAAGTGAAAACTTATTACTGTGACATTCCAAGTATCCACAGTCTGGCTCTGATTCACCTTTGGGCTTTTATTTCCTGATACTGCTTCTCCCACACTCTGCACTCCGGTAGTAGGCAAGGTGGGTGGAGCAACAATTTTGGAATTATAAAACCTGCCTGATTTTGAACCTGAGCTATTTATCATTAGTGCCATTTATCAAGCTCGTGATTTTTAGTGAGTTACCTAATGTTCCTTAGCCTCTCTGTTCCCGTCTGTAACAGTGGGGACAATGAGTGTACTGCAAAGGTTTTTGGGATGATTCAATGAGATAATGTATGCATATAAGATATTAATATCTTGTGTATACAGTTGGCCCTTGAGCAATGTGAAGGTTAGGGGTGCTGACTTCCTGCACAAGTGAAAATCTATAGCTTTTGACTCCCCCAAAACTTAGCTGTTAATAGCCTTCTGTTGACTGGAAGCCTTACCAATGACATAAACAGTCAATTAACACATATTTTATATGAGTATTATATACTGTATTCTTAAAGAAAACCAGAGAAAAAATGTTAAGAAAATTATGAGGAGAAACTATATTTACTACTCATTAAATAGAAGTGGACCATCATAAAGTTCTTCATCCTCATCTTCACATTGAATAGGTGAAGGAGGAAAAAGAGGAGTTGGTCTTGCCGTCTGAGGGATAGTAACTGTAGAAGAAAATCCACATGTAAGTGGATCTGTGCAGTTCAAACCTGCATTGTTCAAGGGTCAGCTGTATTTCAGTGTGATCCTATTCTGCCTCATGTAGTAAGTATTGTTGTAATTTTTATTTTCTCCCTGTTGTAAGTGCTATAGCAGCCACAGTTATGTCCTGTATATTTCATATAACATTTAGTGGTCTCTGACATATGACTGTTACTTAAAAGTGTGAAATGAAGTTGATTTTAAATAAAGTGACAGCTTAATAATTTAATATCTGTTATCGACTTTCTGAATAACAAAGTGTGAGTTACTCAATGGAATGCTTATGTGCATATATAAATGCCAAATGTTTTGCTTATTAACCAAAATATAATAGACAATTTCTAAACTCTCCATTATATCAGGTACTCATAATTCTGGCCATGATTTTATGAGATCTAGTGGCTTATATGAAAAATGAGTCAATTCTGAGAATACAATAATAACAAATGCCACCATTTCTCTTCCAGTGCAACTATTTAATTACTCTCTGCAGGTGTACCTCCTTTTATGTAATAAACTAATTTCAGCATAGTCTGCAAATATTTATAGAACATTCATAATTGAAATGCTGAGAGCCTGTTGTAAATATTTTTTATAAAGTTAAAATAATTTTTAAAAACTAATATATTTTGAGTGGGGAGTTGGGAGTCATTCATACCATGTTTGTTTTTCTTAAAGCAGGGCATCATTCCCATGTGTCTAAAGCATTTAACTTTGTGTTTTGGGTGTTCTCACCTACACTGATTAGAGATAAGAAAGAATTAGTGATTAGATTAGACCCGGGAAAATAGGTCAAAGAGGGAGAGTGAGAGAGCACCTGAGCTTGCTACTTAGCCATGTGCAAAGCCCACACTAACACTTGTCTGATGAATACTCTGGTACTGAGGGTCTCATTGCAAAGTGATGACTGAATTCTACCACATGTTGAGGCTTGCGTTTAGACGTCTCCCCATCATGTGTCTTTATTTAATGGTGCTAAGTGGAAACAATGAAATCCTGTCTCTGGTCATTACTTAACATTTAACATTCAGAAGAACAACATCCCTTTCCAGTGCTACTTCAGGAAAGGTACAGAAGTTAATCAGGTCTAACAAACAAAATGAACCACACAGTCACTCCAGTCCTAAATTATTAAATGTAGGCAATATTCAGCTCATGAGATCAATTAACAATTTCAGAGCCCATAATATTTTGTCCTTCTAGTGTATTTCGTATAACAAGTAGGCCTTATAAACAGACCAATGAAAAAAGTTAGATGCTTGCTGAATTTTGAACCTTTACCCATAATGGGAAACAAAAATAGAAGGGATAGATTTGCTACCTTTTAAATCACATAGGTAATTTAAAATGTCAACATCAGATACTTGAAGCTGTGGTCATTATAGCTGCTGATGACATATTTGGTTTAATGCTAACATTTCTGTCATCATTTGAATCAATTTGCTCTGTAGGTACAACCTGATCTCTGTCATCTCCCCTCTCCTGTGTTTTATGCTCTAAAAATATGCTTTTTTTGGTGTTTAAGTTTTATCCCCTGCTTCCTTCTCTGTCTGGAAGTTCCTTCCCAACTCATTCACTTGGGTAACTTACTTTTAAACGTAAACACCACTGTCTCTTTGGAGCCTTCCCAGGATGCTCCTCCATGGTGTCCCGTATTACCCTGTTCTTAACATCTCTTACTCTAGTTACTACATTATATTGTAATTCTTTGCTTATGTATGTAGCAGCACACATGTCAGATTTATTCACTCTGAGTTATATTAACATTTTGTGCCTCCCTTTCTTATGGGTGACAGAAATAATTTTAGTCACTTCAGATGCACTACTCTTTCTCCAATTTTTGAAGATTGTTCTTGAGTTCTTGGGCATTATTATCATCATGGCAGGATTGCAGCTAGTCCTTGAACATCACTTAGCTCTGTAGCATCTGCTAAGCGATACTGTGTCCAAACTGGTTTGCAAGCTGTGGGTCAATGCAGGGCATTGTTTTCTCTGACTTTGTTCCCAGTCAAAACACTCTGCTGGGCCTACTCAAGCTCTGCCCACATGTATGTCCCTCTCAAGCTTCAAAGAAGCCCTATTTTTCTCTCATGCCATCTTGTAGTCATTGGAGAACCGTAGGAGTTCCTTAAAACCACCTTCTTTCTGCTTACTGTGATTATATTGGTCATCTAGGAAATTATTATATTGCTCTTCACACTAGATTGGGCAGGGAGGACCTAGCGACTCTTGCTGCTTTTCAAGGTCTTTCCCAGGAAAGGGGCAAAGTTTCCTTCTCCTTTTAAAGCCACATACTAACATCTGACTGAGCTATTTTATCCGTTACTCCCCCTCCCTTAAGACACAAATGAAGATTTATTTTTAAAAATCTCAGCCAAAAAAAAAAAATTAATCTAGACTGTGAAGGCGGTAGAAGTTGGGACTGGCTTTTTCCTGTTTTTCTATTGAAATTCTGTGTCTAAAATGTGGTTCTTCTGTCTTCCTTGTGATCGCTTCCCTGAGGCAGTGAGTGCTGCATGTCTAATGGCACTCATATTTTTGGTAGTGGAGAGGCAAGAAATACAAAAACAACTGTTAATATCTGTAAATGTGATTCTATCACATAGGTTTGCCTCCCTCACTAATCTGTGATTTCCTCAAAGGGAAGAACTGTGTTGCTAGTCCCTTTCATTTTGTTGACCACATGTTAGGTACATGATATATGAATAGATTGATATGTTTAAGGGAAACATATATAATTTTGTCCATTCACTTGTTTATTTGTTTACTTGAGTACGACAAATGTTTTTGAAAATCTCTTACATGCCAGACCCTATACTAACCACGGCAGATAAGTGGGTAAATCAGTATAGAGGCAAAGGAAATTTTCTTTCCTTCCCCTTCTAAAGGTTTGATAATTTGATGCTACAAAACAAACTGCCTATCCAGGCCTTTTGCCCATTTTTAAATTTGATTATTTGATTTTTGTGCTATTGAGTTGTTTGAATTATTTACATATTCTGTATATCAAGTCTTTGCCAGAGACATAGTTTGCAAATACTTTCTCCCATTCCATAAGGTGTCTCTTCACTTTATGGATTGTTTCTTTTGCTGTGCAGAAGTTTTTAAATTTGATATAATCCTGTTTGTCTATTTTTTGCTTTGATCCCTGTGCTTCTGAGGTCTTTTTCTAAAAATTCTTGCCTAGTCCTATTTCATAAAGTGTTTCCCTTATTTTTTCTTCTAGTAGTTTCAGGTCTTACATTTAAGTCTTTAGTCCATTTAGAGTTGATTTTTGTGTATGGTGAGAGATAGGGGTCTAGTTTCATTCTTCTGCACATGGCTAGCCAGTTATTCCAGCACCATTTATTGAAGAGAATGTCCTTACCTCAATATGTGTTCTTGGCACCTTTGTCAAAAATCAGTTGGCTTCACATTAATGAATTTATTTCTGGGTTCTTTATTAAGTTCCATTGATCTGTCTATATGTCTGTTTTTATGCCACTGCTATGGTGTTTTGGTTGCTATAGCTTTGTAGTATGTTTTTAAAGTCAGTGTGATGTCTTCTTCAACTTTGTTCTTTTTGCTCAAGATTGTTTTAGCTATCAGGGACATTTGCCGTTCATATGAATTTTAGGATTGCTTTTTCTATTTCCATTAAGAATTTCATTGGTATTTTGATAGAGATTGCATCCTGTCATTTGTGACAACATGAATGAGGCTGGAGGACATTATGTTAAGTGGATAACAATGCATTGTATATTTCAAGATAGCTGTATGAGAAGATTTTGAATATTGTCACCACAAAGAAATAATAAATAAATTGGTGGATATGGTAATTACCCTGTTTGATCATTATAGAATGGATACCTGCATTGAGACACCACACTGTATGCCACAAATATGTACAATTCTGCATCAATTATAAATTAAAAAATGAAACACTGACAATAGATTAACATAAAAAAGCATACAGATTTATATGTACGTGGGCACAGAAGTCTTACAAATATGAGACTCAAGGGCCACATGACTGAACTTTTATATTATCCTGAGGTTACAGATAGAATAGAGGCTTGGGGTTTCTTGGGAGGAGGGTAGGGACACTGGTTATAGGAGAATGAGAGGAAGAAAAGATGGTAAGGAAAGACCATCTTGTTAGAGAGAGAAAAATCTCTCAGATAATCTTGAAGCTCCGGAAGAATATATGGTAGGCTGTGATGAGAGTTCTTTGTAAGATGTTGAAAAGGGTCAGACTTTCAGCCACTTTTTCTGTTAGTTAATAATTTCCATATAAGGCAGATAAGGGGGCTTCAGAGAAAGACTATTTGATCTGCTATTTACCTCACTAACGTTTTTTTTTTTCTCTAGAGATGCAAATTTTCCCCACAAAAGGACACCTTTTCAAAGCTTTTCCTGATTTTGTTAGGCCCTCTGAATAGCCATCTCAAAATAAGTCAAAGTATATTTTGGGGTGGCATATTTTGGTTTCCATAAGTCAGGCACAGTCCATAGCCTCAAGGAACTCACAGGCAAGTAAGTTTCAGATTGTTTAAGGTCAAAACATGGCAAAGATGTATAATACTAATGAAATAAAAGTAACTAAAGAATATTTATAAGCCTAGAAGTGAGAGAGAAATTAAGTGTTAGAAGTGAAACTTCACCCAGATTAAATTTAACAGTTTGAGCAAAGGACAATTCGTGAATCGGGCAGCCTCCCAAGCCAGAGTAGGCTGAGACACTCCAGGGCAGCCACGTGATGGAAGAAGATTTATGGATAGAAAAAGGAAAGCGAGTACGATAAATGGAAGTGAAGTACAGAAACAGGTGGATTGGTTATAGCTCAGCATTTGCCTTATTTGAACACAGTATGAGCATTTGGCCACATTTGGCTAAAACTCAGTGATTGGCACGAGCGTAGGCTACAGTCTGTTTACACTTCCATTTAGGTTAAATTTCATGATGTACAGACAAACATTTAGGCTGAACTTAAAATACGTAAGGAGGCAGCTTTAGGCTAAACTTGATTTAACATAAGACTGAATCTAGAAACCATGAAGAAAAAATATATTGGATTACATAAATATTAAAAATTATTTGCATATCATATGTTATAAGTAAAGTAATAAAAAACCCTATAGACCGAGATAAAGGATCCAGTAAAAAAAACTGGCCCTGAATGTGAAATGTCAATTCATGGAAGAGAGAATATATATTACCAACAAACATATTAAAATATTTTCAAATAATCAGGGCAATGCCATTTCATAAAACAATGAAATACCATATTTTCCATCACCTAACAAAATAGTGACAGCATCAATGTTGAAGACTGTGAAGCACAGGCACTACTCATGCATTGCTGGCGGGAGGGTGAATTGCTATCTTTTGTAGAAAAATCTTGCAATGTCTATTAAAGATAGACATATCCTTTTTTTCTGGGAATATAATCTACAAAAATGAAAGTCCCAGCATATGCAAGGATGTGTATTGCAACAAAAAACAAAAACAAAAACTTCACAAGCAGGTGAATAGTTGACTAAATTGTAGTAGATCCTTGCTAGGATACAATGGAGCTATTAACAACAATGCATTAAGTTTATATGGGGGGCGGTGGCTAGGGGAAGCTCATTAATTTTCCTGGTACTTCTCTATACTATTTGACTTGTTACAACAAGCACCTGTTTTTCACTTTATTGGACTTTTAATTACGAAAAATAATTTTAAAAATTCAGCAATTATAGCACAACATATTACATGTTATGAAGGGTCAATTGGGTGCTGCAAGAAATCACAGGAGGAGGCACCTAACCCAGTTGCAATGCATTGAGATTTTCTGGAAGATATTACTTCTGTGTTTACTCCAGAAGGTTGAGTGGGAGCCAGCTAGAGGGATACGAAGCACAGTAAACATCATGTATAGGGGCTGAGAAGAGACAGAACTAGCCATCAAGTGTTGTTTATAATGCATAGTTGTAAGAATGCAATGACTGATGAGATATGGAAAATTAAAGAGAAAGGGAAGATTCCATAATATCTGAGTTTCTGGCTTGAGCAGTTGGATGAGATGAACTGAAAGAAACTGATTTTGGGGCAGTGTGTTCAGTTTTGGGCAATGCTTGCAGGGACCAGTTGAGACAACACTTGGATTTTCAGAGGTTTATTTGCTTGAACTGAGAACCTGGCCTCTGACAATGTTATGACCCTTGGGCCTGCCTCTTGCTAACTAGGCATCTTTGTGGGCCAGCCATGAAATCTGGCTTGCCCACTACTCACTGTTAAAACAATAGCAGATGAGCTCTGGAACCCAAGGTCCCTTGGCTGTCCTGAGGCTGGACTCAGAGCCAGATCCAGGTTTTGTGGGAATCTTGTACAATTTTGAAGACTCTTAATAAGATTACAAAATGAGAAATGACCATGTGTACTGATACAGAATGAGAGGATGAATCATATGAAATTGTGTATTTAAAAAAAGCAGAGATAAATTAGAAATATAACAAAATATTTTATTATAGAACTACCTAAAAATTTTTAGTGAATTAACCTCTAAAATATTTCCCTAATTTTTTGGCTGAATATGATTTCACTGATTTTATAATGTCATCATCTATAGAATAAATCTAGATGACCTTAGGTTTAGCAATGAGCTTTTAGATACAAGACCAGAAGCACTATTTATGAAAGTTAAAAAAAAAAAAAAAAAGTGAGGTTTTATTAAAATAAAAACTTCTGTTCTACAAAATACACTGGTAATAGAATATACTTACAGACTGGAAAAAATTTGCAGAACACATTTGATAAAGGACTTGTATGCAAAATATGCATACAAAACCAGAAAATAAGAAAACGACTGAACTTAAACTGAGCAAGAGATATGAACAGGAACCTCACCAAGGAAGATATACAGATGGCAAATAAGCATATAAGAAGATGCTTGAGATCATATGGCACTAGGGAATTGCAAATTAAAATCACCATATGATACTACTACATCTATTAAAATGGCTGAAATCTAAAATACTGACAATACCAAATGCTGGCAAGTATGTAGAGGAATAGAAACTCTTACTCATTGATAGCAGGGATGCAAAAAAGGTACAGTCACTTTGGAAGACAGCTTGGCAGCCAATGGAATATTATTCAGTGATAAAAACAGATGTTCTATAAAGCATCAAAACAACATGGAGGAAACTTAAAATCCATATTCAGTAAAAGAAGCCAATCTGAAAAGCTTACGATGCCAACTATATGACATTCTGGAAAAGGTGAAACTCATGGAGAGAGTAAAACAATAATTGCCAGGGACTGGCACTCCGAGAGAGAACAGGAACCAATAGGTGAAGCACAAGAGATTTTTAGAGCACTAAAATTATTCTACATGATACTATAATGATAGATGCATGAAATTATGGATTTGTCAAAACTCACAGAATACATAACACAAAGAGGGAAGCATAAACCTAAACTATGGGCTTTAGTTGATATGTTGGCTCAGCAATTCTAACAAGTGTACCGTACCAACGCAAGATGTCAATTCATAGGGGAAACTGAAGGCAAGGAGGGGTAAAGAGAATATGATAACTCCTTGTACTTCTTGTCCAACTTTTATGTAAACCTAAAACTGCTCTAAACATCTATTAATTAAAAATAAGTCAGTCTTTCCTCTATCATGGTTGATACCATTGATAATTGGATGTATACAACACAAAACTTCACAGACACAGCAGTTTGTAGTCCTGCCATGCAGTACTTCTGATAAATCCACACCACTTAATTCCATCAACATGAAAAAAGAATTTGTGGCACATTTATAATTGAATCATCCCAAGAAGAGGCATCTTCTGTGTTGACTGGGCAAATATGAGAACCACAGCCTTCCCTTATAGTATATTCTAGATACAATTTTTATTTCATTCCATTCTGAAGACAAGCAATGTCTAAACAGATATTTGTAATAGAAATCCATCTGTGATTCCCCCTTAGCTTTATCTTCTGAGTTGCAGGCTGGCATCCACTTGCCAAAAAAATCAGGGTCAAGGCCCGAGGATTAACTGTGGCATGAAAAAGATAAGATGGCACAGACCATTACCAATGGGCTGGAGCTCAGGGATGAACAACTGACCAGAATTGAAGAGTAGAGACTAAAACAGAAGTACAGCTTATAAATTTGCCAACTCGGGAATGAAGTGTATGTGGAACAGAGATAAATTACTCAGTATGTCTATCTGGGAGACCAGAGGTTCGCCCTGGGAAAGGCCCTGGGACCAAAGCTTTTCTGTCAATAGCAGACACTTGAAAGCTCAGGCGTGGCTGATGTAAATGCCTTGTGCGTTTGTCTGATGAGCAGCAAACCGTTTGCACCTCAGACTTCATTCACTTTCTCACTACATCTCTGTCTTTCCTGAACTTCTCCGCGTCTCTGTTCCTCCCACATTTCAGCCAGATCCAACTCTGGCATCTTTAGTTCAAAATTATTTTCTCTTGTCAGAAATCTCATAGACGCTAAGGATTGAAAAGTTTGCCATTAGGTCATCAACTTCTCCAGATGACATGAACAGTGTCTGCAATATTCTCCATACCTATCTCTACTGGAAAGTCTTTGGTGACAGGAGTTGACTATATATACACGGCAGTGCTTATCACAAGGGGACAGGTTTGTTTATTTTTTTCATTTTATAAAATTTGTATAAATGTATAGGATACATACAAGTATAATTTGGTTACATGGATAGATTGTATAGTGGTGGAGTCAGGGGTTTTAGAGTATCCATTACTCAAATAACACATGTTACACTCATTAAGTAATTAATCATCCACCCTCCTCCCTCCCTTGCACTCTTGCTAGTCTCCATTGTCTATCATTCCACATTCTATGTCCATTTATACACTTTTGAGCTCCCACTTATGAGAACATGTGGCACTTTTCTTTCTGTGTCTGAGTTATTTCATTTAAGATAATGGTCTCCAGCTCCATCCAAGTTGCTGCAAAATGCGTGATTTCATTCCTTTTTTATGGCTAAGTAGTATTCCATTGTGTACATATACCACATTTTCTTTATCCAATTATCCATCGATGGACTTATAGGTTGATTCCACATCTCGGCTATTGTAAATAGTGCAGTGATAAACATGCCAGTGCAGGTGTCCTGTTGATATAATTTCCTTTCCTTTGGGTAGATTCTTATTAGTGGAATTGCTGGATCAAATGGTAGTTCTAGTTTTAGTCTATCTCCTGGGGACTTTTTGAAGTTTTCAGTATTTGTTGAATGAAGCCATTCAGAATAACGGGCAGACTAAGTTTGTTCTTTCTCTCACATGACAGCCCTTCAGGGATCTGAAGACAGTGATCATTTCCCTCTGAGTCTGCACACCTTCAGGTCAAAACACTCAAAGGCTTTTAAACTGCTTTTTATGTCTGTCACCCGTTCACCACCTGAGTGACTGCTCTTCAGGCATGTCTCCTTAAAGGGTTCTGCTCAGAAGTGAGCCCACTGCTTCAGCTGTACAGAGCAGGGTGGAGCTATCCCATCTCTTGTTCTGAACACTGTGCATTTATTAATGCAGTCCAAATTCAAATTAGTCCTTCTGGTATTCACACAGCATCCTTCATTCCTACTGAATTTGCAGACAACTAAAATTCTTCATGTTTGTATGTGCTGTTGCTAAGTCATGTCACCATCTCCCATCGTTATGTATTTGAGATTTTACGCTGAAACTTTATGCTTCACGGTTAAAACATGGACTCTATATAACTGCTTGGTGAGATATTTGGCAACCCTGACTATCATTTGCTGTCATCCCTTAATGCCATTTCTGATTATGATGTGCAGGCCCTTTATGTCTTTTTTTTTTTTTTTGGTAAAAGTATGAGACATAGGGTTGAGTGGCTATGACTACAGCCTTTGAGCATTACACTTTTAGTACAGCTCTTCAGCCAGATAGAGCACCATCTGACCAAACTATCATCAGCCTGCATTTCTCCATCTTAATAACACCAATAAGGCAATATTTATGGAGTGTCTACCAGGTGCCTGCCTTCTGCTAAGAACAAGTCTTTTATTAGTCAATTCTTGCCACAGCCTTATGAAGTAGGTTGTATTTTTAATTTTTAATTTTAATTTTTTTGAGACAGTCTCACTCTGTCACTCAGGCTGGAGTGCGGTGGCTCAGTCTTGGCTCACTGCAACCTCTGCCTCTCGAGTTCAACCAATTTTCCTGCCTCAGCTTCCTGAGTAGCTGGGACTACAGGCGTGTGCCACCACACCCAGCTGAAAGTAGGTTTTATTGTCTTTATTTCTCAGATGAGAAAACTGAGTATTGAAAAAGATAAAATATCTGTTCAAAGACACACAGCTAGTGAGTGGTAGATCCAAGGTTCAACTAAGGTGTGTCTGACACCAACACCCATGCTCTCAACCACTGTACCATGCCAGCTCCATCTCCTGAAAAGCCAGTTTTCCTAAATACAAATTTAAATCGCATATACTATATATTCATTCAGTACAGGGAAAAAATAAGTCTAAGGCAGAAGGATGTCTGATGTTTGAAATAATGCAAGAAGACCAGTGTAGCTAGAACTGAGTGAGGGATAGACGGTAGAAGATGTATGTACAGTGGTAATTGAGGGCCAGATTATGTAAGGATTTTGACTTCTACTCTGAAAGTAGGAGCTATGGGAAGGTTTTGAGCAGAGGAATAACATGACCTGGCTTATGTGTGTGTGTATATATATGTGTGTGTGTGTGTGTGTATATATGTGTGTGTGTATATATATGTATACACGTGTATATACATATATACATATGTGTATATATGTATATATGTATATACACGTATATATACACGTGTATATATGTATATACACGTATATATACACGTGTATATATGTATATACACGTATATATACACATGTATATATGTATATACACGTATATATACACGTGTATATACATATACACACACATATACACGTATATATACACATACATACATGCGTATATATACATATATATATATTAACAGAAGAAACATAGTATGTGTTTTGAGAAACACCAACATCTTTAACCACACAATAACACTGTATGTACATATATATATGTGTGTGTGTGTGTGTGTGTGTGTGTGTGTGTGTGTGTGTATGTTAAACCTGGTTGCTATATTGAGAGTAGAGTGTGTAAGACAAGGACAAAGTGCTGGGGGAGGTCGATGGAAAAGGTTTACGGGATGGCAACTGAAGGGAGGGTCACAGAAGGCCAAGTTTTCTCACAGTAAAATCCAAAGGGAATATATTATAATATACCCATAATTAGAAATGTGGCTTAATTCATATCTATGGGAGACTGCAATTAAGCCTATTTTATCATCACCTGATTAGCTTTAGTTTACAAATGATTTCAGCTGATTTCCCTGGTCCTAGAGCATTTTTTCCCCATTGTCACTAGATGGCAGTTGTACATACCTATCATTTCAAGAACATTTACGAGAGCATTTACACTAGATGGTGCTCAGGCCACTCCCCTCTAAGGCTGACTTGCTCCAGTATTTGTTGACACAGAAGCCTAGCTACCTCTTATGCACAAAGATCTCTGAGAAATTCATCAATACTCAGTCCTGGTAAAGCAATCAATTCTATTATGACGACTTTTCTGTGAAGTGGTGAATCATACATGCCCAATGTAGTGATTCCGAGCCAAATTCATAGTTCAGCTTAAATCCAAGTAGAGCTCTAGTTTATCTTACACTGATGCTTCCTGGCAGGATGAGGAGGAACACCCATCCTCAGTCTTACCCTTTGCCTTTGAGGTTGGAGATCCACGTCTAATCTGCAATGGAGGGTAGCTTGTTTTGCCTTAGACAAGCTGTGTGATCTTAGGTCAGTTATTTGCTACTATGTAGTTAAGTGTCCTTGATGAAATGTCTTTTAAATCCAGGAAACTGAACCTTGATTTTCTTGCTTCAACTAACGTTCATCTTTTTTGTTTCAAAGGATGTTCATTCCTTAAAAAAAAAAAAAAAAAAAAAAAAAGGGGCCTCTGGCATTCTCTTTTTCATGTCTAGCTCTAACTTCATTAGCTTTCTCTAGTTGAATAGTTCAACTATTCCTTGAGATAAGAATGTATTTTCTTTTCACAGTTTATCTTCCGAAGTGTAACCTACCACAATATTTTGTACCCAGTCTGGAAGGCTATTTTTTTCATCCTTTTATCACTTAAGTCTTATCCAGATTTGCTTTGGAGTTTTTTTATTTATTGTTACTTAAAAATATTTAATTGACAAAGATTGTATATATTCAAAGTGTACAGTGTGATAATTTGATACATGTGTAAACGCTACATCCTTGGACTTGAAATAATATTTGAGCCTCACTGTCCTCATCTGTAAAGATGAGAAAATAGTTATAAATTACTGGCAGCTGCAATCTGCTAATTGCCATCCAATCAGAGTATATGCTGATGAGAGGTTCCTTCCCTCCCCTTCAGACCTAACTATAAAATAACAGTTGTCCAGAAGCACTTAATCTTCTGTGGCTAAGAAACATAGTATCTGTTTTGAGTAACACCAACATCTCTAACTACACATCAGCACTGTAGAAATTCACACACACACCCCTTCCTTTGTAAGGAGAGGAGAGCTATGCAATTTTAATCTTATTTTTAAAGAGTTTCCAAAGCATACTCATTTCTTATCTCATTTTATTATCTCCCAAATTCAGAGCAGAATAAGGCATACAGCCATATTATAATCTCTAGTTTACAGGTGAAGTATGTGAGGTTTATAAAAGTTAAGGGCCTAGCTCATCGTCACAAATTACTGAGTAGTGGAGCAGGTACCTGAGCCCAGGCCTGTGAGTATGGTACCACTGGGGACCAACTTGGCTAATGATGGCTGTTTGAATTAACTGGGTAAAGTGTCTCAAAACATTTGCCCACTTTTCAGGCATTTTACCTAAACCACTGAGAAAGGAAAACCAGTTACCTAAGGTCACATGAAGTATCAAATGAACAGAAAATCGAAGAAAGAATGAAGTCTATCTAACTTCTGTCCATGCTTACAACAAAACCTCCTTTTGTTAAGAACCAACCCCTTTCACAAAAAGGGGCCTTTGCTCTTCTAAAAAGAACCAAGTTACATTTATAAATGTTATGCCCTTTTTTAAAAGCTTAGGTATAAAAGAGCAAGAAATGTTTATACTTAAAAAACAAAGCTTCCTCTTCATGTTGAGCAAATGGCAATCCTTTGATTCAATCCAAAATTTCTCTTCTAGGTATTGTTATGCGGTTTTTAAAAGGAAATAAGAACAGAAAACATTCAGTGCTTTCAAATACCACCTTTCTCCTCAGTTTGCTTGCTTATTATTAAAACAGTTTGAATGAATTCTTGGTTTGATTATGGTCATTTATTTTTAAAAGAGCCATGGATAGTCTGTTACTATAGCAATAATTTCTCACTCTGAAGCTATTTAATCTTAAAACAACATGGAACTTTAAGTGTCAAGGGAGTCCATACTTAGAATGAATGCAGCACTTGAGAGTACCAATAACTAAGGTATTTGTGATGAAAAAATGAGGTTTTTGTTTGTTTTTAATTTCTGTACAGGACCCCTCACCTGTTAGGTATTCTCAGCATCGGGAAAAAACATTTGTGGGAAATGTCATCATAGATGCCCATGCTGTAGGAAACACACAAAAACGATTGGCTGTGTGTGAACCACATCTGTTTGTACACTGGGTACCTATGGAAGAGCATGGAGATGCCCCATATTCCACATTATAATGCAAATATGCATCAAAAAAATAGAACAGTAAGTTGGTGGCAAAATACTCTGGGTCAATCACTTCACCTCTGATTTAGCTCTGAATCCAGCATCTGGGAAAGGACTGTCTTTCATTACCAGTAGGCATTGTTCTTCTTGAACATAGATTTTGGGGATAACCCCTGTTGTGAGGGGCAGTATATGCAATTTGGCATAGCTGCTACCAGGTGTTGCTCAGGTTTAGAGCCAGCCTCCTGCTACTCTTACTGGCATGACCTACCCATGACTTGGTTTTTCATTTACCAGGATTCAGTTGTGTATTCCGAAACATGCCCTTTAAAATGTGTATATAATCAGCTAAGTTGAGAACCGCAACAAAAACACAATCTAAATTAAAGCCATCATAGGTCTGGATGGCACTCTTCCTTCTTGTCTACTTGTCTGGTCCTGAGAAAAAATTCTAAGTCAGCTACAGGGACCTGTGGACTGGCCCCTACTATCTACCGATGACCCACCGTCTTAAACTGCTAGAACTGCCATAAAGAAGTACCACAGACTGGATGGCCTAAACAAAGGAAATCTGTTTTTTACAGTTCTGAAGCTTGGGTAGTCCAAGATCAAGGTGCCAGCCAATTTGATTCCTGGTGAGGGTTCTTTTCCTGGCTTGCGGATGGCCCCCTTCTTGCAGTGTCCTCACAGGGCAGAGAGAGGGAGGGAGGGATGGAGAACAGGAAAGAGAGAGAACACTCTGGTGTCTCTTATTATAAGGGCACTAAACCCATCATAAGGGCGCCCCCACTCTCATGATCTCATCCAAACCTAATTACTTCCCAAAGGCCCCACTTCCAAATAATATCTCATTGGGGATTAGAGCTTCAACATATTAATTTGGGGGGGAGGGACACAATTCAATTCATAGCACTGATCTGCCTCTTTTTTCTTACTCTGTCTGCTCTAGCCACGCTGAAATTATTTTAATTCCTCAAACAGTAGTGTTTTTTCATAACCTCAGGCTTCAGGGCCTTTACACATACTAACTTCTTTGCCTGAAATCTAGCTCAATCTTTCCCTCCCTGCTGCCATTTTCACCCAGTTAATTTCTATTTAATGTTTAGAGCTCAGGTCAAGATCACTTCCTCAAAGAAGCTTTCCCTAAACCTCAGATTAGGTGGCAATCCTTGTTGCATATTCCCAAATCCCCCTGTATGCCCCATCACATAAAACTCATGACAATTGAGATTGTTTATTCAATGTCTGTCTCCTAGGCTAGACACTGAGTTCAATGATGTCAGGAATCTCTCTTACCATGGCATTTCCAGTGCCTAACTCAAGGTGGACATTTCAATGTTTATTGATGAATAAGTGAATGAATTACAGGAAGCTTTGGTGATACAAAATCAAGATTGCTTTGTTTAGGCTCAAAAATCTTTAAGCCCCTTATGGAACTGACAGTGTCCATTTTTAATGTGTCACTGAGTGCCTCATGAACTAGGATAAGGAATACAGCTGATTTTTAACACACAAATCAAAATGTACACACATAACTCTGTGCTGTTCCCTCCAGATAGTCTCTTGCAGAAGATGCCTTTAGATTTGGGCATACATTTTTGTCTTTTGAGTGAAGGTTTTATTTGAAAATTGTTAAAAGTTATGTAGGAGCATTCAATTCATTCATTGATTCACTCAACAAATTCATTTTTTTCTCAGAAATAAGGGGTGACTAAGTAAACAATGGGGCCAACTTTCTTGTGTCTCATAAACTGACTCACAAAGCAATTCCAAAAGTTAGATCTTTAATGAGAATCAAGAAAATACTATTTTGCTCATTTTCAAAGTCATTGTATAACCCAGACTTTTTAACTTCCTTTGTGAAAAAGCCAAGCATCTATGGAAATACTATACATATCACTCAAGTATCTCATTCTTTGGGTTTTGTTTTTCATAAAACATGTGCCAGGCCCTAGAATCATACCTGACCATAGGCAGGAGATATCTAAGGAGCAAATAAGACCTCAGAAATAAGGCTTGTTTGCTGTTATTCAGTCCTGACCTGTGTCTGTTTTTATCCACTTCAAAGACCATGCCATGTGTCACCTGCTAAGATTTCTTCCTGTATCTGCAGGTGGGTAAATCATGGTGTATGTTCCACCCTATCTAGACCCCATTAGTGTATCCCATTAGTTTCAATCTGTTTAATTCACATTTGTTGAGCCAATGACAATTTTTTTTTAAATGAAGCACTGAGATAAAGGAGATTAAGAATATATAGAAAAACAACAGGGAAGTTACAGCTAATAGGAAAGCTGCATAGACTCTTAAACAATTACCATAAACTATTGGGCATAGCGCAACAATCTATGTATATGCAAGATTCAAAGGAGGGAGGCTATAGAAAATATTTACTTCCCCTAAGGACTTCATACTGCAATGTATGCATGTGCTATAAAACAGTGTGACGGGGATCAGTGGGAGGCAGAACGCCACATCATTCTGAACTTGAGAGAGCAATTTCCTGAGGCCTGCCATAACAACTTAGGGTGACAGCTTTCTCTCTACAGTTCATGATGGTGTTCAGGAACTCTATTAGTTTTCTGTTGCTGCAGTAAAAAATTACCACAAAATTAGTCCCTTAGACAATACAAGTTTATCTTACAGTTTTGTAGGTTAGAAGTCTAAAATCAAGGTATCAATAGAGCTGCATCCCTTCCAAATGCTTCAGTAGATAGTCCATTTCCTTGCTCTTTTCAGCTTCTGGAGTTCTCTTGCATTCCATGGCCCATGTCCCCTTCCTAACATCACTCCTACCTCTTCCTTTGTCATCACATCTCCTAATACTATGACGTTTCTGCCTCCCTCTAATGAAAACTCTTGTGATTATGTTAGGTGTACACAGACAATCTAGGATAATCTCTCCATCTCATGGTCCTTAACTTAATCACATCTGGAAAGTCCCTCTTGTCTTGGAAGGTAACATCCAGGTTCTGGGGATTACAGTGTGGATATCTTTGGGGTCCATTATTCTGCCCACCTCATGGACCAAGGCAATGGGACAACTATGGGCACGTATAGGAACAATAAAAAAGAATTTGGTGGTATGCCAATCTTGGTTCAGCTCAACAACCAAGTGAATCAAAATCATTGGCAATGACTCTTCTAAATAGTTTCTCTTACTTTTGATTTGACTTCAAAATTTTCTCCTCCTTTGAAATGTATGTAGTAAGACCATACTTTCACTTGTCATCATCTACCCACATCCTAATCACCACCATCCCTACTCATATTAACTTAAGACTGTAGTACTTGATTTATTCCGTTTCTCCTATTTCCATCATTTTTGCTGACATGAACTGTCCAACACTCTGGCCTTCCTGTTGGGTGACCTTCTTATTGCCACTGATCATTTTTCTCAAGCCAAAATAAGCCATACAGTTCTTTGTTTACAACTCTCAAATCCCAGTTTTAGGCATGCTGCCTTCTAATCACTTCCCCTTATCAATTTTGCTCACTTACTACAGTACTTGCAGTGCTACATTCAATTTACCTTTTCTCTTTATTCAGCTTCTGCATTCTAACCACAAACTTACCATATCCATCACATTTTATAATCCATCTTTATTTTCATTCATTTAAAAATATTAGCTGAACAACTGCTGTGTGTTAGTCTGGGATATAGTGGTGAGGAAAATAAAGGTCTCACCCTCATAAAAATGAAATGCCTTTTAGTTAAAATACAATTAATTTTTATATAATTGCCCTCAGTTCCCTTGTACAACCTCTGCAATTTAGATTTCAAACACCCTTTTCTAATTGAGGCCTTCAGTCTATTAAGTCCACCACTTTCTATCGCTACTCTGTTTTCTTCAATTTCATTTCTTTGTTCTCCCATTTCAACTCTTAACTGATGACCATACCTCATACTTCACTGGAAAAAAGAGAAGCAATAAAAAATAAAGTCTCCATCTTTCTGCTACCATGTTTCCAAATCTTCCTGCATCTCTACCTATAGTTTCTGCCTTTCTATTCAGTACAAGGAAGAAAGTGTTCTGATTCTTATCAAAAATGAATACTTCCTCTTATGCCCTGGATCTGTTCTTCATTTGTCTACTGAGGACATCACTACATCGATTTTCCTTTCCTATTAATAACTTGTATCATAACTTTCTCTCTTTTTACTGCAGTATCCCATCAGCATACAGACATACTCTAGAATTTTCTGTCTGAAACAAACAACAATAACCCGACCGGATATGATTACATATCCCCTTAACAGCTACTGCTTCATTTTAGGGCTCTACTTCACATCACAATGTCTTAATGTAGTCTGCTGAATCAAACGAAAAAGCATCTTCACGGGAAAAGAAACAATCAACCAAATGAAAAGACGACCTATGAAATGAAAAAAAAATATTTGCAAACCATATATCTGATAAAGGGTTAATATCCAAAATACAGATGATCTCTAATTTATGATAGTTCAACTGATGATTTTTGTGACTTTATGCTGGATTTATAAAGGTATTAAATTCATTTTGACTTATGATTTTTTATTTATGATGGGTTTATCCAGATATAATCCTATTATACTTCAGGGACCATCTATATATAAGGAGCTCATAAAACTTAACAGAAAAAAAAATTAAGCAAATTAAGAAATGGGCAAAATAATTGAACAGACATTTCTACAAAGACATAGAAATGGCCAAGTACATGAAAAGGAGCTCTGCGTCACTGATCACCAGGGAAACGCAAATTAAAACCACAATGAGATATTACTGCACACCTGTTGGGATGACTATTATTAAAAAAAAGATAAGTGTCAGTGAGGTTGTGGTGACAAAACCACCGTACACTGCTGGAGGAAGTGGAAATTGGTGCAGCCAATATGGAAAACTGGAGCTTCCTCAAAAATTAAAAGTAGAACTACTATATAATCCAGCATTTCTAATTCTGGGTATATATCTAAACAATTGAAATCAGTATCCTAAAGAGATATCTGCACTCTCATGTTTATCGCAGCATCATTCACAATAGCCAAGACACGGAAGCAACCTAAAGTTCATAGACAAATGGATAAAGAAAATGTGGTATATACATACAGTGGAATATTGTAAATTCTTTAAAAAGGAGGAAATCCTGTCATTGTTGACAATTTGTATGAACCTGGAGGACATTATCCTATGTGAAATAAGCCAGATGCACAATAAATACTACACAATCTCACTTATATAGAAATCTAAAGTAGTCATAGAAACAGAGTAAAATTATGGTTTTTCAGGGGCTCGGAGGGAGGGGGGAAAATGGAGGTATCAGTCAAAGGGTACAAAATTTCAGTTCTGCAAAATGAAGCGGTCCTGGAGATCTATAGCACAGTGCCTATGGTTAACAATACTATACTGTATACCTGAAAGAAGGTGGATCTTATATTAAGTGTTCTTATCTCACACACACACACACACACGTGCACACCTACAAAATAATGGTAACAAATAGAGTCAGAAAACTTTTTGAGGCAATGAATATGTTTATAGCATAGTTTGTGATAATTTCATAGATGTACATTTATCTCCAAACTCATCAAACTGTATACATAAAATATAGCTTTTAAAAATGTCAATCATATATAATAATGTGTTTTAAAACACTTTTATGTGGTCAAGAAATGTCTTGAAAGAGTAGGGTAACTTCTCAGATACCACATCTTTATCTGCATTTACTCATCTCACTAGGACCTGACTTTTGTGAAAATACATATGCTTGTCAAGGTCAATATTCATTTGTGTCACCAAATTCAATACATACTGCATACAGTGAAATGTTCCATACCCCCTCTTAGATGTTTAAAAGATATCTCAATCTTAGTATATCCAAAATGGAACTCCAACCCCTAATTCCATACCTGTTATTTCCAATCTTTACTCCTCAAGTTTTATTCTGTCAGCATATTCATCACAAAACTATATATATTGAAAATATCTCATCTTTCTACTTTCTAACCCAATCATCTTTAGTTCAGTCTCCTACCTGCTCTCCCAGCTGCAACTGTTACCCATTCACCACTTAGCAGCCAGTGATTTGAAAATCATTTAAACATTTTCTCCATTTTCCTTTGGCTTAGAGTAGGGACTGAAAACTCATTTGCCTACCAAGGCCAAGAAGATAAACAGCAGAAGTAAACCAGGAATTTAAAAAAAAACAAAACTACCAGAGAATGAAATCAAACTTACTTTTATTTTCTCTGAATTATAGTGTAAACATGTAATATAATAACATATGTAATACTGTAGATTATATTTTGAAATTGTTAGACAAACCTGCAAGATTTAATTATCCAGCTTTTGTCGTCTTTTCTAGATTTGTGTACAGATTATCATCTCTACTATCTGAAAAACAGGTCAGCAGTGATGATAAATGGCAACACACCCTCAGGCTCAGAGTGGAGAATACAATAAGCAAGGCGCAAGGCACAATAGCTTAAGGAGCTTGCGTGCACATAGTAGCCATCTATGTATGTAGCCTTTTCATACTGTTGTTCTTCACTTAGCAATATGCATTTAGGGTTTATGTATTTTCATGACTTGATGGTTTTTAAAATTTTCATTGAGTAATATCCTGTTGTATGGATGTACCACAGTTCGTTTATCTATTCTCCTGTTGAAGGACATCTTGATTGTTTTCAGAATTTTTTGTGATAAAGCTGCTGTAAACTTTCTTGTGCAGGTTTTTGTGTGGAAACAAGTTTTGAACCCATTTGGGTAAATATCAAAGAGTGTGATTGCTGGATCATATGGTAAAACTGTGTTTGACTTTGTAAGAAACTGCAAAACAGTCTTCCAAAATGTCTGTACCCTTCATTTCCACCAGCAATGAATTGAGAATTTCTGTTGTTCCACATCCTTGTCAGCATTTGGTGTTGTCAGTGTTTTGGATTTTAGCCATTTTAATAGGTTCGTAATAGTACCACTTGTTGTTTTAATTTGCAGTTCCCTAATGACACATCATGAGCATTTTTTCGTATGCTTATTTGCCATCTGAATAACTTCTTTGCTGAGGTGTCTGTTTAGATCTTTTGCCGACTTTTTGTTTGCTTTCTTATTTTTGAGCTTTAGGAGTTTTAGTATATTTTGGATACAAGTCCTGTATCAAATATGTGTTGTGAATTTTTTTTCCTTTAGTCTATGGCTTGTCATTTACTTCTCGTTATGGTGTCATTTGTAGAATGGAAAATTTTTATTTTAATGAAGTCTCACCTATCCATCATTTCTCTAATGGATTATACTTTTAGTGCCATATCTGAATACTCAATGCCAAACCCCAGGTCATTTGGACTTTTTATGTGTTATTTTCTATGAATAGTATAGATTTGTGTTTTGAATTTAGGTTTAAGATTCATTTTTAGTTAATTTTGTGAAAGATATAAGATCTGTGTCTATATTAAACTATTTTTGCTTGTGGGCGTCTAGCTGGTCCAGCACCATTTGCTGAAAAGACTATCCTTTCTTCCATTGAATTACTTTTGCTTCTTAAAGATCATTGGACTATATTTGCATGTGTTTACTTTTGTGTTATCTATTCTGTTTTATCAATCTGATCTGTTCTATTGATCTATGTGTCAATTCTTTTGCCTCTATGACACTTTCTTGATTATTATAGCTTTGTGGTAAGTTTTGAAGTCAGGTAATGTCTTCTGGCTCTGTTTTTTTTTTTTCTAAAAAATTCTGTTGACTTCTCTGAGTCTTTTGCCTTTTCAGATAAACTTTAGAATCAGTTTCCTGGTATCCACAAAAACATTCTAGGATTTTGATTAAGATTGCATAAATTTATAGATCGATTGGGAAAACTGCTATTTTAAAAATATTGAGTCTTATCCATGAACATAGATTATCTTTCTATATATTTAGATCTTTTTTATTTATTTCATCAGAGTTTTGTAGTTTTCCTTATACAGATCTTGTTAGGGATATATGTAAGTAGTTCATAGTTTGGTGTCGATATTGATTCATTATTTGTAAAATAATATACCACATTAATGCAAGATGTTAATAATAAGGAAAACTGTGCAGGAGGAAATTATGTTTAGAGGGAAAGATGGTGAGAATAATTAATGAAGTTTCAGCTTACATTTTATAGAATTTTTAAAGGTTTAAGACCATAATATTTTACAATTTGCAGTGTGTCAAATAGATGATTTTATGTAATTGTCACGATTGCATTACAAGGTCAGTATGATGACCTTACAGTGCAGTTGTGTGTTCAATAAATAAGGGTAGACTTGCTACCTCATTTTTGAGGAGTACCTGCGGAGACTGTCACTTATAGCTGTTAAAACAACCCAAATAAAGAATAAACACTCTGAAAGAAAATTCATCTCAAGATGGCAGGGCGAGATGGTTATATGCTAAAGTTTAATGTTAAATTTTAAGCAACATTTATTAAAGGTAATAGTCACTATGAATGGAAGTGCTTTCTACTGAGTCAGATCATATTCCTGTTTGATGGACAGCCAATAAATGAAGCAGATAAGTCTTCCTCACTGAAAATGGAAGATGAAAATGATGTTTTCATTCAGAACAAGTGGGCAATATCTACTAAAAACATAAATGGCTACTCATTATTTCACAATATTCTCCTCTGTTCTATACTCTGTTTCTACAAACAAGGACATAAACCTGAATAAAACTTGATTAATATTTATTAAAACACTTGCTTTTACTATATATCGACTACCGAATTAATGTTTTTCCCTATTCTTTTATTCCACTATTCCTTTATTATCTGAGGTATGTATCTAAAATATGTTCACAGATATGTATAATTTATTCTTTTAAGGAAACAATGCCATTAGTATTGTACAATTTGGCCGATGGAATAAGTTACTTTGTTTCCATTCTTCAGCAAAAATTTCTTTGTACATTTTGCTTGTATAATATCAACATATTTTATTTACCGTAATAGAACCGAGGAAAATTTTGTAACTTTGCAAATATTTGGCTGTTAAACATAGGGCAATCTGTCTTTAAGTAGAGATAACTTACTCTAAAATGAATTCTAGGTAGTTTTCTCTTAATAACATATATCTTGCAATTTAAATGAGCATCTTAATTGAAATAAAGAAATGCATGTGTGGTAAATAGCAATACCTGGACTCGACATGTCTTGGGACATCAAATCTCAAGCTTATAGAATCTTAGATCTGAGAGCAGCATAAGGGATGGCCTAGTCCAATTTTCTTATTTTATACTGACAGGAAAAGAGAACTAGATAGAATACGGGGGTAGGGACCCCACACATCCAGTTAGTGCCAGCGTCAGAGTAAAAAGTCAGGCTCTCCTGGCTGAAATGGAGTTTGGAGTCATGGGAAGATCTTAACCTTTGAATTTAGATTGGCATGTATTACCAATTTTATGATCTTGAGTAAATCCCTCAACCTATTTGAGCATCATTTGAGCTCTGAATAAGAGATTAAAATACTAGAATTAATTAATCTCCCAGGCATAACAAAAACAAAGAGTGGCTTTAAGATCTAAAACTGGGGGGGTTTCGGTATTCTTTATTGATATAGTCGTACACATTTTGGGGATACATGTGATATTTTTATACATGTATATAATACATAATGATCAAATAATGATAATTTGATATCCATCAACTAAAATATATATCTTTGTGTTGGGTACATTGTAATTTTTTTCTTCTAGATATACAATAAATTATTAACTGCAATTTCCTTGCTGTATTATTGAATACTAGAACTTATTCCTTCTAGCGTATTTTATTTTTGTACCCATTAAATAAGTTCCCTTCATACTCCCTCCTTTTGCCCTTCCCAGTCTCTGGTAACCGCCATTCTATTCACTACCTCCACAAGACCCACATTTGTAGCCCCCACATTTGTCTCTCCGTTCTTGCTTTATTTCACTTAACATAATGACCTCCAGTCCATCCATGTTGTTGCAAATGGCAGGATTTAACTCTTTTTATGGCTGCATAGTATTCCATTGTGTGTGTGTGTGTGTGTGTGTGTGTGTGTGTGTGTGTGTGTGTATGTAATGTTTTCTTTATCCATTCATCCATTGATGGACACTTAGCTTGCTTCCACTTCTTGGTTATTGTGAGTAGTGCTGCAACAGACATGAGAGTGCCAATATCTCTTTAATATACTGATTACATTTCTTTTTGGCTATATATATCCAGTAGTGAGATTGCTGGATTGTATGGTAGTTCTATTTTTAGTTTTTTGAGGCATGTTCATACTGCTTTCCATAGTGGCTGTACTAATTTACATTCCCAGCAACAGTGTATGAGCATTTCCTTTTCTCTGCATCCTCACCAGCATTTTCTATTTTATATCTTTTTGATAATAGCCATTCTATCTGGAGTGAGATGATTTCTCATTGTGATTTTAATTTGCATTTCCCTGATAATTAGTTATGTTAAGCATGTTTTCATACATCTGTTGGCCATTTGTATGTTTTCTCTTGAGAATTGTCTATTCAGATCTTTTGCCCATTTTAAAATAAGATTATTACTTTTTATTTTCATTTAGTTTTTGCTATTGAGATGTTTGAGTTCCTTTTTTTTTTTTTGAGTCAGGATCTCACTCTGTCACCAATGCTGGAGTGTAGTAGTGTGATCATGGCTCATTGCAGCCTCGACCTGGGTTCAAGTAATTCTCCCACTTCAGCCTCCCGAGTAGCTGGGACTACAGGCACAAGCTTCAATGCCATGGTTTTCAGGTTGTTTTTTTTTTTAATAGAGATGAGGTCTCACTATGTTGTCCAGGCTGGTCTCAAACTCCTGGCATCAAGCAATCCTCCTGACTTGGATTCCCAAAGTGCTGGGATTACAGGTGTGAGCCACCACGCCTGGTCTGAGTTCCATATATACTATTGTTATTAATCCCTCGTTGGATGGATAGTTTGCAAGTATCTTCTTCCATTCTGAATTGTCTCTTCACTTTGTTTCCTTTGCTGTGCAACAGCTTTTTAGCTTGATTTAATCCCTTTAGTCTGTTTTTGCTTTGGTTGCCTATGCTTTTGAGGTCTTACCCAAAAAAGCTTTGCCCAGACCAATGTCCTATCGCATTTTCCTAATATTTATCTTCTAGTAGTTTTATAGTTTTGGGTATTAGATTTAAGTCTTTATTTCATTTTGATTCTTACATATAGTGAAAGATGAGGATCTAATTACATTCTTTTGCATATGGATATCCAGTTTTCCCAGCATCATATTTTAAATGCCATGTATTCTTGGCATCTCTGTTGAAAATGACTTAGCTGTAAGTGCATGAATTTATTTCTGAGTTCCCCATTCTGTTTGATAGTTCTATGTGTCTGTTTTTATGGAAGTACCACACTATTTTGGTTACTACAGCTTTGTAGTAGAATTTGAAGTCAGGTAACGTGATGCCTTCAGCATTGTTCTTTTTGCTCAGGATTGCTTTAGCTATTTGGAGTCTTCTGGTTCTATATGGTTCTGTATGGTTTTGTTTTTTCTATTTCTATGAAAACTGTCATTGGTATTTTGATAGGGAATGCATTGAATCTGTAGGTTGCTTTGGGTAGTATTGTCATTTTAATAATAATTTTTTCAAAGCATGAGCATGGAATAACTTTCTATTATTTAATGTCCTCTTCAGTAACTTTCATTGTTGTTTTATAGTTTTCCTTGTAGAGACAGTTTACTTCTTTGGTTAAATTTCTTCCTAGCTAATTGTAGCTATTGTGAATGGGATTGCTTCGTTTTTTTTTTTTTTTTCTTCAGATTGATCATTGTTAATGACATTGTTAGTATAGAGACAATACTGACATTTTAGGTTGATTTTTGTATCCTTTAACTTTACTAAATATGTTTGACAGTTCTAAGAGTTTTTTTTGTTGGAGCCTTTAGTTATTTTCTAAATGTAAGATCACATTGTCTGCAAGCAAGGGTAATTTGACTTTTTCTTTGTCACTTTGGATGCCCTTTCTTTCTCTCACTTGATTGCTGTGGCTAAACAAGTATGTCTCAGTGAGCTGTAAATTCTCTTACTACTAATGTCCTTTTCTTCCACACAAGATAGTTAAGGCAGTTTCATATAATCACAATCTACTTGAGAAAAATAGGATGAGGTACGTATTATTATATTAGAGTCAGAAAATTCATCCGAGATCAGAAAACTCATCTAAAATCAAGGCAAATGAGTAATAGAAACCAATGAAATAGATGGCCTTTTTCCATGGTTCTTATCCATGACTAGGGAATTTTTTCCATCTTTCTTTTCTCTTTTTCTTATTTTTAAAATACTGATGCCTGAACCTCACCACTGAATGTTCTGAATTAATGTTTGGGATATGGGGAAAGGACATCATTTTTCCAAAAAAGCTTGCTGTTGATTCTCTTATGTAGATGTTACGGAGATCCTGTGGACCAGATGGAACAGTGCGAGTATTCCATAGGCTGCATCAGTTGACTAGTTTTCCACGAGGTACATGGGTGGTTAGCATGAAGAGGCTGAAGATCTCAGCAAGGAAGGGTCCCTGAAGCCACTGCAGTTCCATTAATGTCTTCCTAAACTCAGCTGTGATCTTAACGAGCCCTGGTTGAGCCTCTTCATTTTTACTGCTTTTATATTTCATGCCTAAAAGCAGTTACAGTTGAGGAGAGGTAGCATGAAACTTGGAAAACAAAGTGTTTGTCAGGGTGAACATGGTGCCTGGCTGTTTTCCAGGTGTTTTCAGTTCGATTTTGAGAATAACCCCCTCAAGGGGATGTCCAAAAACATTATGAAAGTTGGAATCTCAGTGAGCCATAACTTTGTATCTTCTTTTTTAAATGTTTTCTTAGAAACA
Organism: Homo sapiens; assembly: GCF_000001405.40. NCBI lineage: Eukaryota > Metazoa > Chordata > Mammalia > Primates > Hominidae > Homo > Homo sapiens. The sequence goes on along the minus strand of NC_000023.11, from coordinate 147,587,393 downwards.
GTTTATCCTAGGATTAGCTTTGTTTTCTGTTTTAACTAATCCATGAAGAAAGTAGAGCTGGGGCAGGGTCATTGGAGCCCTGGTCTGGCTCCTTTTGCTTAGGGTTTACCATGTTATGCCCAGGAAATGTCTAATAGCAATATCGATGAAACTCTATTGATTGGAATGTTCTGAGTACTGAAGGAAAGGAAATAGAAGACAAGACCCATGCCTTGAACTATGAAGAACAGAATGAGGAAGACAAAGAGTGTTTTCGTTGTTGTTGTTGTTGTTTTTGAGATGGAGTCTTGCTCTGTTGCCAGGCTGGAATGCAGTGGCGCAATCTTGGCTCACAGCAACCTCCACCTCCCGGATTCAAGCGATTCTCCTGTCTCAGCCTCCCGAGTAGCTGGGACTACAGCCGCATGCCACCAAGCCCAGCTGATTTTTGGATTTTTAGTAGAGATGCAGTTACACCATGTTGGTCAGGATGGTCTCACTCTCTTGACCTCGTGATCCGCCTGCCTCAGACTCCCAAAATGTTGGGATTACAGGCATGAGCCCCCGCCCCGGACAAACAGAGTGTTTTATCAGGACACTTTATTATATTTGTAAAGTGTCAACCTTCCAGTGTCTCCTTTGTATTCACCAGTTCCCACACCACCATCACTGCAACACACACACCCAGATAAATGCACACACATACACACACGCACATGCATTCTGACTTCCTCGGTACCATTAAACCCATCAGAGTTCCTAATAAACCCTGACAAGAAAGGAGGTTATACATCTCAGAAGGCTCCATCTCCTCATCTTGTCCATCTATAAAGTCTCAGAATAAAGGTGGCTTCCCAAAACTAGGGGTAGGGATTCTGTCAGCAGTATGTTCTAGCTCTCCCTCTCTCAATTTCCTATATTTGCCTTTGCAGTCAAACATATCTGGGTCAGGGAACATGCTGAATCAAGCAACCCACCTTTTGTGAGTTGGTCTTACTTAGAGCTAATCTGATTCTTGACAGTTTCTTTCCTAAGGAATGGAATCTATCTTCCTCATACTTGCCTTCTAGCTGGAATACTGCTGTGTGTAGATAGGTCTCTAGATAATACTGCCTCTGCACTGTAGGATGTCTGAGGATAGAGTATTTCATGGATCCTTCACTTTTGTCCACACTCTCTGCTGCAGAATTGGGTAGTGCCTGCATTATGACTGAGCTTGCTGCAATCCATCATATACAGGAAGCAGCCCCTGGCTGCTTTGTGTCTTACTAATCTCTGTCTCTGCTTATTGTTTGTCTTTCCTCACTCTGCAAGCTGTATTGGTGCCATTGAGCCTGAGTCTTCCTGAGGTACCTGTATGATGCTGGGGAAAGATGAGATGATCTAGCTGACTTGGGATAACCAGTTATCCTGCACTCATAAGCTTACCACATCTTGAACTTGCTACACTCATTTGGCTCACTGGAAACCTCGTGTTATCATGTTTGAACATTTTAGGCCTTTGGTTTTCTATTGGATTTGGATCCCCTGAATTAACTTATAGTCCTAGGAAAGGCTCTGTTGTCCTAATCTCCCTACTACCCACAGGCCTGGACACTGAAGTGTTAGTATATCACCTTACAGAACAAAATGGAACCTATTTTATTTCTAGCAGCTACAAATAATTGCCAAATCAGTCTGTTTTTTCCTGGGTCTGGAATTTGGATGACATTATACATGAACATATATAAATCTCTCCTTGGTTATTTTCCCCCTTGATTCATGTGGTATTTATTCTTAAACTGTTTTCCTCAAAAAACCTATAGGTTATAATACATGTTTTTTATGTGCATTCATATTTTAGCGAAATACTAAAAGTGTCTTCGGCCTGTAGATACCATATAAGGAAAACATGCAATGTTATGACTACTTCATTTTCCTCCCCCTCTTTCTAAAGCTATTTTTCCTTTAGAAACTCACAGCAACAGTGGGCAGGTTGGAAAAGGAGGTTATCTGCTGCTAATAAAGAATATTCCCAAGATCTTTCTGATACTATTTGTTTCATTTAAAATAAATCTGCAAATCTGTTGCACTTATACCTAAGTGGCTACAGGACCACAATTTCATGTTTGATTGAGCTGTCTGCTAAACGCTGAGCCTGTTCTTTTCTTCTGTCCATGTAAACAGTTGGAAGTGATCCTTAGATGACTGCTGAAGAAGGGGGGGCACTTTAGAGGTTGGTATGTAGGAATGTTATTGCAAATGCATTCAGTTTATTTTTGAACCATGATAATTTTCTGTCCCCCATCCCCCAATAAAAAGGAAAAAAAAGGAAAGCAAGATGAACTAGTATTTGTTTTCTTCAGAAGAAAGGGTTAGGATGGTGATATCCAATGTAATTTTCTGTTATAATAGAAACAAACAGTATATCTGTGCTGTGCAATATGATAGCTATTAGCCATGCATGGGTACTAAGCACTTGAAATGTAGCTAGTGTAATTGAGGGACTACATTTTTAAATTTTTTTAAAAATTAATTTTAGTTTAAATAGCCACTTGTCGCTAGTGACTGTGGTACTGGACAGAAGAATTTCAGGACTGGATTCCAGAGTGAGTGGCTTTTTCATTGCGGTGTTGAGCATTTCACAGTCTTTTTGTATGCACACACTTCGTGAGGCTGGGGGGATTCACCATAATAAGCCTCCCTCATTGCTAGTGCTTCTGGGTTTATTAATCCATTTCCTTTGTTTGTCAATGCCTACTTACCGTATTTGTTCAACAAATCTGTCCTAATGCATAGGGTGTTTTGACATGTACTATTTTTGAAGATACGCAACTTTTATTCGGAATTATGTTTACATAGATTTGATTAAACATATTTAATTTCCTTCTACTAGGTAACTCATTTGGTATGAACAAGTAATTCCCATGTCACCGAGAATGCAAACTTGGGGAAGAGGTGTAAACAGAGGGGAAGAGGTAGAGAGGTATTTTTAATTTATCAAGTTCTAACTACCAGTATCGAAATTATTACATTTAAAAAATCACTCAGCCTGTAATCCCAGCACCTTGGGAGGCCCAGGCGGGTGAATCACCTGAGGTCAGGAGTTCGAGACCAGCCTGGCCAACATGGTGAAACCCCATCTCTACTAAAAATACAAAAGTTAGCCAGTCATGGTGGCAGGTGCCTATAATCCCAGCTGCTTGGGAGGCTGAGATGAGAATTGCTTGAACCCAGGAGGTGGAGGTTGCAGTGAGCTGAGGTCACAGCAACCATTGCACTCCAGCCTGGGCAACAGAGTGACACTCTGTCTCCAAAAAAAAAAAAAAAAAAAAAAAAACCAAAGCAAAAAAAAAAACCCTCAACAGATGAGATGGATCATAGAGGCCTGCAGTGGGTCATGGGAGCATCTAGTACAGCCTCCAATCAAATGCTGCTTTTCTTCTTGCCACCCTCTCTCCTCACTTCTTTCTCCACAGTTGACCCCTTACAGGAGTTTCAGTGACAGGAACATCTCTTTACTTTCTGGGGCTGCCCATGCCACTGTTGGGAGACTTACATCCTTAGAAAGTGCCTCCTTATGATGTGACAAAATGTGTTCAGCCATGGTTTCTACCTCTGGGATAAAATGGCACATGTAATTTTATTTTTGTATAGCAGTCCTCCAAATGTTTGAAGATACAACTCTCTTTTACGTTGGGGTTTCTGGGCTCATTTCCAGTTAATTTATTAATGGCAGACTTTAAAGTCTCCTCAACATCTTGTTCTGGTCATCTTGATCTGGGCATATGGTAGTTTGTTAGTGGTCCCCTTAACGTGGTGCTCAACACTAAATCATGTACTCCAGGTGATATTGATCAGTAACAGATTTGAACAGGATGTTCATTTCCTGAGTTCTTAATGCTACAGCTTTACTGATGGTAAGATTATTTTAGCTTTATTTTCCTTTTTTAAAAAAGCAGAGCCACACCATATTGATCTTACAGTCTGCTATAGACCCATAGCCTTTTAAGCAGGTGCTGTGTCTCTCCTGTGTTGGTACAGTTGTATTTGGGTGACTAGGTGCAGTACTTCATATGAACCCATGTTAAACTTTATCTTGATAACTTTGGTGCATGTGGTGGACACTGTATTGCATTGCCAGATCTCTCTTCAGCAATGAAGAATTTATTTCTTCTGCTGCTGAGAATGCTGTTGACAAAACCTTCAGCTCTCAGTAGGCTTTGGAAATTCCCTTCCCTGCAGAAAACTACGTTACGAAGGTCACACATTTAGGTGCAGCCTCCATCCACAGACTGATCAGCTAAAGAGATACCAAGCTCCCCGACCCTTGCCCAACCCTACTTTGGGACCACATTTCAGGGTCATCTCAGGTCCAGCACTCCCTGTGAGGAGTGACTTGAGCCTTTGTTAGGACTGCATCACATATCAATCTCTCCCTCTGCTTAGTCCTGGTTCCTTCCCCTCCCTTTCACAGGTGTTAATCCCAAAAGCCCTCCCTAACAAACCTCCTGCATGCTAATTTCCAACTCAGAGTTTGCTTCACAAAGAACCCGATTTGAAAATTACAAATTACTCCACTCTGAGTAGCACATTCATTTTGGACCCTGTATCTGTTGTCGAATGTATCAGCTATTCTAATTTTTGGATATAATTTCTTGAAGTCCAGAGCCTACTTAAGCTTTTTATGAGATACTTCTACCTCAGCGTGTCATGAGCATCTCTAATTCAACACATCCACAAATGAAATGCACTCATTATTCCTACCATCTTCCTCTCTATATCTACTCTTCTTAACTATATCAACTCAGTCACCCTTGCTAGAAATCTGGTAGTCATATCCCTCGACCTAAACACTCAGATCTTCCTTCTTTCCTTTCTCACTGTCATTTCCCTAATTCAAGCCCGTATCATCCACCATTTATACTACTCCAGTAGCCTCCTCCCAGGATTCTACATAACTAGTCTTTCCCTTTCTACCTTTCATCACATGATGACCAAAGAATATTTCCAAAACAGGTCTAGTCATATTATCCGCTGATTTAAAAACTTTAATGTTCTTTCCCCCACCCTCTTGCTTAAAGGATCAACTTAATACTTCATAGGCTGGCCTTAAGGCCTTTTACCCAATCTTTCTCTTTTTCCTGTTTTATCTACTGTGGCTATCTTCATATGTAGTCTATTCTCTACCCACGCTAGTCTCTGCATATAAACAATCTCTTCAATTCTTTAAATACTTTAAAGATGCTTTTCCCTTTTCCACTTCATGCCTGTTGAATAGCTTTTTGGAGGAATGGAGTATGTGTTTTCAGGCTTGCCCTCTAACACACAGTGCAGTGCCTGACACATTGTGGTTCCATGAGTCCCCAACATGACATACAGATATGGGCTATATGTCTCTTCCATAAGATTGAACATGGGATTGAAAACTAGAAGCTAAAAAGGGAAAGAAGGCTACAAAATTTATCATGAACAGGTAACCCACAAGTATGAATTTAAAGGCCTATTTTAAGTATATCTATTATAGTTTGATGTTACACTACATTACTACTAGGGAATCTGAGAAGTTTGAATATTTTATGTCTTCTTAAGGATTAAACTTGTATGCCCAGACTAAGAAGTCATGGTGGATTAGAAGTGCATTTCTGTAGAGAATATTGTTTTAGGATTCTTAGCATTGCTGAGAGGAGAAAGGAAAAACACTAAATTGAAAAGGTGGTTTTATGATATGTTAAACATATTTTTCTCTTATAAGAGACATGTATATCCATATTTTCCTCTGAGAAGGCAAATGCCAAATTTAACAATATTTCTGAGTGTTGGTGTTATCATGAGGTAAGAGCTCAAAGGTAGCACTAGTCTAGTAGTTATGGAACTACTGGAATGTATTGAGTAGAAGTTTAGAGTCTTCAACCTGGTCAACACATGAAAAAATCAAAATACTTCAATATGACCCAAATGGGAATGCTGGGCTGAAATCAGCAAGAGGAAACTTATAAAAGTAATTGTTTAACCCTGAATTTAATTTTAAAGATATCACAAGATAGAGGAGACATGACTTAGAAGTGGCTTATGTAAAAAAAAAAAAAAATTGTACTTTTTGTAAGTCAAGAAGTTTCATGTGGCTGGTAAAAACAGGATACAATCTTTCTACTACCAGAATTACAATGTCTAGATCAAAGAATAAATAATTGAATCAATGTTATATTTATTCAAACATGTCAGGAATATTGTATTCAAATTGAAAGGAAGCAATGCCAAATTAGGATACCTCCAAAAGAGAGTAAACTAGATGGGAACAACTCTGCTTTCAGCTAGGAAACGTTGAAACAGCATGACTAATACACTGGAGAACAGATGACTACCAGTTGAGGGGAACCTATCAATTGGCAAAATTAATGAGTCCAATTTATTTATTTTTTAATGATTTTAACTTTTATTTTAGATTCGGTGGGACATATGCAGGTTTACTGCCTGGGTATATTGCATTACGCTAAGGTTTGAGGTATGATTGACCCCACCACCTAGATACTGAGCGTACTACCCAACAGTTACATTTTCAGGCCTTGCCTCGCTCCCTCCCCCCATATAGTGGTCCCAGTGTCTATTGTTCCCATCTTTATGTCCATGAGTACCATTGTTCAGCTCCCACTTATAAGTGACAATATGTACATTAATTCATATAGGATAATGGTCTCTACCTGCATCCATGTTGCTACAAAGGTCATGATTTGATTCTTTTTTATGATTTCATAATATTCCATGGTGCATATGAACCACATTTTCTTGATCTAATCCACCACTGATGTGCACCTAGGTTGTTTCCATGTCTTCACTATTGTGAATAATGCTGCAGTGAACACTTGAGTGCATGTGGCTTTTTGGCAGAATGATTTATTTTCTTTTGAATACATAACCAGTAATGGGATTGCTGGGTCAATTGGTAGTTCTGTTTTAAGTCTCTTTAGAAATCCCCAAACTGCTTTCTACAGTGGCTGAACTAATTTGCATTCCCACCAACAGTGTATAAGTGTTCCTTCTATCTGACGCCTCACCAGCATCTGTTGTTTTTTGACAGTTTAATAATAGCTATTCTGACATGTGTGAGATGTTATCTCATTGTGGTTTTGATGTCCATTTCTCTGATGATTATTGATATTGAGCATTTTTTCATATCTTTGTTGGAAGCATGTATGTCTTCATTTGAGAAGTGTCTGTTCATGTCTTTTGCCCATTTTGAATTGTTTTTGTTTTTGCAATTATATAAGTTCCTTATAGATTCTTCATATTAGACCTTTGTCAGATGTGATATTTGTGAATATATTCTCCCATTCTGTAGGTTGTGTGTTTACTCTGTCAGTAGTTTCTTTCGCTGTGCAGAAGCTCTTTGGTTTAATTAGGTCCCACTGGTCAAGGTGTGTGTGTGTGTGTGTGTGTGTGTGTGTGTGTGTGTGTGTGTGTGTGAATTGCTTTTGAGGATTTAGTCCTAAATTATTTTCCAAGGCTAATGTCCAGAATGGTGTCTCCTAGGGTTTTTTCTGGGATTCTTACAGTTTGAGTTCTTAAATTTAAGTCTTTAATCCATCCTGAGTTAATTTTTTATATGGTAAAATGTAGGGATCCAATTTCATTCTTCTGCATACGGCTAGCCAGTTATTCTGGCACCATTTATTGAATAGGGAGTTGTTTCCCCATTGCTCATTTTTGTTGACTTCGTTGAAGATCAGATGGCTGTAGGTATATGGCTTTATTTCTGGGTTCTCTGTAGATGTGTTCCACTGGTCTACACATCTGTTTTTGCACCAGTACCATGCTATTTTGGTTGCTGTAGCCTTATAGTATAGTTTGAAATCAGATAACATTATGCCTATGGCTTCGTTCTTTTTACTTAGGATAGCTTTGGCTGTTCAGGCACTTTTTTGGTTCCATATGAATTTTAAAACAGATTTTTATAGTTGTGTAATAAATGATGTTGGTAGCTCTATAGGCTTGGTGATGAATCTGCAGATAGCTTTGGGCAGCATGGCCACTATAACACTATTGATTTTTCTAACCTATAAACATGGAATGTGTTTCCATTTGCTTGTGTCACCTATGCTTTCTTTTAGCAGCGCTTTGTAGTTCTTTCACCTCTTTGGTTAGATGAATTCCTAGTTTTTTTGTGGCTATTGTAAATGTGATTGCATTTTTAGTTTGTCTCTCAGCTTGCACAATATTGGTATACAGAAATGCTACTGATTTTTCTACATTAAATTTGTATCCTGAAACTTTACTGAAGTTATTTATAAGTTTCAGGAACTATTGGAAGAGTCTTTAGGGTTTTCTAGGTATAGAATCATATCATCAGCAAAGAGTTTAACTTTTCCTTTTCCTATTTGGATGCCTTTTATTTCTATTTCCTGATTGCTCTGGATAGAACTTCAAGTACTACCTTGAATAGGAGTGTTGAAAATGGTTATCCTTGTCTTGTTCCGGTTCCCAAGGGGAATGGTTCCAGCTTTTGCCTATTCCGTATTATGATGGATGTGGGTTTGTCATAGATGGTTATTATTATTTTGAGGTAGGTTCCCTTGATTTCTTGTTTCCTGAGGGATTTTATCATAAAGAGATAATGGATTTTATCAAAAGCTTTACTTGTATCTATTGGGATGATCATATGATTTTTGTTTTCAATTGTTTGTGGTGAATCACATTTATTAATCTGCATATTGTGAACCAACATTGCATCCCAGGAATAAAACCTATTTAATCATGGTGAATTAGCTTTTTGATGTGGTGCTGAATTTGATTCGTTAGTATTTCATTGAGGATTTTTGGAACAATATTCATCAGGGATATTGGCCTGTTGTTTTATTTTTTCATTGTGTCTTTGACAGATTTTGGGTGATGTTGGCTTTATAGAATGAGTTAGAGAGGAGTCCCTCCTCCTCAATTTTTGGATATAGTTTTAGTAGGATAGGTACCAGTTCTTCTTTTTACATTTGGTATAATTCAGCTGTGAATTCATGTGGTCTGGGGCATTTTTTGGTAGGTACATTTTTTTGTTAGTGGTTAAATTTTGGAACTCAATATTGGTTGGTTTAGGGTTTCTATTTCTTCTTTATTCAATCTTGGATAATTGTGTGTTTCAGGAATTTATCCATTTTCTCTAGATTTTTCTAGTTTTTGAGCACACAGATATAATAGTTTCTGAGGATCTTTTGTATGTCTGTTGAATTGGTTGCAATGTCACCTTTGTTTTTGATTGTGCTTATTTGAATCCACTTTCTTTGTTTTTAAAATTTTTTCTATTTTTAATTTTTGTTGGTATGTAATAGCTGTATATATTTATAAGAGATGTTTTGATACAGGCATGCAGTGAGTAATAGCCACATCATGGAAGATGGGGTATCTATCCCATCAGGCATTTTTCCTTTGTGTTACACAAAATCCAACTATTCTTCTTAGTGATTTTTTAATGTACAATTATTATTGACTATATTTACTCTGTTTTGCTACCAAATATTACGGCTTATTCATTCATTCTATTTTTCTATGCATTAACCACCCTGATTCCCTCCCCAACCCCCTAGTACTCGGTCAAGACTCTAGGCACCATCCATCTATATGCTTTCTCTCCATGGGTTCAATTGTTTTGGTTTTTTATCACAGAAATAAGTGAAAACATGAGATATTTGTCTTTCTGTGCCTGGCTTATTTCACTTAACATAATGACCTCCGGTTCCATCCATGTTGTTGCTCCCATTCACAATTGCTTCAAAGAGAATAAAATACCTAGGAATCCAACTTACAAGGGACATGAAGGACCTCTTCAAGGAGAACTACAAACCACTGCTCAATGAAATAAAAGAGGATACAAACAAATGGAAGAACATTCCATGCTCATGGGTAGGAAGAATCAATATCGTGAAAATGGCCATACTGCCCAAGGTAATTTATAGATTCAATGCCATGTTGTTGCAAATGACAGGGTCTCATTCTTGTTATGGTTGAATAATACTCCATTGTGTGTATGTACCATAGTTTCTTTGTCCATTCTTCTGTTAATGGAAACTTAGATTGCTTCCAAATCTTGGCTAATGTGAACAGAGCTGCCACAAACATGGGAGTGCAGATCTCTCTTCAATAAGTTGATTTCTTTTCTTTTAGGTATATACCCAGCAGTGAGATTTCTGAGTCATATGGTAGTGCTATTTTTAGTTCTTTGAGGAACTTCCAGACTGTTCTCCATATTGATTGCACTAATTTAGATTCCCACCAAGAGTGTACAAGAGTTCCCTTTCTCCACATCCTCACCAGCATTTGTTATTGCCTATCTTTTAGATCTAAGCCATTTTAACTGGGCTGAGATGACATATCGTTATAATTTTGATTTGCCTTTCTCTGATGATCAATGATATTGAGCAACTTTTCATATGCTTTTTTGTTTCCCATTCGTATGTCTTCTTTTGAGAAATGTCTGTGCAAATATTTGACCCATTTTAAAATCTGATTATTAGGGTTTTTTTCCTATAGAGTTGATCGAGCTCCTTTTATAATATGGTTATTAATCCCTTGTCAGATGGGTAGTTTGCAAATATTTTCTCCCATTCTGTGGGTTGTCTCTTCACATTGTTAATTGTTTCATTTGCTGTGCGGCAGCTTTTTAAACTTGATATGATCCCATTTGTCCATTTTTGCTTTGGTTGCCTGTGCTCCTAGATTTTCCAATTTATTGCCATACAGTGGCTCATTGTAGACACTAATGATCCTTCGAAATTCCACAGTATCAGTTGTAATCTCTCCTTTTTCGTCTTTGATTTTATTTATTTGGATCTTCTTTTTTTAGTCTGGGTGAAAGTTTGTCAATTATATTTAATTTTTCAAAAACCTAACTTTTTGTTTCACTGATCTTTTGTATTGTTTCTTTAATTTCAATTTCATTTATCTCTCTTTTGATCATTATTATTTATTTTCTTATACTAATTTTGGGTTTGGTTTGCTCTCACTTTTCTAGTTTTTAAAGACACATTGTTAGGTTTGGTGCTTTACTTATTTTTTATGTAGGCACTTATAGCTATAAACTTCTCTCTTAGTACTACTTTTGTTGTATCCCATAGATTTTGGTATGTTTCCATTTAATATTTCTTTCAATTTTTGAAATTTTATTTTTAATTCCTTCATTGACCCACTGGTCATTTAGTAGCATATTATTTAATTGTATGTGTTTGTATGATTTCCAAAATTCCTTTTTTTATGGATTTCTAGTTTTATTCCATTGTGGTCAGAAAAGATAATTGATATTATTTTAAATTTTTTGAATGCTTTAAGACTTGTTTTGTTACCTAACATATGGTCTATATTTGACAATGATCCATGTGCTGAGGATAAGAATGTGTATCTTGCAGCCATTGGATAAAATGTGCTGTAAGTATCTATTAGGTCCATTTAGTCTATAATGCAGATTAAGTCTGATGTTTCCTTGCTGATTTTCCGTGAGGAAGATATGTCCAATGTTGAAAGTGGGATGTTGAAGTCTCCAGCTATTTTATATCAGAGTCTATATCACTCTTTAGCCCTAGTAATACTTGTTTTATATATCTGCATGCTCCAACGTGGGATGCATATATATTTAAAATTATTATATCTTCTTACTGAGTTGACCCCTTATTATATAGTGGCATACTTTGTCTCTTCTCATAGATTTCATCTTAAAATATACTTTGTCTAATAGAAGTATAGTTACTCCTGCTCTTTTTTGGTTTCCATTGGCATGGAGTATCTTTTTTCACCCCTTTGTCTTCAGTCTGTGTGTCTTTATAGGTGAAGTGTATTTCTTATAGGCAACATATTAATGGGTCTTGCTTTATCAATTCAGCCAGTATATATCTTTTGATTGGAGAGTTTAATCCATTTACATTTGATATTATGATTGGTAGGTAAGGACATATTCCTGCTATTTTGTCCTTTGTTTTCTGTTTCTTGTGGGGGGTCTTTTCTTTCTTTTTTCTTTCCTTCTTGTCTTCCTCTAGTGAAGGTGATTTTCTCTGGTGATATGATTTAGTTTCTCGCTGTTTATTTTTTGTGTATTCATTGTATGTTTCTTGGATTCAGGTTACCATGAGGTTTGAAAATACTATCTTAGGACCCATTATTTTAAGTTGATAACAACTTAACTCTGCTTGCATAAACCAACAAACAAGCTAAAACTGATAGATTCTATACCTTAACATCATCCCCCCCCCCACTTTTTAACTTTTTATTGTTACTATTTATATCTTACTGTACTGTCTGTTTTGAAAAGTTGTCGTAGTTATTACTTTTGTTTCATCATTTAATGTTCCTAATTAGAATAACAGAAGTTTACATAACAGAGTTACAATGTTGTAATATTCTGTGTTTTTCTGTGTACTTACTATTATCAGTGAGTTTTGTAACTTCAGGTGATTACTTATTGCTCATTAATGTCCTTTTTCTGATTGAAGTACTCCCTTTAACATTTCTTGTAGCACGGGTCTGGTGTTGATGAAATCCCTCAGCTTTTGTTTGCCTGGGAAAGTATTTCTCATTCATGTTTGAAGGATAATTTCATCAGATATACTATTCTAGGCTAAAAGATTTTTTCCTTCAGCACTTAAAAAATATCATGCCACTCTCTCCTAGTATGTAGTTTTTCCACTAAAAAGTTTGCTACCAGGTTTATTGGAGCTCCATGGTATGTTATTTGTTTCTTTGCTCTTGCTGCTTTTTAGATTCTTTATTTATTCTTGACCTTTGGGAGGATGATTATTCAATGCTTTGAGGTTGCCTTTTTTGGGTTAAATCTGCTTGGTGTTCTATAGCCTTCTTTTACTTGGACATTGATATCTTTTTCTAGGTTTGGAAAGTTTGCAGTTACCCCTTCGAATAAACTTTCTACCCCTATCTTTTTCTCTCCCTCCCCTTTAAGGCCAGTAATTCTTAGATTTGCCCTTTTGAGGTTATTTTCTAGAGCCTGTACATACCCTTCACTGTTTCTTATTCTTTTTTCTTTTGTCTCCTCTGACCGTGTGTTTTCAAATAGCCCGTCTTCACGCTCACTAGTTCATTCTTCTGCTTGATCAATTCTGCTATTAAGATGCTCCAATGCATTCTTCAGTATGTGAATTGCATTTTTCATCTTAAGAATTTCTGCTTGATCCTAAGGTGCAATAAAAATTTCTGTTTACTTTTTCCTCTGCTTTTTTGAAGTGGAAGGAGTCTCACCGGCATGGTGAATTGGGGTCCCCTCCCAAAACAGGAGGCTTGCCTCTCACCCTGTAGCCACCACTGGTGGGAATGTGTCTTACCTGAGGCTGGCAATTCTCAGTGTCTCACACAAAGCCCTTGATGTATGACCTAAGCATTGCTGCTGCTTATTCAGGGCTCACTCAAGGGCTGGTCAGTTTGCAGGTGATAAATTCTTCCAGGACTGGGTCATTCCCTTCAATGAAACAGGTTCTCTACTGGGTCAGCGTGTCTATATATGTCCAGAGAATAGGACTTGAAAAGGGGGCCTCATGACTCTGACTAGTGTCCTATCCTACTGCGACTGAGCTGGTATCCACGATGCAAAACAAAGTCCTTTCCACTCTCTTGTCTCCTCTCCTCAAGTTTAAGAAAGGGGTCTCTTTTGGAGCTGTGAGCCGTGCAGCCTGCTATTAGGGGAGGTTTGATGCCAGCACTCCCTTAGCCACCCTGACTGGTGTCTTACGTACCCACCCAGTCCACTGTCACTGGGCCCAGTTCTGTCCTAGGACTCACCTAGGTGTTACAGTCTTTGTAGCCTGGACTGCCTTTTAAATTTATGTGGAGCCCCAAAGCACTCGAGCCTGTAGTGGCAAGGCTTGTAGGAACTCAAGTTCCAACTGCTAGGATCAGCGATTCCCCTGTGGCTAGAGCTGGTTTAAATGCACCCTCTGTGGGCAGACATCAGCTGAGTTTGGTTTTGCCTTCTGCTATAACAAGGGCAACATTGATTTCAAGGCCTCACAACTGATGGCTGTCCCTCTCCCCAGGGCACGGAAATGCTCTCTGCCTCACTCTACTGCTGCCAGGGGATTGGGGAAGGGTGGCATCAGTGATTTAAGACTGATTTTTTCTGTTTTTTTTTCTGTTCTTCTCTTAAAGATATGGAATTCAAACCAGGTACGGTGAGTGCTCATCTGATATTTGGTTCTTACAAAGGTGCTTTTTTTGTGTGTGTAGATAGCTATTAAATTGTTGTTCTTGTGGGGTTTGGGGGATAATCAGTGGAGACTTCTGCCCTGCCATCTTCTTCCGCCCTTCCTCTCTATTTTCTGTGTTAATCTCACTATCAGACTATGAAGCTTGTTTACCCTCGCAAAGTACCCATTTTTGGCTTTGTTGATTCTGCGTATGGATTTCTGGGTCTCAATTTCTTTCAGTCTGTCTCTAATTGTGGTTACTTTTTTTTCATTCTGCTATCATTGGGTTTAATTTGTTCTTGTTTTTCTAGTTCCTCTAGGTGTGATATTTGATCATTAATTTGATATCTTTCTAACTTTTTAAGGTAGGCATTTAGTGGTATACACTTTTTGCTTAACACTACTTTTGCTGCATTCCAAATATTTTGTTATGTTGTGTTTCCATTTTTGATTATTTCAATTTTTTTATTTCTTAATTTTGTTCTTTCCCCAAAAGTCATTCGGGAGCAAACTGTTTAACTTCCATGTGACTGCATGGCTTTGAGAGACCTTCCTGCTATTGATTTGCGTTGTTATTCCACTGTGGTCCAAAAGTATGGTTGGTACTATTTTTTTTTCAAATTTATTTAGATTTGCTTTATGGCTGAGCATGTGCTTGATCTTTCAGTGTGTTCCATATGCAGATGAGAAGAATGCATATTTTTTGGTTGATGAGTGGAGTATTCTATAGGTTTCTATTAGGTCCAATTGGTCAAGTGTTGAATTTAAGTTGAGTTTCTTTGAGAGTTTTCTGCCTTGATGATGTAACTGTATCAATTGGGTATTGAAGTCCCCCACTATTATTGTGTGGCTAATTCTTTTTGTAGGTCTAGAAGTACTTGTTTTATGTATTTCAGTGCTCTAATATTTGGTGTGTATATATTTAGGATAGTTAAGTTTTCCTGTTGAATTTAACCCTTTATCATTATGTAATACCCTTCTTTGTCCTTTTGTACTATTGTTGGTTTCAAGTCTATTTTTTATGATATAACAACAGTGATGCCTACTATTTTTTTGTGTTACATTTGCATGATAGATGTTTCTCCAACCCTTCACTTTGAGCCTGTGGGTATCATTACATGTAGATGGGTCTTTTTTTTTTTTTTTTTTTTTTTTTTTTTTGACAGCACTTGGGCGCGTCCTGCTTTTATATCCAACTTTCCCTCTGTGCCTTTTAAGTGGGGTGTTTAGAGCAGTTACATTCATAGTTAATATGGATGTGTGAGGTTTTGATCCTAGTGTGTAGTTGTTAGCTGATTGCTTTGTAATTTCTTTTATGTGGTTGCTTTATAGGGTCTGTGTGCTATGTACTTAAGTGTGTTTTGGTGGTAGCAGATACAGTTCTTTCATTTCCATATTTAGAACTTCATTAAAGATCTCTTGTAAGGTTGTTCTAGTGGAAATAAATTTCCTTAGGGTTTGTTTGTCTAGAAAAGATTTATTTTTCTTTCTCTTATGAAGCCTAGTTTGGTAGGATATGAAATTCTTGGTTGGAATTTCTTGTCTTTTAGAATGCTGATAATAGGCCCTCAATATATCCTGGCTCGTAAGATTTCTGCTGTGAATTCAGCTGTTAGTCTGATAGTTCTGGTAGATGATAGAACATCTGATAGCTGTTCCTTCTGTATGTGATCTCGCCTATTTCTCTAGCTGTCTTTGAGATTTTTTTCTTTAGAATTGACCTTAGATAGTCTGGTGACTATATGCTTTGGTGACATTTGTTTTGTATTGTATTGCACAGGTGTTCACTGGATTTCTTGTATCTGGATGTCTACTTCTTTAGTGAGATTAGGGAAATTTTCTTGAATTATTTTTATTAAATATGTTCTCAAGGTTTCTCAGGAATGCCAACAATTCATAGGTTTGGTTGCTTCAGATAGTCTCATATTTCTCCCAGACTTTGTTCATTTTTAAAAAGTTCTTTATTTTTGTGTGACTGGGTTAGTTTGAAAGACTTTCAGCTCTGAAATTATTTCTTCTACTTGATCTAGTCTTTTGATAAAGCTTTTGATTGCATTTTGAAATTCCTTAAGCGAGCTTTTTCAATTATAGAAGCTCTAATTGATTTGTTTTTAAGACGTTTATCTCTTCCTTCATTTTTCTGGATTGCTTTAGAAGTTTTTTTGTGTTGATATTCAACCTTGCCTTGGATCTCATTGAGCTTCCTTGCAATCCCTGCTTTGAATTTTTATCTGTCATTTCCTGAGTTTCCATTTTTGTTAGGGACCATTGGTGGAGAGCTAGTGTGATTCTTTGGTTGTGCCACTCTATTAAGATTTTTCATAGTGCCAAATTCTTGCACTGGTCCCTTCTTATCTGGAGATGCTGGCACTTCTAAGTTTTGTAATTATTTTTTGTAGGTAGGATTTTTTTCTTTGTCTCTCTTTTCTTCCAATGTTGCTTTTTTTCTTCTCTTTTTTCTTCCTCTACTCCCTAAGGGGTACAACTATAGGAACTGCTGAGTGGGGTCTTTTGGCTTTTCTTCTATAGCCTTCTGTACTTCTGTCAGCATGTTTTATATTGGGCTGTGCAATTTGACCTACAAACCAATAGATGGCACTTATAGGTAAGAGCTATATGTGGCCAACGCTGCTGAGTAGTTTAGTTGGTGAAGCTTTCTGTCTCCTCCATGGGCTAATTTGTGGGGTGCACAGTCCTCTTACCCCTCTACTCAGCCCCAGAGTGGCAGGGAGCAAGTTAGTAAGGGCCAGAAGAGGCAGATCCTGAGTACAATTTAAAAGCAGAACAATTTGGCCTCAAATAATGATTTACAGTGTAATACATCTCAAGATGTTCAAAAGTAAAATGTTCTGTCTTGTGAGCAAATTAATTTCATGTCAGGAAGGGGCAGGCAAGTTAAGGCTATATGGCATTAAGAAGGCTATTGGAAAAAAAAAAAAGAAGGCTATTGAAAATATCTGATGGGAGATAAGACTAGGTGACTACCAAGGATCCTTTGAGGTTTCAGTTTAAGATGGTATGAATTAACCTAATATCAGAATGCATCACTGTGTACTGAGGTGTTGTTCATGCAAACGCAAAGTCACAGGCCATTTTGGATTTTCAGCTAGTTTTTTCACTAAGGTGCTATTAAATTGCCTCATGTTATATCTCTTTTCTTTTTTATACATTAGATTTATGTTTTAAATAAGGTACACATAGAAAAGCAGATTATGAATAGCATATATTGTAGAAATTAAGAGAAGAATGTTTGGTCCTGTTCTGACTACACCACTTGCTTGCTGTGTGACACTTTGTTACTCTGAACATTAGCTGTTTTTTTTTTCATTGTTACGTAAGACTACTAATAGTGCCTAAACTGTAGGTGGTTGTGAGGATAAAATGAAATATGTAAAGCACTCAGGTCAGTGCCTAAGAAAATCATAAATATTCAGTAAATGGTTACTCTTGTATTGGTGGTGTTATCATTACTTGTTTTTCTTTAATAATTGGATGTTAAACCAAAAATGTTTCCTCTCTATTAAAATACTGCATACATTTTCTTTGCTCATAGCCTAGTAAGGTTCCCTTTGTGCTTGCATTTTGTAATTATTTGATAAGTTATCCGTATTAGGCCTATGGGCAGTTTCAAACTTTAATTCTTGTACCTTTATTTGCAACAAAAAAATAACAGAATTCATGAAGCAACAGATGAAAAATGTTATCACTTTTTGAATAATACATTTAGTTGAAAATTACATGATTTAAAATATAATTGCTTCTGGAAGTGACTGAGCAGTGGAAGGATTTATTGGAAGAATGAAAAATAAAGCATTTGCTCAAAGTGCAATTTGATCTCTTACTTTGGCTTCATGTGAAGGAGTCATTTACTGCCCTGTTTTGCAGAGTGTGGTCATTTTGATATTAGTAAACAGCAACGTTCTATTCTCCAGTTACATATTTTGAAGCGTGGTTACTGTATGTTTACGCTGGTAGAATTAGAACTCAAATGTAAATTATACATTTTTCTAAAATGAAAACACAATCTGACTCTGATCTTCTTAATGTGATCTTAGGTTACTATTAAGTAAAAATTTTCTCATCTGTAAAGTCACAGTTCTTTCTTCATAGGGTTATAGTGATATTAAAGAAAGGTTATATGACATAAAATGCTTTATAAACTGAGAATCTTTAGATTAAATACTTTTAAACATACTTCTTTACTTCAGGAGTACTTGAATCCTTAATACAATAATGTTCATTGGGAAACCCCAAAAGAGGAATACAGTATTCAGGATTTTCAAAATCTCTTGATTGTAGTGCCGTTTTCTTTTCCTAGATCATCTTGAGCCATTCTTTACAGGGGGAACTAGACTTTGTCAAGACCACATAGCAATTTAGTGGTAGGACTAGAACTAGCACTCAGGTATCTCCCATTCATAGTCTAGTGCTTTTTCCTCTCTAAAATGCTGAATCCCAAATCTACAAGGAACTTAAATTAACAAGCAAAAACCAAATAATCCAATTTAAAAATGGGCAAAGGACATGAATGGACACTTATCAAAAGAAGACATACAAGTGGCCGACAAGCATGAAAAAATGCTTAACATCAGTAATCATCAGAGAAATGCCAATCAAAAACAAAGTGATGTGTCATATCACACTAGTCAGAATGATGATTATTAGAAAGGCCAAAAAATAACAGATGCTGGCCGGGCATGGTGGCTCACGCCTGTAATCCTAGCACTTTGGGAGGCCAAGTTGGGCAGATCACCTGAGGTCAGGAGTTTGAGACCAGCCTGGCCAACATGGTAGAACCCTGTCTCTACTAAAAATACAAAAATTAGCTGGGCATGGTGGTGGGCACCTGTAATCCCAGCTACTCGGGAGGCTGAGGCAGGAAGAACTGCTTGAACCCAGGAGGCAGAGGTTGCAGTAAGCCAAGATTGCGCCACTGCACTCCAGTCTGGGTGACAGGGTGAGACTCTGTCTCAAAAATAAATAAATAAATAAATAAATAAATAAATAAATAAATAAATAAATAACAGGTGCTGCAGAGAAGAGAGAACATGTATACACTGTTCGTTGGAATGCAAATTACTTCAGCCACTGTGGAAAGCAGTTTGGAGATTTCTCAAAGAACTTAAAACAGAACTACCATTTGACCCAGCAATCTCATTACTGGCTATATATCCAAAGGAAAATAAATTATTCCATCATAAAGACACATGCACTTGTATGCTCACTGCAGCAATATTCATAATAGCAAAGACATAGAATCAACCCAAGTGCCCATCAATGGTAGACTGGATCAAGAAAATGTGGTACATGGGATAATATGCAACCTTTAAAAAGAATGACATCATGTTCTTTGTGGCAACATGGATATAGCTGGAGACCATTAACCTAGGCAAATTAATGCAGAAACATAAAACCAAATACCTCATATTCTCAATTACAATGGGGAGATAAATACTGAATACACATAGACATGAAGATAGGAACAGTAGATACTGGGGACTACTAGAGGGGGGAGGGAGGGAGGAGAACATGGGCTGAAAACTACCTATTGGGTACTATGATCACTACCTGGGTGATGGGACCATCTGCACCCCAAACCTCAGCATTATGTAATATACCCATGTAACAAAGCTATACATGTATCCACTGAATCCAAAATTTTAAAAAAGAATCTAAATATAAAATCCTCGATCCTTGATTTGATGGTTTTATTGGAAGCACCAATTAATTCCTCTTTATTTTAGCCAATGAAGGAAATGAGTTTTACTTTATATCATGATCTTAATCTGTAAAATAAGGGCAGTGGCTAAGGGGTCTGTTCTGAAGCATTAGTGACTAAAAATTTGGGGGTCGAAATGTCTCTTTAGTGAAGATTTTCCTTTCTTGTGCATTTTCTGCGGGTGTCCTTGGCCTTTCATTACTGACAAAAACAATTATCTAGTTCATTTTGACATTAATAACTATAATGACATATATTGATCTTAGGCATTTATATAGCTAGATAGAGAGATAATTTTACAAATTGCTATCATACCCTAATGGCTATTTTTCATAATAGGCATTAAATTCAGTTCTACTTAATTTAATAGAAGCAAAAAAGAAACAGTATAAATGAAGTAATCTTTAAACTTCAAACATTGCTTCTCCAAATTAAATATTAGGTCCTGCAACATCTATTGTAGGATAAGAAAAATGTTATTAAAAAAACAACAAGGCAACAAATAATTGGAATTCTTATTATTTAAATTCTGTTTCTGGTAGGCAGCCTCTAAAATAGCCCCAATGACATTATGTTTACATTGTCAAAGTTTGCATCATTTTAATTTTGTTCTGTAACCATATTTCTCTCAGATGTCTCATGTCAGAAGAGTGTTTCTACTGTCTCTTAATTGTGAGTCCCTTTTGTGATGGTTCTTGTGAACTCTGATGCTTTTTGTCATTCCAGAGGGTACAGTAAAAGTATACCTCTCAAAAACAAAAGATATGTGGATTTACTTTCAGGGATAAAAAGCAGCTATGTAACAGGGAAGAGCCTGCTCTGTTCTCTGTCTTGTCTTAGAGAACAGAAACCCACAGAACCACCTATGTGATAGCAATTCTGAATTGGAAGGCAGAGCAGGTAGTCTCTGGCACACCACAGCAAGTAGATGGGCACAGAGGGAAGTGGCATACTGATGGGTTTCAGAATGAGTATATGGTAGACTTGGGATTAGAATCAAGGTAGATTACTCTTCAGTGTAAGTCTGTGTGTTTAACCACCATTCTATTCTGCCTTGAGAGAGAATGAGAATGCAATAAATGGTGGTCAGCATTATTGCCATTACTGAGGCCCTCCAATGCAAGATGGGATTTGCTTTGGCTGAGCGTGAAGGCTTGATAGTAAAGGAAATGTATGGCCATTCCTTTCCATTCCAGGAAGTGTTGAAAGTATAGCTTGAGAACTAAGAATTGACTTGTTACGAGTGACAATTGCTGGAAAATAAATAAACCACTTGCTAAGAGTAAATCTACCAAGAGTTATCATTGTGAAGAAACCACCCTTTCATTGGTTCCTTTTCCACTCACACTTTCAACTACTACTTATCTTACTGTGGGTGATAAAGATTATATGATGCTAGACACTTCACAGGCTCACAGGGTGGCTGATACCCATTTCTTTCTTTGTTTTCCTTTCTGGGCTTTGGTGTCCTTGATTTCTCACTCTCATCCAGTACAAATGTTGCCTTGCATATTTAGACGAGTAACCACCTACTTATCTATGCTGCATTTAGCTCCTGGGGTCCAGTTTGACTCTTGAGTGCTGAGGGTAGATTTACCCACCTACTGCATCTTTCACAGGGTTTTAGGCTGCCAATGCTGGGCAAAGCCCTCCCAGTTTGAACTGTCTTGTGGACTTACTGATTACAAGTAGATGTCTAGCTTTAAATCACATTTAATTAATATCAATAAGGAATCTGGTCGGGATTTTTGTAATTTAGGAAAATGAAGCCATCTTGAACTCAATTGAAATTTGACCCATTTAAGATGAAAACAAAGAAACAGGCAACATACTGAGGTATTTAGTTCATGTAAGAGTTAGAGACTTTGGTCATTATGTGCCATGTGTAAAGCGGCAACATACAATAAACAAGATGTTTCTGATCAAAGTGGAAGTATATCACAATTTAAAGGACTGTGACACAGGACCTTTTTCTCAGCAAATTTCTACATTTTAAAGATTTATTCAATTTTTAAACTCTAGAGAAGATTTTTGTATATATTTGAATGTTGCTTTCTGCTTGCTTTTTTTCTGAGTCATTAATGACTCATTGAACATGAATCATAATAATCTGTTTCTTTTCTATTTATGGTAGCATTTAGTGTTTGTTTCTTACTCTCAGTGTTGCTTTTGAAATTGCTGGAATGCACTCATTAAAAATGAGCTGGATGTTTTTGATAGTTTCCTTTTTTATAATAATGGATACTAATCACTTACATTTGTATACTGCTGTAAAGAACATTCACGTGTGCTGTCTCCTTTGATAACTGCAAAATTTTGAGGCAAGTATGTCAAATATTCCCACTTTATAGATGACAAAATTGAGACTCTAAGAGATCACACGGTTCAGAAAACTTTTAGTTGCATATCTAACATACACTTACATCTGCTGTAATTAAATGTATTGGCCTAGGTATCTGGGAAGGATGGGCAGAGCTGTATGCCTCAGGATCTAGTGGATCCAGGGCCTTCCATGGCAATTGGACTATTTTACTCCTTGATGCTTTGCTTGTTCTGTCCCCAGGTCCTATTGCAAGACCTATCTGCATGTTGACTTATGTCTTTCAGATTTCTTCACTCAGCTGGGGACATGGTCGCTGGAAGTCACAGTGGTCACGTTCTTGCTTTTTTGAAATTCAGGGGAGAAGAGAAAGCCTCTCCCTGTCCCGTTTAATACCAACTCAGGATAGCAGATTCTGAGTGGCCTGGTTTGGATTATGCGCCATATCTTGGATCAAAACCTGCATCTAAAGGAGACGTAGCATTGTGATTGGCCTGGCCAAGGTCAGATAGACACCTATCTCTGCTCCCAGATAGGTCAGGGGAGCAGAGTTTCTAATTGGAAGAAGGAAAGAAGCTGAACTACAAAGACAAAACTGTGGAAATCACAGAGGTTAAATAGTGGTTCAAGGTATTCTAATTCTTGGTCTAGTCATTTTTTTCTACCACGCCATGCTGTGGTATACTGTTTTTGTTCTCTAGAATGTTTTCTTGTGAAAATAATTCTGTTCAGTACTATGCAAAGATCTCATTAACTTATTTTTTAAAGTTTAATTTTGAAATGGTTTTAGATTTTCAGGAAATTGCAAAAATAGTACATCGAAGCCCCATTACCTTTCATGCAGCCTCTGTCAATGTTAACATCTTATATAACTATAGTACAATATCAAAACCAAGACAATGACATTGGTATAGTCCAAATAGCTTATTTGGGTTTCACCAGTTATGGGGGTATAGCTCAGGGGCAGAACATTTGTCTGCACATTTCGTCAGTTTTATATGAATTCGTGTGTATGTGTGTGTGTGTGTGTGTGTGTGTAGTTTTATGCAGTTTTATGTATAGATTCATATAATCGCTGCAATCAAGATACAGAACTGTTCCATTAACACAAAGATTTCCCTTGTTTAGTTTACTATTTATTTTCACGTCCACACTACTCTCCCACATCACTAACTCTTGGAAACCACTGATATCTTTCCATCTCTATACTTTTGTCATTTAAAGAATAGTGTGTAAATAGAATTATGTATTATTTACCCCTTTGAAATTGGCTATTTGCACTCAGCATATATATGAGGCCCATCCACATTGGTAAGTGTGTCAATAATTTGTTCTACTTTTATGGCTCAGCAGTATTCCGTGGTATGGATGTACCACATTTTGTTTTAACCATTCACTTGCTAAGGGACATCTGGGCTTCGTTTCCAGTTTCTGTCCGTTACAAATAAATCTGCTAAACACTTTTTTGTACTTATTTTTATGTAAGCAGGAGATTTCATTTCTCAGGGTAAGTGACCAAGACTGTAATTACTAGGTCATACCGTAAGCACATCTTTAGTTGTGTAAGAGGACTGCTAAACTCATTTCCAGAGTGGCTGTACTGTTTTATATCCACCAGCCATGTATAAGTGATCTAGTTTCCTCACAATACGGCCAGCATTTGGTGTTGTCACTTTTTAAAAAAATTTAGGCATTCTAAAGGTGTACAGTAATATCTCATTTTGGTTTTGATTTAATTTCCCTAACAATTTTGAATATCTCTTCATGTGCATATTTGCCATCTGTATATCCCCTTCAGTGAAATGTCTGTTCCAGCCTTTAGCCATTTTCTACATGGAATTCATTTTCTGTTGAGTTTTCAGAGTTCTTTATATATACTAAGATACTTATACATTTATACCAGGATACTTATATCCTTATATACTTATATATATGTAAGGATCCTTATATATACTTACTTACATATATACTTATATATATATGTAAGTATATACATAATGTATTTCTATACTTATAAGGATCCTTACATATATACTTATATATATATATACACACACACATATATAAGGATCCTTATATATAAGTATACATTATATACATTACATACTTATATATACATTATATACTTATATATTTAATTAATATAATGAATCCTTATATATTTATATATATGTAAGGATCCTTACATATATACTTATATATTTAATGTATATAATGAATCCTTATATACTTATATATATGTAAGGATCCTTACATGTATACTTATATATATACTTACATATATATAAGTATACATGTAAGGATCCTTATATATGTATACTTATATATATACTTACATATATATAAGTATATATGTAAGGATCCTTACATATATATAAGTATATATGTAAGGATCCTTACATATATATAAGTATATAAGGATTCATTATATACATTAAATATATAAGTATATATATAAGGATCCTTACATACATATAAGTATATAAGGATTCATTATATACATTAAATTTATAAGTATATATGTATAAGTACATATATATAAGGATATATAAGGATATAAGGATATATAAGTATATATATAAGTATATAAGGATATAAGGATATATAAGTATATATATAAGTATATAAGGATATATATATAAGTATGTAAGGATTCATTATATACATCAAATATGTAAGTATATAGGTAAGGATCCTTACCTATATACTTACATATATGTAGGGATCCTTACCTATATACTTATAGATATGTAAGTATCTATATAAGTATACATGTAAGGATCCTTACATAATATAAGTATATAGGTAAGGATCCTTACATATATATAAGTATATAAGGATTCATTATATACATTAAATATATAAGTATATATGGATAAGTACATATATAAGTATATAAGGATATGTAAGTATACATATAAGTATATAAGGATATATATATAAGTATATAAGGATTCATTATATACATTAAATATATAAGTATACATGTAAGGATCCTTACATGTATACTTATATATATATGTGTGTGTGTGTATATATATGTAAGTATATATATAAGTATACATGTAAGGATCCTTACATATATATAAGTATATAAGGATTCATTATATTAATTAAATATATAAGTATATAATGTATATATAAGTATGTAATGTATATAATGTATACTTATATATAAGGATCCTTATATATGTGTGTGTGTGTATATATATATATATAAGTATATATGTAAGGATCCTTATAAGTATATGAGAATACATGTGTATATGCAAAGATCCTTATATATATAAGAATATAAGGATCCTTACATATATATAAGTATATATATACCCTAGTATATGTAATGTATATATATAAAATGTACTTTATTATATATAATTTAATATGTATAAGTATATATGATATATGTATATACAATATATTATATCACTTATATATACATATATAAGTATATACACTTATGTATAATACATATATATACACATATATATACACTTATACATATATTAAGATACGCGGTTGGTAAACTTTTTCCCCCGTCTATAGCTTGTATTTTCATCCACTTAATAGGGTTCTTTTCAGATAAAATGTTTTTAATTTTGATGAAGTCTGATTTATCTGTTTTTTCCTTTTATGGATCATACTTTGGTGGCATATTTAAGAACTTTTCATGTAGCTCAAGGTTCTGAAGATTTTTTCTTATGTCTTCTATTAATAGAAGTTTTATAGTTTTGCATTTTATGTTAGGTCTATGATCCATTTTGAGTTAATTTTGCATAGGGTGTGAGATTTGAATGGAGTCTTTTTTTCTCTGTGGGTTTCTGTTAACTTTAAATTCAAAGGGACTATATTAAAAAATGTTTATTTATACTCAATTTCTTAGAAATCATTTATGCAAACATAGTTCTTGATGATTTAAGTATCTTGGTGTTCATAAAATTCTGGGCTTATGGCTTAAGATAGGAGCTTAGCAAACAGTTGGTTATGGAGGCAGAAAGTCCTGGGTTCTAATCCTCCACTCACTGGGAGGACTTCAGGCAAGTCACTTAGACTGAACTTCCTCGTATAACAAATTGGATAACAATGCCTGCTTTGTCTGTCTGGAAGAAGATCAAACAAAATAATGTATATGAAAGTAGCTTTAAACAGTTAAATACTTTGTAAACTGTAAAGAACTTAAACACCTCTTGGAAAAGAATACATTTTATTAGTAAACGTAACAGAATGCTGTGGTAACCCAAATGTTTGTGGTTGCCGCCCTTATTTCCTTGATCTTCAGAGAGGCAGTTTTCTCTGGCCTACAGGAACAATCAGAAGGTTTGGTTTACTCTTTTCCTTTTCTTCCAAATGTTCCTTCTATCTTTTTCGTCTTTCTGAGGTGGCTGCTTGATAGTCACCACCTGTGATGGTTAATATTGAGTGTCAACTTGATTGGATTGAAGAATGCAAAGTATTGTTCCTGGGTGTGTCTGTAAGGGTGTTGTCAAAAGAGATTAACATTTGAGATAGTGAACTGGGAAAGGCAGATCCACCCTAAGTCTGGGTGGGCACAATCTAATCAGCTGCCAGTGCAGCCAGAATAAAAGCAGGGAGAAGAACATGAAAAAGATTAGACTGGCTGAGCCTCCCAGCCTACATCTTTCTCCTGTGCTGGATGCTTCCTTCCCTCGGACATCGGACTCCAAGTTCTTCAGCTTTGGGACTCAGACTGACGTCCTTGCTCCTCAGCTTGCAGACAACCTCTTGTGGGACTTTACCTTGTGCTCATGTGAGTCAATACTCCTTAATAAACACCTCTTTATAGATACATCTATCCTATTAGTTCTGTCCCTCTAGAGAACCCTGACTAGTACACCATCTGAAACTGCTCATCCACTCAACAAGTGGAGGCCTGTCCCACTGGAACCTGGAAGAAGTCATTTTCTTCCAGGACAATGGAACAGTCATTGAAATAGAAAATGGGACAGTCATTTTCTATTTTCCACAGTGCTTTTCTTCAATCTAACTCTAAGTTTAACATACCTGACTCTACAGATCTGGAAGTTTGAAATGCTAACAGAAATTTCACTAGCTCAACTAGTTCACCTGTTAGTTGAGGTACTCTTTCGTGATGTCCAGCAAAGTACAAATATCCTCCTCCATCTTCCATGCAGAGTCAATCTTGCCTGAGCATTTGGGAATTTCCTCCCTTTTCCCTTTCCCCATGATCCCCTGGTCTGTTTATAGCCCTTTGCCTTTCCCCAAGGGTCTTGGGGATTTGGGAGGCACCAAATCTTTGAAGTTGTGTAAGAGCTTCTGACTGTCAAATAGAACCTCCTTAGAAAGCTGTGACCAAATTTTTCAAGCAGTGTCCTGATACTTTCTATCCACTTATCCTGTTTTATTTGTCTAAAAACAGATCAGTATCTGATGAAATATCCATATTTGTTTTCTGTCCCCTACGAGTATATCAGTTTCATGAAAGGGAAGGATTTGGTATGTTTGGTTCACAGCCAAATACCCAGAAACTTGAACAGAGAATGTGCTAAATATTTCCAAATAAATAAACTCATTTTTCAGAGTGGATCCTCCACAAGGCAAATCAACATTTGACCATATTTTATACCATAACCACATCTCATAGTTTAACTAGTTTAACTTATATGATAAAGTTTCTGTGTTCTTTATCTATTCAAGGTCTCTCTTTCACTACAGGGTTTGTGGAGAAAAGAAAAGAAGGGATGAGGGGGAAGGAAAATCCTACCTTGTCAAAAGAGCCTCTTGGAGGAAATTAGTTTGGAAGGCAAGGGAATTGTAATCAGGAGACTCAGGTACGATAATGAGATAAAAGATTTCTATTCTTGCTGGGCAAGACAGCTGTGAACATAATAAGCACATATAAAACTGTGCAGCAGAAAATGATTGTAAGTAATTAGTGGTGAATGGTCTATTAGGGGAAAAGACAAATGAAAGAGAGGCTTGAGGGTATTGTCTGGGAAGTACAGACACCAAATCTGTAGCCTTTGTGGTCAGGCCTTAGAACCTGCCATAAAAGGAGGGTTGGGTTTATGAAAGGGAAATCTAGCTCCCCTCACAAGGATGCATTGCAATTTCTCATAAATGCCTTGTAATGCCACCAGTAACAATAATGATGACAAAAGATGATGCTGACTGAGGATTTTCTGTGTGCCAAGCACTATGCTAAGTGTAATAAGTGTACTATTTGGTTCGATCTTCACTACCACTCTATGAGAGAGGAACTATTACGATTTCTCTTAAAAGTTAGGAAACACAGGCAAAGTAACTTTCCAGAGATAATAAGCCTCCTTCCAGACAGTTAGATTCATTCTACTTTGTTTTGTTGGAAAGATGGAATGAATTTTATCTTTAAAAGGATGTGGTTATGACTTTAATGCATCAAAGAAAGTCATTCAAATCATCACAAATTCTGGAAGATGAAGACAATAGGGCAAATTTCCTCAGGATATAAAGGTCCCCCCTAGTGAGATAGGTAGACCTAGATAAGTATCAGCATTTTAAAGTCGTTACAAAACTTACTAGACTATAAGAAGTTTTCATACTTGCTTTGTTTTTTGGATACCTTGCCATTTCCAACACAGTATCCTCTATTCATTTCAAGGTGGGGTCACAAACAAAGCAGGCACAGTGATTGTGAGTCCAAGCTTTGCAATCAGACTTTGAGTTCTTCATTCGTGCAACAAATATTTATTGAGCCCTTACTTTGTGTTAGGGACTCTTCTAGGTGCTGGGGATACAACGGTGATCCAGAATGATGAGGCCTCACCTCTCATGGATCTTAGGTTTTAGAAAAAGGGTAAGTAGGCCAGGTGCGGTGATGGCTCACACCTGTAATCCCAGCAATTAGTGAGGCCAAGGCAGGCGGATCATGAGGTCAGGAGTTCAAGACCAGCCTGACCAACATGGCGAAACCCCGTCTCTACTAAAAATACAAAAATTAGTAGGCGTGTTGACGGGCGCCTGTAATCTCAGCTACTCGGGAGGCTGAGGCAGGAGAATTGCTTGAACCCAGGAGGCGGAGGTTGCAGTGAGCCGAGATCATGCCGTTGCACTCCAGCCTGGCGACAAGAGCAATACTCCATCTCAAAAAGGGAAAAAGAAGGGTAAGTAATGACTTTTCAGAGTCAATGATATTTCAGCTGATCCCTCAAGAAAGAGAAAGGAAAAAAGTTGGAGTGCTCCTGGAAGAGGAATGATCTCATACTACTGTTTTAAACATTGCAGTGGTGTCAACCCCAAAGAAAAAAGTCTAAATTCCTTATTATGGGATGCTGATGGATGTCTTCACAATCAGACTCTTGTTTGTCTATGTGTGCAGTCTTGTCTCCAACTAATTTCCCCTGCTGCATGATGTTCCACACCTCCTTGACATTGCAGAAGTTGTGCTCAGGGCCCCTAATTCCTTTCCCAGGTTTGTTTTAATTGCTGTTGACTTTTTGAAAGTCAGATAAAGGTGATGCTTCTCTTACTTCCTCAAGTGGAACTTACCCCATCCTTTCTTGTGACCATACTATATTTGGTAGCTAGAGCTACTTTAGCACATATCACACTCTAGTGTATTATGAAAAACATATCAGGCTTATGTTTAAAACCTGACTTTGCCACTTGACTTTTGTGATCATCAGTCTCCTTAGCAGTAAAGTCAAGTGGAATGGTATCTCGATAAATGGTAGTCACTATGATTATAACTAATATTTTTAATCTTTTATAGTCTCCAAGCTCTGCTTCATACATCCATAGAATGTTGGAACTGATCATGGCTTAGGTTCCTTCTATCATAAGCCAGAATTGAAGGGGCCTTGTTAATGGTTTTAAAATGTGCTTATAGAAGTTTTAGAAGTTTTAGAAGTCTCTCAGGGGAGCTTCTGGAGCTAAATTGGCAGGTATGTGGGCTACCACATTATTTCACCCAGAGCACCTGTTTATATGCTTTTAATCTCATCTATTAAGTGAGTTGTCATAAGATTCCATTTGCATTTTTGAAATTTTAACTGTTTTTCTTTTAAAGTTTGGTAGTCATTCGTATCATCCAATATGTCATTGTCATTGTATAGACAATGACAATGGAATTCTGTCATTGTACAGAATTCCAACTTTCTCAAGGGAAAAGAACTAGCTAGTGGCAGTACTAAAATCTAGGCCCACTGGCTCTTCATAAAGTCCTCAAGATGAGAGTAAAATCCCTGTTTATCAGATCCCAGGTCTTACTTTGTATTGAATAAGCAGGTCAAGTGTGGGTCCAGAATCCACTGGAACACTGAGACTCCAGGATTTTGTTTTGTCCTCAGAACTTGTAATTTCAGGTGTCTACTAACAAATTTCCTAACTTGCTTGGTATGTTTATTTCCATGAGTAAAGATATTTACACCACAGAAAAGGCCATTGTACCAGGAGGTAGATAATGCTAACTCATGGATACTCTCTGATGAGAATATAAAGAAAGTTGCCCCGAGCACACAAATCTGGTAGATGCTCTTACAGAAGGAGAGGGATTCTTCTTCCTGTACTGCTCACTGTATTGGGTGACATTTTGTGTGAGTTGGGTTTGAATGTGAAAGCATCACTTAATGTTGCTCACATTTGTAACCTTTCACCTTCCTCTTACCTTTTCTCGAGCTAGAGGTTATTTTTATTTCCAAGGGTGTTGGAAACCATGATTTTCTCAGTGTCAAGTTATACAGAGTCTATGTTTCAATTTCAGACTTCAATGATTAACCTCTAGTACCTTTTACATTAAAGTTCATACGTTTGCTCCAAATTGCATGCAGTGATTTATTGAGTCATTAAGACAACGGTTGCCTTATTATGGATTCAAGAAAGCTAAATGGAATGCTAGAATTTGAAAACTAACCACATTTATTTAGCTTTCACTGCACATGTGCATATATGTTTTTCAAGCAAATGATTCTGTAGTGCAAATTTGCAAATGGTATGAGACTGGAAGAGACTGCTAATGTTTTAGAGATAGCTAATGCATTGGGATACAAAAAGATTTTGACAGCTTGAAAGAATGGCCAATTCAAACAAAATCATAAAGGGGAAATGTCTGCCATGCCTCTGGCTTCACAAACAAACTTGACAAGAGGGATAGACTTTGAGAATTTTAATTGATCATAAATTTAATAAAAGTTAATCTTAGCGGCAATAACAGAAGTATGCAATCTAAAACAGAAGAAGTGGTAATACTAATATCTTCTGTGCAGATTGGATCTCTGCCTTCAGTCCTGTCTGCAACCAGGTCCAGTGGTGGCCATGTGTTACCATTTATTTTTTCCTCCTAAAATATTCATCACTGTCCGCATCCCCCTTTACCCATATTTTCCCTGTAATTTGTGTTTTGGTGACATGATATTTTCTCAGTCTTCCATAAAGTGTTATGCAAATACGGTATCTCTGATTGGAGCCTTTCATTTCAACTAGATCTCCCCCCAATAGCCCCATGTGTACAAATTCTGGAGCAACATATTGGGGGAATATAGCCAAATCTGAGCACATTCAAAGGAGGCTGTTCAATCCCTTGTCCAGTGAGGAGAAGTTTTGAGGATCTAGTAATGGTTAATTGGAGGAGAAATCATGTGTAGTGGGGGCCTTAGAGAGGAATAAATGTGGAGAGCCTCACTTAGGCAGGGCTGGCCCTGTTTGGGCACTGAGTTTATGTGCCTTTGTTACCTGACTAACCCCGAGAGGGCCCAGGACAGAGACTGATGAAGCCGCAGGTGCATCCAATTCTAGCATAAGAGCAGAGGATAATGATTTTACTTCAGGATAGTATATATCCTGCAATGTAAGGTAAAAGGTTTAGAAGTAACTAAAAGAATATACCTCTAATGGGAATTAATCTAACTCTGAGGAGGGTAGTACATCTTTCACAAACAGAACAATGTGGATTCCAGGCACTCCCACCTCCATCTTAAGGAGTTTACTTCAAATAAAATGATTCTACTGAAAAGGACACATAGTGGGGAAAAGTATATACTGGGGCCTTTAGGAGAATGGAGGGTGAGAGGAGAGGAGAAAATCAGGAAAAATAAGTAATGGGTACTAAGGTTATTACCTGGGTGATGAAATAATCTGTACAACAAACCCCCATGACACAAGTTTACCTATGTAACAAATCTGCACTTGTACTCCAAACTTAAAATAACAGTTAAAGAAAAGGACTGATAAGTATAAGAAACACCTAGCATAATTCTTGCCATGTCATATATGCTAAGCAAGTTGTAGTCATTGTTACTAT
The DNA here is from genome assembly GCF_000001405.40 of Homo sapiens. Classification (NCBI taxonomy): domain Eukaryota; kingdom Metazoa; phylum Chordata; class Mammalia; order Primates; family Hominidae; genus Homo; species Homo sapiens. The sequence continues at coordinate 147,554,976 of NC_000023.11, read as the reverse complement.
TGTTATTAAGAGCCAACTTGTGTTTAAGGCATTATGAGCAACTTGAGTTGTGATCTTTATGTCTGGAAGTGCCCCCGTCAGCATCCTGACCTGGATTCTATTCCTTTATGGCCTTGTCTCTGACCCATAGCATCTATGTCTGCATCCTACCCAGGTCCAGCCAGACAGGTTAGTATCAATGTTGATACATTCTCAGTCTCTCTGTTTGAAGTTCTGTCCTTAAAGTATACAAGTCTCCTGCCTTCATTTCGCAGAGTTTGGTGATTGCATTTCTAGTACTCTCTTCTTGCCGCGTTTTATTCTTAATTGCAAGCACACACATCCATGCAATGCTTGCCTGCTGTGTTAACTCCCTTATGCTCTGGAATGCCTTCTGTGAATGTGGTAGGATGTCTACTGGTCTTGTTCTAGGTAAAGTTTTCTGGTCAGAACTTCCTGGTTCTAGGCAAGGAGGCTTTCTGGAACATGTTTACTCATTACTCTTTTTCTCTGGGTGCTTCCTGGCTATTGGGGCAAATATCCCCGAAGCAAATATAACATCCACATAACTGTTGGGCCCAGTATTTAACTGTTTCATGTCTCCCATGTGTACCTTACACCACAGTTATTTGTAAGTAATCTAAATTTTGTGGATTTATTATCTTTTTAGATAAATTGGATGCTTGCTTTTTGCCCTGACATAAAAATATCCAAGACAAGTACTATCTATCTATAAGCCAACAGCAGATTTTGTTAAAATGAACCAGGTCATAAAAACAAATGACCCTGTTACGTATGTTTCAGTAGGAACTACTTAACATTCACTTGGACCAATGAAATAATTTACGTCCTCAATTTTTTAAAAGTTTCGTGTCTACTTGTTCAGTTCCACTGCTGCATTTTGTTGCTATTTTATCCTACAGATGGAGTCAGAAGTCATTTTGTTTGCAACTAGGTTACCCTACAAGAACGTCATTGATTTTTTTTCTCTTAATAACATTGTTTTCTTTTAAAATCTTATCTTTATAGAAAATGTTAAAGTGCAGAAAAATGCCATAACTTTTTTATGGTTTATCAATTTAATATTCTATCGTGAACATTTCCCCCATGTCATTAATATAATTCTATAATGACATAATTTTAAATGATTGGATAATATTCCATATACATTTTTGTATAACAGTTTAACTCCCTTATAATAGTAAGACATGGAGATTGTTTCTAATTCATTACTCATATAAGTAATGTTATGAAGGAAAACCTAGGAAATTATACAGATAGACCTTCTATTTACTTAGCATAGATTCCTAGAAATACAGTTACTAGGTGAAATGGTATGACCATCTTCACATGTATTCCTTCAGTCAGCACACATTTATTGAGAATCTACTATATGCCAGGCTCCCTTGTAGGGGTTAGATATGTAGTAGTGAACAAAACAAATAATCCCTGTCCTGTACCCATGAAGCTGACAGTTTTGTGAGGAAAAATGGACAATTAAAAAATATATATATGACACGTCAGATGGTGATGTGTATTATGGAGGAAAATAATGCAGAGTAATGAGATTAGGAGCAACTATTTATGTAAGGTGGTCAGAGAAGCTCTCCCTACTAAGGTGATATTTGAAGGAAAACATAAAGGAGGGGATGAAGGGAGCCATTTATACATCCAGAGAGGAGCATCCCAGGCATAAGTAATTGCAAATATATATGAGCCAGGCACATGTATGGGATATTTGGGGAATCAAAAGGAAGTCAGTGTGGCTGGAGTGGAGTGAGTTGGGGAGAACAATAGGCTGTATGGCCAGAACAGTGGTGATTGAGCAGGGTTAGAGGATGACAGACCGTGTAGAATCCGTAGGCCTTTCTGAACGTTAGCTTTGACTCTGTGGGTAGGTCTTTGGAAAGTTTTGAGCAGAGGAGAGATAAGATCTGACTTATATATTAAAATATGGAAAAATTGACTTCCAATATACCTGCACTGTTTTTTATCCCCCGCTAGCAGTATATGATAGGACTTTAGACAGTCTTGGCTAACACCAGGTATTTTCATAAAAATGAAACCAAAACAAAATAGAATAGAAGAAAACTACATTCATTTATTCATTCATTTGACAAAAATTGAGTGCCTGCCTTGTGCCAGACACCATGCTACGAACTGGATGTATATGGTATTGGTAAATGAATCATATTCTTTACTTTTGTGGAAGTTGTAGACTAGTGGAGCAGAGAGACAACAAACAAATGTAGGTATTCTTAAGGTATGTGCTATGAAGGACACTGCATTGCAATCATGAAGAACAAGTGTGCCTGTTAGAGGTGTGTGTGGCTACTTCAATAAGACAGCCAGGGAAGTCCTCTCTGAAGAGGTGACATTCAAGCAGGGAGCTAAAAAATAAGAGAGATTCCTCTTGCAAATAACAATAGGAAAATACTTTTTTTAAAAAAAAGTAGCATTAGGAGATATACCTAATGCTAAATGACGAGTTAATGGGTGCAGCACACCAGCATGGCACATGTATACATATGTAACTAACCTGCACATTGTGCACATGTACCCTAAAACTTAAAGTATAATAATAATAAAATAAAAGAAAATAAGAAATCCTGATTTATAACCAAATCCATTTGTACAAAAAGAAAAAAAAAGTATAGACAAAGGTGTTTTGTTGATAATTTGTAAGGTTGAACACAGTGTTTTTCTCATATATATATGTGTGTGTGTATATGTGTGTGTGTGTGTGTGTGTGTGTGTGTGTGTGTGTATATATATATATATATATATATATATATATTTTTTTTTTTTTTTTTGAGACAGAGTCTCAGTCTGTTGCCCAGGCTGGAGTGCAGTGGCACTATCTCAGCTCACTGCAAGCTCCGCCTCCCGGGTTCACGCCATTCTTCTGCCTCAGCCTCCCGAGTAGCTGGGACTACAGGCGCCTGCCACCATGCCCGGCTAATTTTTTGTATTTTTCTTTTTAGTAGAGATAGAGTTTCATCATGTTAGCCAGGATGACCTTGTGATCCGCCCGCTTCGGCCTCCCAAAGTGCTGGGATTACAGGTGTGAGCCACTGCGCCCGCCACACAGTGTTATATATTTATTGGCCGTTGACATTTCATTTTTGGTGAAATTTTGATTTGTATCCTTTATTATTTCTCTTTGGGTAGTGTTTGCCCTTAATGGTTTGAAAAACAATAGTAAGGTCATTAACAGTGACTTGATGTGATGTATTTGTGGCAAATATTTGCCCACGTTTGTTTATTTAAGTTGGTCTTGGGGTTGGTGAAGTTTCTGCTATTTTCTCCACCATGTATGGTTAAATTTGGTTGCCAAATCTGGAAATCCTAAACTCATAGAGTTCATTTTAGGGTTCTACCTTCTGTTGTACTGGTCTGCTAGTACTTTAACAAATACCTGTCAAAATATACTCTCTTTTGGGAGGGCAGTTCTGGACTCAGCATTCCTCTTTCCAAAATTTTCTTAAATTACTCTCCAATATTCTTCTGAATTTTAACCTTTTGTAAAAACTTTAGTTCAATTTTATTGAGGGTTTAGCCTATGATTCTGTTCAACTTATGAATAATTAAGGGAAGAATGGACATTTTTGCTCTATTAATTCTTCCCTCCTAAGAATATGGCATATCTTTCCATTTATTCAAATCCTGTATGCTGCCAGCAAAATTTAATATTCTCTTTATATAGACGCCATGTTTTAATTTAGGCTACTGTGAGTGGAATCTTTCATTTTTATCAAATGTAAATCTGATCATATTACTTCCTGCATTATCATTGATAATATTCTGATATATTTTGCTTATCATTTTCCAGTGTTTTATTTAGAACTATGTATTTATGTAGCTTTGGTTATTTTCAGTTTACCATTATGAATAATACTATGAATAATGCTGTGATATAATGCTAAGAAATGTGTTTTCCTTGTATTTCTAACAGTTTAATATTAGTTTTTGTGATTTTTTCTTTTAATCAATGAAATATGACTCTCCTTTCCCAGTTTAATGCCTTTTGCTTTGAATTCTCTTTGTATGAATTTCGTATTGTCAAGACTACTTTAAATCTACTTGAATTTACTTGATGAATCTTTGCCCTTTCTTTTAACCTCTATCAATGTTTCTATACATAAATGGTAGCTTTTGGAATATAATTAAAAAAATAGACTGAAAAAGGTACACTATTAAAAACAATTATAATTTGTAAATACTTATTTGTATGAATTAGGACTTGTCTTCATACTATGAAATCACAACAATATAGAGAAATGAATTGGTTATTGAGGAAACATGAGAGGTTATTTAAAACCTTGATTTTGAATTACGTAAACCACAACACCTTCATGTGTAATGTGATCAATAAATACTTAAAACTTTGCTTCTACAAAATAAACAAGTTATAATAACTACTGCTTTTATCTGGTTTATATAGCAAAGTTCCATGTAATGATAGATTTGAAACAGGCTCCACTGCTTAAGTTTGAAAACCACTGTGTTTAGGGCTTGTTGCTTGTTTTTAATCCAGGCAAATGCTTAGTTTCAAACTAGCCCTGCAGATGGCGCCCCATCCTTCACTCAGAGCGAAATACCATTTCCCCCTGCCAAAGCCCCATAGGAGTAAGATGGTTTTTACCTTTATAAACTTATGTGATTGAAATAGGCTGAACTGTCCTGAAGTAAATCTCAGTAAGAGACCCAAGAAACACTCTAAAATTTTTGATCCCGTTTCCTTCTAAAACCATACCATAATCTTCTAGAGGATAAAAGAGAAGAATGTCTTTTTTTTAGCAGAGAAAGAGAGCAAGCTAAAGAAGCAACGGCATTATTTAAAATTTTAAAAAATCAAATTATTGCTAGAAAAGTGAACGAAAGGCCACAGGACTATCTAATAAGCAAAAATGTCTGCATCCAGACTCTTGTTTCATGGTCTTCTAGGCCTTCACTGTTCCTTTCAGCCTTGGATTATGAGTCTTCCTCCTTAGGGGCTATAACTTAGAGAATCTAGCTCTTCTGCCTTATACCCCTTTTCTCAGAAACTTCTGCTCCTTGGGAACTTATGCTCTTCCCCACATGATCTCTACCTACTTTTCAAATCTCATCTCATCCTCTATGATTTCCCTTCAAATTTCCTCTACTTCTGATTATAAGCTGCTTGTCATTTCCCCAAACAGTGGGCACCCCGCAGGCGTATCATGACCTATACTCATGAAGTTCTCTCAGCCACCACTTTTCCCTCCTTGTCTACAAATAAAAATGCTCTTATTCTTTTCATGCCCAACCAAAGTAACAACAGCTCCACTACAAAGTAGCCCTAGGAATAATTAATCACCTCCTTCAAACTTTTAGCCAATATTTAGAAAGCACTCGTTTTGCAAGAGACAGTACAGCATAGTGATTAATTACGAACAGAGTCGAAAACCAGACTGCCTGGGTTCAAATCCTGATTGTGTCTCTTGCTAGCCCTGTGATCTTGGGCATATTGTTTGGTCTATTTGTTTCTGTTACCTCTTTTTCTTTAAAAATGGAAAACATAAAAGTAGTTAATTTGTATTTGTCTCTGGAAAGTATATTACCTATCTTGGTTACAGTTTATCTGTCAAATGTGAACAATATCTAAAATAGAGATGTTATCAGGTTTGTTAAATTATGTATAGCTACCAGTACATTGTACAAGACTGAGTACATAGTTGTCCTTCACTAAATAGTTATTTTCAGAGCCTCTTGTATGCCAAATATGAGTCAGCAAAGTGGTACTGGTTTGGAAAAGATAGCACATTTCTGAGGAGTATTTAAATGTGCATATCATATAAAACTTGTAAATAAATTTTTTTGGTAGTTCTCTAGAAAAAAAGAGCAATATATTGGAAATTTGCTATTTTTTTGTGGCAGAAACTCATAAAATGTTGTTACTAAAACTCCCAAAGCACCAAGTTCAGAGGCAGACTAAAGGAAACAAATGAGCAGCCTGTTCAAGGTATGGAGAGGATGGACTATCTGTGGGATGGTCAGGAAGGCCTTCCTGGGGAGGGGACGCTGAAGGTGAGGTCAGAAGACAGGTGGCCAGCCTCACAGAAAGCTATAATAGCTATAATATTAATATAATGTTAAAGAACTTGGAATCAGATCTTGGTTCTAGTCCCAGATTCTCCTCTCAATAGTTGTGTGACCTTGAGCTAGTTACTACCCTTCTCTGGTTTTTGTTTACCTATCTCTAAAATTCAGAGTTGGACTTGGTGATCTAATGGTACTTACAGACAAAATCCCTGATTCTAGGAAAGATGAAATACAATTACTACTTTCTGCTATAGACAGCAATATACCAGCCATATTGATATGTAGCAGTACTCAGAAATGATCAATAAGCTTGAAATCATTTATCTTTCTGCCTCTATTCACTCAAAACAAAATTAATTACCTCACCTCAAATATTCCTCCTTCTATAAATTTTTTTTTATACTTTAAGTTCTAGGGTACATGTGCACAATGTGCAGGTTTGTTACATATGTATACATGTGCCATGCTGGTGTGCTGCACCCATTAACTCATCATTTGCATTAGGTATATCTCCTAATGCTATCCCTCCCCCTCCCCCCACCGGGGGGGGACAGGCCCCGGTGTGTGATGTTCCCTTTCCTGTGTCCAGGTGTTCTCATTGTTCAATTCCCACCTATGAGTGAGAACATGTGGTGTTTGGTTTTTTTGTCCTTGCGATAGTTTGCTGAGAATGATGGTTTCCAGTTTCATCCATGTCCCTACAAAGGACATGAATTCATCCTTTTTTATGGCTGCATAGTATTCCATGGTGTATATGTGCCACATTTTCTTAATCCAGTCTATGATTAATGGACATTTGGGTTGGTTCCAATTCTTTGCTGTTGTGAATAGTGCCGCAATAAACATACGTGTGCATGTGTCTATAGCAGCATGATTTATAATCCTTTGGGTATATACCCAGTAATGGAATGACTGGGTCAGATGGTATTTCTTTATCTCAGTAAATGATACCACCTGTTCACCCAAGTCTGAAAACTGGGAGTTACTACTGACTCTGACGTGACCCATATCCTCTATATTCATTTAACCACCTGACCCATATCCTCTATGTTCATTTAATCACCATACCTTGTTAATTCTTTCTTTTTCTTTTGCATTTTAGAGATGAGGTCTTGCTCTATTGCCCAGGGCTCTATCATTGCTCACTGCAGCCTCCTGGGCTCAAGTGGTCCTCCTGCCTCAGCCTCCCAATTAGCTAGGACTACAGGAGAACATCACCGTGTCTAGATAATTCTATCATTTTAACATATCATTTGGATTAATTTCTTCTTATTCAGTCTCATCAGCAACACCACAGTTTAGGCACTCATTTGAGAATGATGTAGCCAATACCTGTGTGGCCACCCATTGTACCTTTATCAAATCTTTAGTATTTTGCCTCTTTTTGCTTCAGATTTACTATTGTTTTTTTAGAAAGAAAACATTACTAGACATCTAGTTCCACTCTACTCCAGAAACAAACATTTTTCAGGGTTTGATGTTTTTCTTTCTTATGCATGTCTTTGTTTTAAAATAATATGCACAAATTAGAAATAATGTATCTTATTATGGTTTTAAACATTTTTATATATCTATTCAGGTAATATACTCTACATATTTTTCAGCTTGTTACATTCACTTAACCTTATGTTCTTGAGATTTTCCTGGGTTGATATGTATCGCTCTTATTTATTAATTTTCATTATATGTAATTCTATGCTACAATTTATTCTCCTGTTGAAATACATTAGTGTTCTTTCCCAATTTTTTGTGATACTGTGTTGACAAAAATTGTCTATGACTCAAGAAAATATTCATGTATATATCTTTTTGTGCCCACATATTAGATTTTCTTCTAGACAGTGTACTTAGAAGTTAACCTATTGACTTGATGCGTACAAATCTTTACTGCATATTTGCTAATTTGGTTTTTAAAGTGGTTACATCAGTTTATACTTCTATCAGAAAACATGAGAATTTCAATTGCTCTGCTTTTTTGCCAAAACTAGAAATTGACATAACAAATATTTTTCTCAAATGGTATCACGTTGTAGTTTTAATTTTCATTTTCTCATTACTCGTGGTATTAAGCACCTTTTCATGTGTTTATTGGTCATTTTCCCTATTATGCTCAGTGTTTGCTAATGTTCTTTGCTTATTTTTTTAAACATTTTGGTTGCTTGCCATATTTCTTATTTAGAGCAGACAGTATCTATTCTGAATGCCAAGCCCTTGTTGGTATTCAATTCAATGTATTGTAGACAGTCTCGCCTATTCTGTGCCTTTTTATACTCTTATAAATTATATCTTTTGTCACAGACTTTTTATTGTTGCATTAATAATCTTTTTAAAATTATGTGTACATTCTGTATCTTGTTCAGAAAATCTTTTCATACACTAAGGTTTAGTAATTTCTTATAGACGTTTTAAAACTTTGCTTTCTTGTTTAGATTTCTAATCCACTTGGGATTGAATTTTGCCTGTGGTATGAGGGAGGGAACCCAATTTCTTTATTTCTGAATGGATAACCAATTTTCCAGGACCATTTTTCCATTGGTCCATCCTTTCCCCATTCACTTGTAATGTTCCATTTAGTGCAACAAACATTTATTGCACATTACTATAAGTTAAACACCATGTTAAGTATGGTGGAATAAAGTTCATTCCTGCTCTAGTAAGCTTGCATTCTAATGAAGGTATTATACCTCTAAAATGAGGAAATAAAAATTCTCTGATGGTTCTTCATGACCTAAGAGATAACATCTTTAACTTTACAAATGAAATTACAAATGAGTTGCTAGTGAACACTAGCCTCATCCCATGGCACTTAATGCTTCAGCCACAGGGTCCTACTGTACATTCCCTCTTTCTTTGGTTCACAGTGTAGTTTAAGGCAGTGGTTCTCAAGTCTTATTTTTCCTAACAATCACTTAAGACACTTTTAGAAATTCAGATTCTTGAACTCCGTCTTCAGAGATTCTGGTACAGAAGGCAGTTCTGATGAAAGTGGCCTGGGGATCACACTTAGAAAATTATATTTTAAGCCTTCTGGCAGAGTATACCTCTGTCTTATCAAAATAGTTGAGTGAATTATTTGTCGCTAGTCTGCATATTAAAAACTTAACTCTTTCTCTGGACCTTAATGTTTACTTTATAAATTGAAAACCAAAAAATCCAGAGGCAATAAAGATTTAAGAACTCTAGCAATGAAATCATTGAAAATAACTTTTTAAATCTACATCAGCCCTGAGAAGAGCAATCCAAAAAGTCTATCAGGGTTTCTGGAATTGATGTGTTTGCATAATTGGAAACTTCTCTGAGTGTGTGACACAATTTCTATTTATAGAAAAGAACATTAAACATGTTAGCCAAAACTTTAGGACAGATTGTCCTCAAATAGAAGATGCATTTGATGAAAAGGGGCATTAGATTAATCTGATTGAGGTGGCAAAGTGTAGATTTATGATATTGCAGAGAGGAAAGTATGGTTGATAGTTTAAAAATCCAAATGATATTATGTAAGATGCACAGACTTGACTTCTTTGGAATTGGTAGGCCATTGTAAGGGAAGCCAATGGAGGATTCAAAGCAGGATTCAAACCTTGATGTGAACTACAATGAGATTTGGGGACTATAGTAGCCCAGGTCACTTCCTTCTCATTTCCCTTCTTCCCAAGTCAGATGAGAGCAGACTACTAGGCAACTTTTATCTTTCTGCTTTTTCCTCAGGATCCCCTGCAGCTTACTGACATTGTAGAGACTTTACACAGTTAGGATGTCTGTTATCTTTTATTTCCATGCAGTCTAAGGAATACTTCCCCTTTTTGCTTCCTTGTACAGTTTTTCTTCTACCCTTCAAGTTGTTCATTCTCCAGGTCCCTTTTCATCTTTCTGATCTCTAAACTTTGAAATACTCAGAGGTATCCTTCTCTATCTACTCTCTTAAGATAATCTCAGCTATATTCATGACATCTTATACACTTATATGTAGGTGATTCACATGAGAGGAAAATAGGAGAGAGGGAAGGGAAGAGAGTAGTTAAACAACATTTGAATAATACCTAATAATAATGATTATTGAACAGCCACATTGTGGCAGGTACAGTGTAAGAGCTTTCACCATGTTATCTAATTAAATCGTCACGGTTGTCCTATACTATGCCATACTATACTATACTATTTTGTATTATACTTGGCCTTCTTTTTTGTTGCCCTTCCATTGAGATTAGATCCTAATCCCTCTACAAAGACATTGTATAAGCAATTCATAACCATTATTTAACCAATTTTGATGCAATGGATCATGTCTAATACAAACTTCCTGTGATTTCTTCAACGGTAAGAATCAACTCTCTCTCTACACATCTTTTTCACTACCACCTCACTTCTTTGCTCTCTTTCATCAAACCTCTAAAAAAGAGTAAAACTGTTTTTGCTATTTCTAATTGCTCATCTCTCTTTCTCTCTTGAACCCATTCCAATCAAGCTTTCATCCCACTATTTTGCTAAAATTGTTCTTTTCAGATCAGCAAGGAAATCTACATTGCTAAATGCAATGAACAGTTATAAGCCCTCATATGACTTGACTATAAGTAGTAATTGATAAAGCTGATCACTCGTTCTTTGTTGTAACAGTTCCTTGACTTGGATTTCAGTATTTCTCTGGTTTTTCTTCCATCTCCCTGACTGGTCCATCTCAATCTCCTTTGCTGATACTCTTATTCTTCATGAACTCTAAAGGTTGTAGTGATCCAGGGTTCAGTTTAGTTCTTGCACATCTTTTTGCATCCACACTTACTCATTAGGTTGATACATTAGTTTGTTATTGTAACAAAGTACTTCAGTTCTGGAGGCTGAAAATCTGTGATCAAGGTTTTAACATGACAGGGTTGGTTCCTTCTCAGGGCTGTGAGGGAAGGTCTACTCCAAGCCTCTCTCTTTGGCTTATAGATGGGTGTCTTCATGTTGATGTCTTCATGTTGACAGGGTATTCTGTGTGTCTGTGTGTGTGCGTCCAAATTTCTCCTATCCATAAGGTCACAGTTTGTATTGGAATAGGGCCAACCTAATACCTAATTTTAATTCAATCTGTGTAAAGACACTTTCTTTAAATTAGGTCACATTTTGAGGTACTAGAGATTAAGACTTCAACATATAAATGTTGAAGAGAGCACAATTCAACTGATAACATTTGATTTTATTAAATATCTTGGCTTTAAATGCCATCCATCTGCTGATGAGTACCCTAATGGTGTCTCCAGCCTTGGCCCCTGCCGTCAATCCAGCCACCCATTCTACGACTTCTCGCAGATGTCTACTAGACATCTTAGGTTTAATATGTCCATACCGAACTCCTAATCTCTGCACCTCACCCACCAAACACATTCTTGCTCCTCCAAAGCCTTCCTCATTTTAGTAAATGGAAACTTCATGCTTCCAGTTTCTTAAGCCAAAAATCTTTGGATCATCCTTAATGCTTCTCTTTTTCTCATATTCAACATCTAATCTGTTAGAAAACACTGTCTATTCCATATTCAAAGTTTATCCAGAATTTTCCCACTCCCCACTATATCCTCTGTTACCAACCTAATCTGAGTTACCATTCTCTTTCACCTAAATTATTAAAGATGGTCTCTTCATAGGTCACCCTGCTTCATCCCTCGCCCCCATGGCATATTCTAATCACAGAAACCAGAGTGATTTTTTTTAAACATAAGTCACATCATGTCAGTTTCCTGCTTTGAATCTTCCATTGGCTTCCCTTACAATGGCCTACCAATTCCTTCATTATATTGGACCTAAGTTAGTTTTCTAACCCTATGTCCTACTACACTGCCGCCTCCCCACCCTCTTCTCTCCTCTAGTTACATAGGCCTTTTTGTTGTTTTTCAAACAGGCAGGCTCTGACATTAAGGCATTTGAGTGAGTCCTTGCCTCTGCCTGGAATGCTCTTCTCCTGAGTGACAGTATAGCTTATTAGCTTAGTCTGTTACCATCTTCAAATCTTTGCTCAAATAGCACTTTCACAATGCCTTGCCTGATCTCTCTGCTTGAAATTCCAAACCCCCTTCAGCCTCCCAAGCACTCTCTGTACCCTTGCACTGCTTTTGTTCCCACAGCATTTATCACCGTCTGCTAAACTATGTATTCACTTTTTTGTTAGTTTCTATACACAGATCATCACATGTCTCTTAGTTTACAGATTTATATGTGAAAAACTCAAACTTGATTTGAAGAAACATTAGTCGACTCCTTCACTTTTTCTTCAACCACCAGTCATTGCATACCTTCTTTTCCGTGCCAGACCTTGTGCTGAACAGTAGAGACACAAAGATGAGTACATCAAGATCTTTGTCCTTGCCCTTGAGGAAATCACAGTCAAATCAGGGAGAAAGACAGGAGTCCCAGTTTTCTCAGACGGGGAGTGACACATGGCCCTGTGAGTGAAAAACACCATTGATCTAGAGGGACTGTGCATAACAAACCGAGAATTAACCACTTACCAAGTCAAACTCGAATGTGCCCTTCCCCAAGGCTACTCTGGCTTTGCAGTTTTTCTGTATTTATAAAAATAAGGAATGCTCATCTTCATAGCCTCTCTAATTTATATGCTTATGAAGTCATGACTATGATTATGTATGCAAATGAAATTAATTTCAAACTTAATCAGAGTCTTTCTTTAGTGTTTGGGGGACTAGGACTCTGCACTACTACTGGGGCACCTCATGTTCCATAGGAGTAAGGTCTAATTTCAAATGCAGGAGGAGAGCTGCTATTTAAGGAACCCTGCTGTGAGTTCCTTTTTAAAGCAGCCTTTTTATTTCAAAGTGAATAATCTCCCCCAATTTATCTTCTTTGTATGATTTGAAAAAAGTCTGATGCATGCACTTCTAATACATGGGAATTTGAGTTTGTGCATGATACAGTTGAAAGAACCTTGGATTGAGTCTTTGAGCATTGCAGCTGATTGATTCTTTGACTTCAGACAAAGCTTTTTTTTTTTCCTTTTAACTTTTCTGGTATCTCAAATTCCCCCTTTATTAAGCAAAGGACTGCACTTCCTGTTCCCTAAATTTACTTGCCATTGATAGGACTCATGATTCTATTAGTCTATAGTGTCCTTGCTTCTTCCACCTACTTGATTGGCCTCTTCATACAGCCTTGGTTAACAGTGAACTCTGATGGAACCCTATGAATACTGAATCTAATTTCTGCCCTATGAAAGCTATACACCGAATATTCAAGTAGAGCCAGATTTTACTTTCATTCCATTTAGTTGCCTATCCTATCCGGATTTTAGGACCTGTTCATTTGAATGGGGCTTTGTTATTCTTAAAGAATATTGGGAATATTCTTTTAAAAGAGTAGTAGGAATTTTTTTAAATAATATTTTTAAGGACGATTAGGAATATAATGAATGGTAATACACAATTAGACACACTTAATGCATTTATATCTACCCTCATAAAACCCATGGGAAGTAGATAGCTTCCAGTTTTACAAAATACAATCTACTTCCCATGAGTTTTATATATATTTACTCAACAGACGCTTATAAAGCACTTCTTATGCTCCTAGCACAACTCTAAGGGTTTACAAATATTAACTTATTTAATCCTCATTTTACCCCATGAGGACATGATGGCAGGAGGATTGAAGCAGCTTGCTCAAGGTTATAGATCTCTTAATTGGCAAAGCTGGGACTTAGACCTAGGGAAGGTAGCTGAAGATCTCTCACTCTACATACTAAAGTAAGCAGAGTACCTCCTGAATTCACACAGCAGCTCCTTTGGGAGCCTGAATTTCTACACTTTCTTCATGTAAGGCTCTGTCAACGTGCATATCTAAGTGAATCCATGTCCATATCATGTTCCCAGACTATGAGGACACTGTACGTAAGATTTTCTGTGTCACCAAATGGCATGATCTCTCTGCCTTTGTCAGTTCCTAATGAGAAGGTAAATTCTGCCTCTTGGCGATAGCCTTGTGAATTTATATTGTCTTGGTTAGTGTTTTGTTAGATGCTGCTAGTTCTGATGGACTGTCTTGGATAGTTCTCTTTGATTTTCTCATCTATAAAATAGTAGGGATGAGCAAAATCAATTGGTGAAGTTCATATAAACTGTGAACATATTTAGAAACCTTTTGAGTTTCTAGATAATTCTGCTTTATAGATAATAGCTAGCCATCACTGGGAAAATGCACCAATATATATATGTTAGATGTATACCATAGAATACTATCCAATTGCCACAAGAAATGAACTAGATGTATATATGGCAACATGGATGGATTCTGAAAAAAGTCGAGTATTAAATGGAAAATAGTAACAATGTGTGATCTATAGAGTAATATTTATGTAGATAGCACACAAAATGTCAGAATGTACTTTCACAAATATACATATATATCCAAGAACATATATAAAATACTGAAGTGGACGCCTATGATGAGAGTAAGTCTAGGAAGTGAAGGGCAAAACTAGAAATAAAGTAGCACAAAGGAGATTACTTTGCAGGAACTCTTGACAGTGAGCCAGGCGGTATGCTGTTAAGGTGGGAAGAACACTGGCTTTGAATCTAAGTCTTGCACCCGTTGGTTTTATGTCTTGGGCAGGATTATTAATGTCACCAAGTCTTAGTCTCCCGAAAATGTAAAGTGCTTCTTACAAGGATTAAATAAGGAGATAGATATATACACAGGTAGAGATATAGATGTACTGAAGGAAAGCACCTGTCCAGCCCCAGTTCGTCATCTTGGAAATTAATTCTTGGCTTCTTTTCAATAACCCGTGGCTGCTTGCTCCTATGGGAGCCGTAGCTCTGATGCTCTCTGTATGTTATTGATTCCACTCGCTGACCTTCCAAACCACATGCACGTCTGACAAGCTGCTTGCTTAAATCATTCCCAACAATTCTGTGTATTTCTAAACTATTCCTTTAAAGTTTTAATTTCATTATCAATGGAATGTTTTTTTTTTTCAGGGAGGTATTTTAAAACAAACATTTATGTAGCAATTTGTGCTTTACAAGGCATTTTCACATCTATCGTTTCATTGAATCCATGTATTAATCTTCAAAGTAGGTGCCTGTGTTCTCATTTTAGTGATAAAAAGACTGACACTCGTAGAGACTAAGTAGCATAAATAACAATACGTGATTTGTAAGTGGCAGGCCCAGAATGGGAATCTTTGTCCCCCTACTTTGAATCCCAGGCTTTTCCCATAATAGTATGCTACATCTCTTTCAAATGACCTTCACTGTTTATTAACCCAGAATATAGTCCCTTTGATTTCACCAATCACAATAAGATCATGCTAAGATGATAAGCTAATATGATCAATTTTGCTCATGACTCCGGACGCATGATTATGAAATTCAAGTTATCTTTTCAGGGTCCTGTACAGACCTCATCACTTTAATTAAACGTTAGCAGAGCTGCTTCTGCTTAAAGATATGTTAGTACTGACAACCCATGTGGCATCTCTGAATCCTCTGGTTTCTGACCTGCAGAATGAGGAAGATGGACTAGATGATCTGTAAGGAACTTTTTAACTTGGTTCTTCTTTGGTTACTCAGATCCAGAAATGTTACAAAAGGGAATGTAAAATAAATTAAGGAGTTGGGAGCTGAGGCTGTTATTTTGCTATATTCTAAGGAAGTGATTATATGCAAGTGGGTACTTGTGGAATAATTTATATTGGAAGCACACTTAGAGTTAATGCAATCCTATTAAAAGCTATTAATGGAATTATTGTTCTGACAATAAGCTGTTATTAGATTCTTAGTATAATGATAGTTATTGCAGCATAAGATTAATGTGGTACTAAAATTTAAGCTCTGACTTTAAGGGCAATAAGGGCAATTTCAGTACGATAAGAATGCTATGATTAAGAAGAACAAGGCAAGAATTTTCTTTTTCTTTTTTTTTTTTTTTTTTAGAATTAGAGGAAAGCATGCTTCTGTGTGGTTTTTAAAACATTGACAAAAAATTGTCCTCTGTTTTGACCGAAAACTTTTAATCAGCAATCTAAACTCACTCAGTGAAATCTAGACTCATTCAAACTAGGATCTGGGCTTTTGTAATAGGTTACTTGGTTAAACCAATTGAATTATAATTAGTTATTTCTACAACTTGTTTGTTTCTTGTCGTCTTCTTTCTTTACCACTGTTTTACCATTTTCAGCCTAAGTACCAATTTTTAGGTGTGATATTCTTTTATTAAAACTCTCATATCCTATTTTTATTAATGCCTCAAATGTTCGCTGGCACATCCCAAACATCCTTTCACTGTTGGCCATTGCTACCTTGGCTATTCTTGGCAACCCCACTCAGTCACACATGACTTTTATCAAAGCACTGTGTCATTGAATGTGGCATTCGTTGAAAGCCTAGTATTTGGGGTGATTTGGCGAGGGCAGGGGGAGGTGAATATTTGTGTTTTAGAGATCACACCATTGCTTCATCACCTGTTTGATTAGGATGGGAACATTTCATTTATTTCTGTACCTCAACAATTATTTATTTAGTTATAAATACCATTGTACTTAAATGTTTTTGCAATACCATTTAACTATGAGATGTTTCATATTTTATAGAGGGGTTTAATATACTTTATCTCATTGGATTTTCATGAGAGCTCCACAAAATACAAAGGGGAAATATTACTTGCCCCATTCTACAGATGTAGAAACTAAGCCTCAGAACAAAGAACACACTGCTAGAAAATGACAGAGTCCCAGTTTGCCTGCTGCAAGACCCATGCTCTTTCCACTGTACTACACTGCCTCACCATAAGCAGAGGGCAATTGTGAATTTGAGGAATGATCATTCATTAATGTGTTTCTTAACAATATTGAAATTACTGACTCAAAGTTTTTCCAAATAGGTTTACTTTGCATTTAGCTCACTCTTTAACAATGCTCACAAGGTTATTTTTATTTTATTTTATTTTGAGATGGAGTCTCACCCTTGTCACCCAGGCTGGAGTTCAATGGCATGATCTCAGCTCACTGTAACTTCCACCTCCCGGGTTCAAGCAATTCTCCTGCCGCAACCTCCCGAGTAGCTGGGATTACAGGTACCCACCACCAGACCTGGCTAATTTTTGTATTTTTAGTAGAGACGAAGTTTCACCATGTTCCAACTCATGACCTCAGGTGATCCACCCACCTCGGCCTCTCAAAGTGCCGGGATTATAGGCGTAAGCCATTGCACCTGGCCTCACTTTTTAATTTTGCATGGCCTTTTAGATTTATAAGAATGGCTTCAATCTCATTTAAAGACTCCTAAGCCAGTTCATAGACAAATTACTAGCCATGGATGTTCTCTCTGAGCTGAAAGTCTTCCCAGTATGATGAATGTTCATCTCTACTAGGTTGAATGGATTCTAAATGAAGTGATTAATTAAAAAAATCAATTAGTGAGGAGGGCAAATATTTTACTCACAACAACCTCCTGTTTAGAATACCCTCCTTCATACAGAGGTGGTTATGTGGCAGTCCAAGTGAACAGGGAAGTACCTACGTTGGGAAAACAATCCTTGAAGCGTACTGACTGTTCTTTGCCCAGGAGTGGGAGGGAATTTTCTCTGAGCCAACATCTTTTCTTTCCCTGGCCCGCTGAGTAATGAATGCCCTTGACTTGTTCCTTCAGTGTGCTCATGATCTGATTCTCAGATGAAGCATGTATTACATTAAGCACTTCCCGTCTTGTTCTCCCTTTCTAAGTTAGAGGATCAGAAAGTAATATATCATCAACAGAAACACACTTATCTCTAAGCTAAGACTTGTTCAAATTTCTGAACTTAAGCTCTGTTAGCCTCAGGACATTTTAGAAATGAACACAATGTCAAAGTTAATGACATGGAGGTAATTAACTTGGCCTTATTTTCTTCCGACCTTAACTCATATTTTTACAAGCTAATTGATAGCTATGGTTAAATTAACCAAACAGCTCTAGTGGAACTAGTGAATCTTGCGTTAACTGACTTGGTTGATGGCAATGGGGTATACCTTTGCTCTCCATTTCTAGGGGGACCACAGGTCCTGATTTACACTGTACAGTCCTATTTTGATGTTTGCTGCCAATCCAGTCTATTTACTAATAATGTCCCTTTTTATCCTCAAAATTGCCCTGGTTTATGTAGTAAATTATATGGTTACCCTATTTGTTACTTCTGTTTTATGTGACTATAACTTGAAATAGACAGGGGTATTCTTATTTCCTAAATGGGCTGTAATTATTTTTATATTTCCTATCTTCTGATATGCTGACCAAAAAGAGATGTATATATGCATTCAGCTTTATTATAAGTAAACATTGTATTCGTTTGCTAGAACTGCCTAACAAAATACCACAAAATAATACAGACTGGATAGCTTAAATAACAGAAATATATTGTGTCATAGTTTTGGAGGGTACGCATTTCAAACAATGTGTGGAAGCTGGCTTGGTCTATTTCTAAGAGCTGTAAGGAAAGGATCTGCTTCAAGCCTCTCTCCTTGGCTTCTAGATGGCTGTCTTCTACCTGTGTGTTTACATGGCATTCTCCCTGTTTCCAAATTCCCTCTTTTTATAAGGATGCCAATCAAGTTGTGTTAAGGACACCCCGATGACTTTATTTTCAATTGATTGTCTCTATAAAGACCAAAATGTACCCCATAAATGTATACTCTCACAAGGTATCCACACAATTTTTTGAAAGACCAAACTAGATCTCTACATCTCCAAATAAGGTTACATTCTGAGGTACCAGGGATTAGGAATGAATTTGAATGGGAGTCAGTTCAAACCATAACAATTATTAATTATTTACAAAATATACAGCATGTAGCAGAAACATGTTTTACAAGAACCATACCATTTACATTTAGGAATACACTTATAAGTAGGTGCTATCACATCCTCAGTGTACAGATGAGGGAACTACAGCTCACTGAAGGTCATTCACCCAAAGACACACAGCTACCCTAGTTGGGGCACCTGACTCTGCCCTACTAGCCCTGCCACATATAGAGGTAGAAGAGGCTGCTGTGCAGTGGTGTAATTCTGGGCTTGGGTAAGGAATTTAAAAATCTCAAATATTTCCTTTATCTGGGATTTTACTTTTTATGGAATACAAAGTCTTCCATCTCCCCGATCAAGAGGAGCCAGCACTTAAGTTACACATTAAATTAAATATGCACTAATGTTTAAGGAGAGAGTAGGGGGAAATTGGGATCTTTGAAGTTCGGGGTGGGGTAGTAAGAGGAAATAGACCCCTAAATGTGGAAACAATACAGAAAGAGGGCTGCACATACTTCTTATTTTAAAAGTGTTTCTGGGGCCTACTGTTGACCATTGCTGTTTACACTGTTCCCTAGTGTGAACACATTGTTACAGATTGAGTGGACAATGGGGACCTAAAGTTCTTACTTTTTGGCGTATGGGCTGAAAGTGAGAGTGAAGAGGATAGGATCAGACTAGTACGTCTCTTCAGTGGTCTGGGCAGTTTGCCAGTTATCAAACCTGTCACTTTCATTCCTGTGTGGAATGTAGAAATATATGTAAATTGAAACAGCTTTCTCTTGTGGTTTAGGATAGTTTTGTTGCTGTTATCAGGGTACTCTGAGGATGCTCTCTCTTGCATGCTTATTTTCTTCATAATGTCATCTCATTCCTGTGGAAACAAGTCCCTTCTCTAGCACTGAGAGACACTGTTCAATGGTGAAAAGTCTTTATTTGGGCTGGCAGACTTCAGCGATATAGGGAAGAAAGAGAAATGTAAAATACGGAAATTGTTATGGTTTTGTACTGACAGGAGTACCTGAGGAAGATCACAAGATTCTGGCTGAGAGACAGATGATTTGACATCTGTTGCCATGTTTCTGCGGCGCTTTTCTGACTTACACAGTGCTGGTTTTCTTCTCCTTTTCCAGTTGCCACCAACATTTCATAAATTGGGGAAATGTGTATAAGTTAGGAAAGTGAGCACCGCTATGGTGACCTTTTCAAAACTCTGCCTTTTGATTATTCAGGTTCTTCTTCTCCTTGATGGAGAGGCAGAGCATGCAGACATCTTTCAGTGGAGTCTGAGCAAACATGTTTATACAGTCTTTCATAAAACTATGTGCTAATCTTGAGGGGAAGGGGAAAAGACAGAGCAGGTAAATCTTTTCTTGAAAGATAAAACAGACAAGGGAGGTCCAAAAAAAAAATGATAAAATTCACAATCCTCCAAGGATACAGCTTCTCTTTGAAGGAACTGGAAAGGAAAATGCCTTTCCAGTTTGTAACTGTTTGTAAACCTTGAGATGAAGTACTAACATTTGACTACATCTTTGCAATTTTCAAAGCATCTTCCTATATATTGTTTCATTTGATGCTTCATAAAAGTCTTGTGGCGTAGGAAGAGCAAATGCTGTCATTATTTGCTTTGGGGGATAAGGTATGTTAGAATCTCAGCAACACTGAGTGGCAAGGAAGGAGAGGAAGTCAGTATGAATTGGAATATAGTCTAGCAAGGTAGTGGATGTAACTAATTCATATAGTGTTGCCCCCAGTCATGGCTACCTTGGGATATTGTCAGTGTCTAAACCTAGTACTGATGCTTGTCATGGGAACCCTATCTAGTTAATAGGCCATAGCGGTAGAGGTTCTAGGTGATAGGAAGAATCCAGAGTCAATATGGTCCTGAGTTATCAGCAAGGATGCTTAGATAAATATGGCAAAGAGGGTTAGTTTGGGAGGGGATATGGACAGGGCCATGGCATACCAGGCAGACTCACAGTGCCAACATCACAGTAGGTTGCTTGACAGGCAAAATGAGATAGAAGCCTGCTCATAAAAATTGAATCATCCAGTGCTTAAAATTTATCTCTGGTTCACTGAACCTTGAATGAATACAGGGGTTACTTTCCAAGCTCCACCAGTAGACAGGTCTGAGGCTATCCACGCACATGGGCTTGACCTACATTAGGTCAAGAATTGATGTGGTTTTTAAACCTGTATGTTGGGTTCAACTACAACTCTACTTATAAAAGGGGCTGTGGAAGGAAAATTTAGGGAAAATGAGGGAATACGTGGCAGCCATTATTCTCCCTATTTTATAGAAACAGAGATATATAAGAATTACAATCACAGAATAAGAGGGACAAGTTGGACTAAGAACAAATCTGTGGTGACTCCCGAACCAGTGTTCCTTCTTCTACATGCTATGGAAGGGCCCAAGGGAGAGCAGAAATGTTGTATTGGTATTTTACACATTAAGTAGCAGGAACAGTTCCAGCATTAGAACGTCAGGCTCAGTGGTGAAGTAGAAGATTGAAACTGAAAGAAAACTGAAATAAAGTGTGCCACAGAAACAGGACAGCCAGTGGCATGCTAAGAGCTGAGAAGCTTTGTGTGTAGTGAAAACCTTTGTCCCAGTTGATTGTTTCAATGAAATGACTTGACATAGGCACCTGTTTCCAATTTTCCAGTCATTTGCCTTAGCTTAGCACACTGCTGCTAAGATTGATGACATATATGATCCTTTCGTTCTCTATGTAGATTTTTTCATTGTATATATTAGATCACTGTCATAGATTTATTGCATACATATAAATTATTTGTACAAAGTAGAGAAGATCTAATATACCCTTCTCAAGAACTGGAAATCTTCATAGTTAAGAATTAAAGAGTGTTGATGGGATAGGGAATCAGTGATGTGAGAATAAATCCTGAGAATGTGCCTCATGTGTTGTGGGCAGAGATGTGATGGGTGGATGTGCACTCAGTGTCATTATGAACATTTTATATTGGATTCTCATGCATTTTTAGATGAAGAATATCATGAGACAATTATGACTGTTAAAAACCAATGAAAAATTCTGTGTGCTCAAGAATAGGCAACATGGTAGAATCCAAGGCATGCAATGTCTTCAGGTAATCAGAATGCCTGTGCTCCCATAGCTTCTGTGATTTTTTTATGCCTTACATTGGTTCTTTATGTGTCTGCTTTCTTCACTGGAGTAAAAGCTTATCAAAGATAGGGATTGGGTCTCATTTTTTTTTTTCCCTGTTATATGAAGCACACAGCACAGTATTCTGAATGTGATGGAGGCTAAACAAATGTGTGTATTTAGAATTAAGGTAAGCTGGAGAAATGGAAATAGCTACTATAGTCCTTTAATTTCACAGATGGTTGTATTCCAATCTTAAAAGTAGACCTATTCTA
This sequence comes from Homo sapiens, assembly GCF_000001405.40. Lineage (NCBI taxonomy): Eukaryota > Metazoa > Chordata > Mammalia > Primates > Hominidae > Homo > Homo sapiens. The sequence continues at coordinate 147,532,755 of NC_000023.11, read as the reverse complement.
ATCTTAAAAGAGAGTATTCAAAATTAGATGCTCAGAAAGAAGGAATATAATTGAATATGTGGTAGAGAAAAAAGATGACTAAATTGGTAGTCAGAACACTATGGATCTTGTTCTAAATCTGACAATTTACTATATGATTCTGAGTGAAAGCCTTCTCTGTTATGGGCCTCTCTTATCCTTGTATTCAAAATGAGCCCATTTAGTTGATGGTCCTGTTGGATCTATCCTACTCAACATTTTGAATCCAAAATAGAAAGCACTGTAGAAAGGGCACCAAGCTGTTGAGATTCTATAAGTTCTATTGGGGATGTATGGGAGCAGGCAGAAAGACAGGTTGCAAGTTTAGAATTATTTTCTGATAATTAAGCAATACAAGTTCATTTCAGCAAATAAAGTATAAAATAAAGAATATGAAATTCAGTAATAATTCTATCCAGGGATAATCACAATGGGCATCTTTAGGTATTTCGCTGTAACTACTGCTCTGTGTGGTGGTGGGTGGGGGGCAGTGGGCAGTGTAGAGGAAGGGAGAATGGGAAGAGAGAGGAAGAAAGATTTACATTTATGGTATTGTGCTCCATAAACTGCTTGGAATCATGCATGAACCACTTAGCATTAAATTTTGAACACTTTATGTCATTAAATATAATAAGAAAAATGATTTTTAGTAGCTGAATTACATTTCATTGGTATGCATCATAAATTATTTCACCAATCTCCTGTTATTGTAATCTGATGCACATCTTTTAACATAGATCTTATAAGTCTTGGCCTATATTTTAAGATAAATGTGTAGCACATGTACATTTTAAAGACTTGATATTTATTGCCAAGTTGCTCTGTAAGAAGTGGTACAATTTATGCTGCTACCAGTTGCACACGAGAAAATCCATCTCAATATACTGCCTGCATGGAGGTTATCCTTATTTTCTTCATAACTTTGAATATTTGGTAAGTACAAATGTTTTATTATTTTAATTTAATTATTTTCCTGAATTAGTGCTGAGATATATTATTTTCTATGTTTATGATCACTTTGCCTGTTTGGGGGGAGTTAATTTTTTTCTTGTTGATTTGTGTAATTAAAGATAATTCTTTGTATGTCATATATTGCAAATATTTTTCCATTTTATCATTTGCCCGCTGTTTTTTAATGCTTTCTTTTTGTCATGCAGGAGCTTTACATTTTCAGGTAGTAATATCTAGTCGTCTTTTTGTTTAAGTTTTCTACTTTGGTTTCTACTTGGAAATGTCTCTCTCATTCCAAGATTATATGGAAATGCAGCTGTTGTCTTCTCCTTTGGTGCAGGGGGTGTGGGAGGAAGAGATGAGATACCCATGCTTACTTTGTTACTGTGGAAGTGTTTATGTAAAAACATGTTTTATTGTGTTTAATCAAGTAATCATTTTCTTTATTGCCCTTGTTTTATAAACACAGTTTGCAAGATGGAACATCTTAAAAGTGTTTTAATAAAAAATGTGTAAGCCTATTTGATTCTAGTTCAGTATAATCCCTCAGGCATTTTATTTTTCTTCAACACTTAACTATTTTCTCTTCTTTTCCATAAAACGTTTCAATGTGGAACTTATGCTGAATTTCTTTAAATTCAATTTGTCTCATATAAGATTTTAAATACAGATAACTTCTCTTTTCTCTTGCATTCCTGACCCCAACTTTTAAATGGCTCCTGAGCCTGTCCACTTAGATGCCTTGTAGGCATCTTAGAATCAAAAGACGAAAAAGTGAATTATCCTCTATAAAAAACGAAACAATTATCTTGCTTTTTCTATGTTTTCTGAATTTGTTAATAGCTTCATCGTTGGCATAGCAGTACAAGGCCACAATTTTAGCGTCAGCTCCAAAGCCTTCCTCTTTTTCTGCCATCATTGTAAATGATTTACTGAGTTCAATTGAGTTTTATTCTTTATGAGACTTCAAAATAATATGTCACCTATCTATTCCACTTTTGACATAATTTTAGACTTTTTCTCTTCCCTTGGAAGATGGCCACCACGACCTAACTGGTCTCCTCTGCTTCTAGTCTCTTACCTTTGTAATGGATCTTTGAGCATCATTTCTCTCAAAGTGAATTGTGATCACGGCCCAAAGTTATTGCTGGCTGGGGCTTGTCTGTGGTGGGAGTTATGGAGTTCTGTAATGGGGAGGAGGATGATTCCTTTCAGGAGATTCTCCTAAAGTGGTGTTTTTGGTAGCTAGTTGATGAGGTATAAGTAAAAGATTTGAGAGATGACAGTGGAAAAGCCAGATGATAGCACACATGGAGAAGGTAGACAAAGGCTGTGTGCTGGCTCCCTCACCTACTAATCACACATCCTGCTTCATGTACTGGTCAAATCCCTTCATGATTGTAGAATCACAAATTAAAAAAAAAAAACAAAAACCTAGTGAAACCCCCGTCTCTACTGAAAATACAAAAATAAGTTGGGTGTGGTGGCACACGCCTGTAATCCCAGGTACTCAGGAGGCTGAGGCAGGAGAATTGCTTGAACCTGGGAGGCGGAGGTTGCAGTGAGTCGAGATTGCACCACTGCACTCATCCTGGGTGACAGAGCGAGACTCTATCTCAAAAAAACAAAAAACAAAAAACAAAACACAAAAAAACAGATTCTACTTCTTATAATATTGCCAGAGACAGAATAACAATAACAAAAAACAACATGATGAAATATATGAAGGAAACGGGCATGCCGTTCAGGTATGAAAGATATTGTAATTGGTATATATCTTTCCATGGTGACTGTGACTTGGTAATACCTATCAAAATAAAAAGAAATTCACCAATCCTTTGAACTGGCAGCATTTCTTCCAGGGATTTATCTTATATATATATTTGCATACACGTGTAAATAACTTTGGGATGTTTAGTGCAGCATGATTTTTAGCTTAATAAAAAGGAAAATTTGTTTTCTCATTATAGGAGGCCAGGCAAATGAATTATGACATAGCCACACTTTGGAATATTATACAGTTGATACACAACTTTCATGCAGTTGATACACGAGCATTATACAGTTGATACACACACACATATATATATATATATATATACACACACACACACGTAGGAAATAGTGTCTAAGATATGCTGTTGAATAAAGGAGATTGAAGAAAAAATACATATACACGCATATTTATGCTTTTCCCTACTTCTTTTTACCCTGTCACACTTTCTCCCATTCAGCCAAAAGCTAAGGCATTTTACATTTCTTAGGTGAAGGAAATAATAGTGCAGGAGACAAAAATAATCAGTTTCCTGGCCATTGAGTTTGAAAAGCCTAGGTCCTCGTAGGGAAACAGGGCAAATATAGGTGTATGAACAAATCCATAGCATTGTGTAACTTCAGATGATCTAAGAGTGGGGCTTCTAACCAACTCAAGATACTGTTTCCTGGACTAGGCTGGTGGGAAGGAGGGTAGAAGGGGAAACTCAGAAAAAAAAAGATATTGCAAGTTCCTTGCGAGTTTCTGTAATATGGTTAATGGGAGTTAAAAACTGATAGAGGATGTGTACGTAATTTCTAAATTAGAACTTACAGAAGATGCAAAAAAGTAGAATAGAAGAAACTATGAGGTATGTTTATAACAAGTTAAAAACTTAAATTCCTACAGGTAGCAGGCTAGGAATGTAAATGAATGCAATGGGCCTTTGATAGAAAATCCAACTGGAAAATTCATGCTGTGATTACCTACATCAGCCAATTTTTGCCAAGTGAGAACATAGACCCAGTGTTGCCAGATCTTTGGATTTTGTAAGAGAAGCTAGAAATCTACACTTCATGTGAAACTTCCTGATGTTCACATGTTGCCAACTAGTTTACATTTAAAGTAAACAAGCAACAGACAAACAAGAACATTTTATATAGCCACATGAAATACACTTGCAGGTCACCTCTTTATAATTCTGGCATAGGCTGTTGGGCCTGAGCTGGCCTCATGGTCTTTTCCCTGGATTATAGGAGGGTGGCAAGAGATAGTATTTCATTGTTCCTTGCACAGAAAGGAACAATGAAATTTTGCAGCACAGAAATGGCAAAAATCCTGCGCCTCTGAATTTCCTGAAGACTTAGCAAGGTTCAGAAGCATCCATCTTCTGATGGGGGGGGAGGAGGAGGGAGGGGTAGGGGGAGAGAAGGAGAGAGGGGGAGGGGGGAGGGAGAGGGGGAGAAGGGAGAGGGGGAGGGGGGAGAGAGAATGAATATGAATATCTGGGATCAGAAGTAAAGAACAGCAAACCGGCACCAGCAGGAGCAGGAAGAGAGGACTGAAGATGAGATGGCCTTGAAGAATTTTTGGTGACTACTGGAGTTGATAGATAATAACACAGACCAAATCCCCCCATTGTCCTCTTTCTTGAAAGGTTGAGACCAAGTAAATTTAAATCCCTGGAACTTGGATGCCATATTAGTCCATTCTCACACTGCTAAGAAAGACGTACCCAAGACAGGGTAATTGATAAAGTAAAGAGATTTCATTGACTCACAGATCTGCATGACTGGGAGGGTCTCAGGAAACTTACAATCATGGCAGAAGAGGAAGCAAACACATCCTTCTTCACATGGCGGCAGGAGAGAAAAGTGCAGAGTGAAGAGGTGAAAAGCCCCCTTATAAGACCATCAGATCTCGTGAGAACAGCATGCGGGAACTGCCTCCGTGATCTAATCACCTCCCATGAGGTCCCCCCACAACAGTTGGGGATTACAATTTGGACTACAATTCAAGATGAGGTTTGGGTGGGGACACAGAGCCAGACCATATCAGATGCTATCTACAAAGACTCTGTGTGTGTACCTGTGTTGTCTATGTGTATGTTAGGAAACTGTTAATTTAGGTGAGACCAGATTGCCTCTACCTGATGGAGTGGAGGTTAACATGAAAATTAAGTACCGCTACTACAATTTGGTAATTTGAAGAACTGTCTCTAGACAGGGATTTGGATCCACTAAGTGTATATGCATGAAATAGCTGTGGAAACAAACAATATACCAGAAAGCATCAACAGTGATTTGGAGACTAGAAATTAGGAATTGAGCGCTTTTTTTTTAACGGACGTTTAAATGGTGTGATTTTTAACCCACCATATAAACCTAATATTTTTTTTAAAAAAGTAAACCTACTTCTTTTAGACCAATCTTTTCTAGCTATGTAAATCTACCCTGTGTTTCACCTTATTAAATTACTCCCTTTTTTCTCCCCATCTCATTTTCTTCTTTACATGCTTTTGCTTTTCCAACCTCTACCTCCCACATATTAAATATCATTCTACCCTTAGCCTGGCAATTCTGACTTACCTTCCAGAGTGCAGATCAGCAATCACCTCCTTTTTGGAATTTTCCCTAACTTCTCTCAGTATCCAAAGTATTTGCTCTCTAGAATGTATACCATTTGGTTTATACTGTAAATTATATATGTACCAAATCACCATATGGTTACTGGAATGCGTGCCTGTCTCTTTTGCTGGTCTGTGAATTTTCTGAGCATTAAGACATTACTACACCTTTAATTCAATAAGAGAGATGATAAAAATCTTGGTTCTAAAGTCTACTGTGGTGTTCTAGGCCAATGGTTCCTAAATGGCTACCCATTATAGTCCTCTAGGCTGCTTTAAGAAATTCTGATGCCCAGGCTGTTGCCCAGGGCAGTCAAGTTAGGATCGCTAGAAGTAGAAAACCAGGCATCAGAATTTTTCTTAGAACTCCACAGTGATTCTAATGTGCAGGCAAATTTGAAAATCAGTATTCCACAGATTTTAAAATCTGGACACCACAAAGCATTTTGGAGAACATGCTTCGATTCCTGTTGCTTTTGTGCACTTTCTTGCTTCATTTATTTGCCTTTAAGGCTCTTTGGAGCCTTGAACTAGCCAACAACTCTGAGCCCAGTTTCTATCTAAAAACTGGAGCTAATACTTGTTTTGCTTTACAGGGACGTCCTGAGGATTCAATGAGATGATACAGGACAAAATGCTTTGTGAACCAGACCCATACTTTCTTTCTGTACATATTTTATTTCTCTCTTGTAAATAACTTGGCTTCCAAAGAATATAAAATTTATTTCCAGGACTACTTAAAACTGTCCTGTTTTTTTCAGTTGACTTTGTTTTGTTCCTCTTCCTCTTGAACATCTATAGCTACTGCTTCTACTTTCTTAATGAACTTTGCATTGATCCAAAATACAAACTATTTAAACACTCTTTTTTTACAAATTGTAAGAAAAATCTTTTGTAGGTATTAAGATCATTCATATAACCTCAAAAGAACTTTCAGGGTTTTGTGCGTGTGTGTGTGTGTGTGTGTGTGTGTGTGCATGCATGCGCAACAGTTTTTCTTTGCCTTTGAAAAATTGCTGTGATGTCTGATGAGATACCATCTTTGCTAAGTTCCCCATCAATTTGCATGACAGATACTTCATAGAATAATTTCAGCCCAGTGCTGATCACTGAGTCATTGTCAGTTTGATTTGGTATCTTTCTTTTGACATATATACACTCGAGTGACATTTAAAATGGAACGACCGCTATTCTGGGCAAGGGAACCAAGCAATACATTTCTCATGCCTTTGCAACTTTCAGCTTTCTCAAGGTAGCATACCCTCAAATTCAAACGTATGGACAGTATAATTTTATATTCTCCAACAATGTATTTTTTATACTCACATCTTTAAATTTTTTTTTGTGGGGGGTGGATTTCAGAGGAAACATAAGTATAGTAGAGGGCTCTCTAGTCCTCCAAGTCATATGTATAGTAAATATTTGTAGTCACTGTCTTGAGCCAATTTTTAAAGCTAAACTGGTTAGGTATAAATTGCCATGAGAGTGCAATGTCCTTTGTGAAATAAGCATGGTAGTTCCAGAAGGTACATTATAATACTGACGATGCTCGCAGCAAGGCTCCCAGAGGTAGGAGACCAGGGATAGACACAAACTCTGCCATGCTTGCTTCACAGATTGAGTTAAGTTAAAACTTTCCATGCCTCAGATTTTTCATCTATAAAAGGGTATTACTACCAGATGTCCAAATCACACTGAATGGTTTTATGAAGAAAATTAAATCTCTTGAAAATGACATTGTAATATAGTAATACATGTTTGAATAGAACTTTTCAGGCTATGGACAGAGTGCTTAAAGACAACTTTATATCTTGATTCTCACTATGATCTAGTGAGTCAGGGATGAACACTATGAGCAAACTGAAGGCCAGAAAGATCATATGGATAGTCATTGACACAGCCAGAATTTGAGCCTCGTCCTAACGAAGGCCCTTTTACTTAATACTATACCTTGTTGCAGGAGAGTATATGAGAGTGTGTGTGCATGTACGCACATGAAAGCATGTGAGCATATGTATCTGTGCATGTACCTATCAGTACATGTATGTGTTAGTGTGCATGCACACATGTCTACCTGGGCACTGCATGTCTTTGTGCATGAGGAATGTGTGTAGATGGCCACCTATAAGCTTGTTTATGTGAGTATACTCGTGTGTGCCTGTGTGTGTGTGTGTGTGTGTGTGTGTGTGTCTTTGGTGGAGGTGGGAAGAGGGAGAAAATAAATGATTCCAAGTTAGTACTACTCTTTAATAAATTTTTCTGTGTATCTTATGATTTGAACATTAAAATGGTATCAATGAGCAAAAGTTAGGAAAATGTTTCATAGACTCAGTGGATGACTTCTTTGGCACTAGGTGTTCCATTTTTAAAAAATCTGTTCAGAAGTTATAAAGTCAAATACCAAGCTTGGGCAGCACAACAAGACCCCATCTCTACAAAAAATTAAAAAAAATTAGCCAAGTGTCGTGTCATGTACCTGTGGTTCTAGCTACCTGGGAGGCTGAAGTGGGAGGATCGCCTGAGCCCAGGACTTCAAGGCTGCAATGAGGTACGATGGTGTCACTGCACTCCAGCCTGGGCAACAAAGTAAAACCCTGTCTCAAAATAAAGTTGAATACCAGATCTGGAAGAAAAATTGGAGATCTTGTTGACAAGTACACCAGAATTGCCTGAGAATCTTGTTAAAACTAAAAAACCTGGGCTTCTCTCCAGCCTGACTAAATAGTGATCTCTGGGAGTGGAACCCACAGGTATGTATTTTAGGAAAGCTCCAGAGAAGAAAGTGATGCACACTCATGAGTTGAATCTTTTATGGAGAATATTTGTTATTAAAAATAGTAATGGTGTCTCTAACATACTCACCTTCTTCGGAACCAACTGAAAGCAAAAAGAACGGAAAGCCATGAAAGAAAATTGTAAAAGTTATTTAAGAGCTGTTCTTTATAAAGCACTAGGCTCAGAAAGATTCACTGATGAATTTTCCTAAATATTTAAGGAACAAATAACTCCATTTACATTTAAAACTTTTTGGAACATAGAAATAAAATTTCTCAATTTTTTATGAAGCCACTATATTTTCAATATAAAAACTCAACAAAGAGCATAAACTATAGACCAATCAAACTTATAAATTTCAATGTAAACACACTAAGCAAATGTTATCAAGTAGAATTCATCAGTGTGCTGAAAGAAAAATAGAAGATAGTCATGCGAGAAATAAAGGTTTCATATTAGGGAATTTATAATTTACTATGCTAATAGATTGAAAGAGAAAATCTACTTAGACATTTTCATGAATACAGAAAACTCACTTTGTAAACATCAGTGTCTACTCATTATAAAAATCTTACTAAAATTGAAATTAAGATGGCTAGTTAAATAAATGAACATACAAACACGCACACCCCTTTACCAAACACCATCTACACACCCGTTACAATGCATCATGATTAATAGTAACATGCTAGAAATATTTTCATTAATGTCACAAATAAGATAAGGATACCCACAGTCACTCTGATAATTTTTTTTTTTTTGAAATACCCAGGTAATACTGTTAGGAAAGAGGCACAATGACCAGAAAACAAAAGACAAAGTTATAACATACAAAGGGCCACCAAAATACGAAAAAAGGCTCAACATCAATAACTGGAAATGCAAATTAAAAGCAGAGGGAGGCGTCATCTCACACCAGTCGAAAGATCTCATTTTAACTTTTAGGTTCAGGAGTACATGTGCAGGTATTTTATGCAGGTAAAGTCATTTCACAGGATTTGATGTACAGATTATTTTGTCATCCAGTTGCTAAGCCTAGAACCCAATGACTATTTTTTCTGTTCCTCTCCCTCCTTCCAATCTCCACCCTCTAGTAGGCCCATGTGTCTGTTGTTCCCCTCTTTGTGTCCATGTGTTCTCATCATTTAGCTCCCACGTATAAGAGAACATGCTGTATTTGGTTTTCTGTTGTTGCGTTAGTTTGCTAAGGATAATGGCTTCCAACTCCATGTTCCTGCAAAGGACATTATCTCAATGGTTTTAATGGCTGAATAGTGTTCTGTGGTGTATATACACCACATTTTATCCATTCTTCCATTGATGAGCATTTAGGTTGATTCCATGTCTTTGCTATTGTGAATAGTGCTACAGTGAACATATGTGTGCATGTGTCTCTGTAACAGATTGATTTCTGTTTCTTTGGGTATATGCCCAGTGATGGGATTTCTGGGTCAAATGGTACTGCTGTTTTTAGCTCTTGGAGGAATTGCCACACTGCTTTCCATAATGGTTGAACTAATTTGCATTCCAACCAACAGCGTATAACTGTTCTCTTTCCTCTGCAACCTTGCCAGCATCTGTTATTTTTTTTTTTTACTTTTTAACAATAACTATTCTGACTAGTGTGGCGTGATTTGCATTTCTCTAATGATCATTGACATTGAGCTTTTTTCACATGCTTGTTGGTGACATATATGTCATCTTTTGAAAATTGTGCATGTTCTTTGCCCACTTTTTAATGGGGCTGTTTGGTTTTTGCTTGTAAATTTTTAAGTTCCTTTTAGATGCTGGATGCTAGACTTTTGTTGGATGCATAGTTTGCAAATATGTTCTGCCATTCCATAGGTTGTGTGTTTACTCTATTGATAGTTTATTTTGCTTTGCAGAAACTGTTTAGTTTAATTATATCCCATTTGTCAATTTTTTCTTTTGTTGCGATTGCTTTTAGTGCCTTTGTCATAAAATCTTTGCCAGTTCCTATGTCCAGAGTGGTATTGTCTAGATTGTCTTCCAGGGTTTTCAAAGTTTGAGGATTTAGGCCTTTAATACATTTTGAGTTGATTTTTTTGTATGGTGTAAGGAAGTGGTCCAGTTTCAATCTTCTGCATGTGGCTAGCCAGTTATCCCAGCACCATTTATTGAATAGTGAGTCTTTTCCCCATTGCTTGTTTTTGTCAGCTTGGTCAAATATCAGATGGTCATAAGTGTGTGGCCTTATTTCTGGGCGCTCTATTCTGTTCCATTGGTCTATATGTGTGTTTTTGTACCAATATCATGTTGTTTTTATTATTGTACTATAATTTGAAGTCAGGTAGTGTGATGCCTCCTACTTCGTTCTTTTTGCTTAGGATTGCCTTGGCTATTCAGGCTCTTTTCGGGTTCCATACAAATTTTAAAATATTTGTATCTAGTTCTGTGAAGAATGTCATTGGTAGATTGATAGGAATAGCATTGAATCTGTAAATTGCCTTGGGCAGTATGGCCATTTTAATCATATTGATTATTCCTATTAATGAGCATGGAATATTTTTACATTTGTTTGTGTCATCTCTGATTTCCTTGAGCAGTGTTTTGTAATTCTCATTGTAGAGATCTTTCACCCCTCAGGTTAGCTATATTCCTAGATATTTTATTCTTTTTGTGGCAATTGTGAATGGGATTGTGTTTCTAATTTGGCTCTTGGCTTGTCTGTTGTTGGCATTTAGGAATGCTATTGATTTTTGTACATTTATTTTGTGTCTTAAAACTTTGCTGCAGTTGTTTATCAGCTGAAGGAGCTTTCGAGCCAAGACAATGAGGTTTTCTAGATATAGAATCATGTCATCTAGAAACAGAGATAGTTTGACTTACTTTATTCCTATTTGGATGTCCTTTATTTCTTTCTCTTGCCTGATTGCTCAGGCCAGGACTTCCAATACTACGTTAAATACGAGTGGTGACAGGAGGGCATCCTTAACTTGGGCTGGTTTTCAAGGGGAGTGCTTCCAACATGTTTCTATTCAGTATGATAACCACTGTGGGTTTGTCATAGATAGCTCTTATTATTTTGAGGTATGTTCCTTCAACACATAGTTTGTTGAGAGTTTTTTGCATGAAGGGATGTTGAATTTTATCAAAAGACTTTTCTGCATCTACTGAGATGATCATGTGGTTTGTGCATTTAGTTCTGTTTATGTGATGAATGACATTTATTGATTTGTATATGTTGAAACAACCTTGCGTCCCAGGTATAATGCCTACTTGATTGCAGTCGATTAGCTTTTTAAGGTGCTGCTGAATTCAGTTTGCTAGTATTTATTTAAGGATGTTTGCATCAATGTTTATCAATGATATTGGCCTGAAGCTTTTTGTTTCTGCTGTTTCTCTGCCAAGTTTTGGTATTAGGATAATGCTAGCCTCAGAATAATTTGAGAAGAAGTTCATTCTCCTAAATTTTTTGGAATAGTTTCCGTAGGAATGGTACCAATTCCTCTCTGTACATCTGGTAGAATTTGGTTGTGAATGTGTCTGGTCCAGGGCTTTTTTTTTTGGTTAGTAGGCTATATATTACTGATTCAATCTCAGAGCTTGTTATTGGTCTGTTCAGGGATTCAATTTCTTCTTCGTTCAGTCTTGGGAGGGTGTATGTGTCCAAGAATTTATTCATTTCTTCTGGATTTCCTAGTTTGTGTGGATATAGGTGCTTTATAATAGTCTCTGATGGTTATTTGTACTTATGTGGTGTCATTGGTAATATCCCCTTTGTAATCTCTGATTGTATTTCTATGGATCTTCTCTCTTTTCTTCATTAGTCTAGCTAGCAGTCTCTATTTTTTTAAATTTTTTGAAAAAATTAGCTCCTTTTTTATTTTTTGGATTTTTTCCTTTTCTCAATTTCTGGTTTGGCTCTGATTTTGGTTATTTCCTGTCTTCTGCTTATTTTGTGGTTCATTTGCTCTTGCTTCTCTAGTTCTTTTAGTTGTGATGTTAGATTGTTAATTTGAGATTTTTCTAACTTTTTGATGTGGGCATTCAGTGCTATAAATCTCCCTCTTAACACTGACTTAACTGTGTCCCAGATATTCTGTTATGTTGTATCTTTGTTTTGATTAATTTCAAAGAACTACTTGATTTCTGCCTTAATTTTATTATTTACTCAGAAGTCATTCAGAAGCAGATTGTTTAATTTTCATGTAATTGTATGGTTTTGAGCAATTTTCTTAGTCTTGAATTCTATGTCTATTGTGCTGTGGTCCAAGATAGTGTTGGTATAATTTCAATTCTTTTGCATTTGCTAGTGAGAGTTTTATGTCTTATTGTGTGGTCAATTTTAGAGTACGTGCCCTGTGCAGATGAGAAGAATGTATATTCTGTTGTTTTTTTGGTGGAGAGTTCTGTAGATGCCTATGAAATCCATTTGGTCCAGTGTTGAGTTCAGGTCCAGAATATCTTTGTTAATTTTCTGCCTCTGTGTTCTGTCTAATACTGTCAGTGGTATTTGAATTCTCCCACTATTGTCATGTGGGAGTATAACTCTCTTTAAAGGTCAGTAAGAACTTGATTTATGAATCTGTGTGCTCCTGTTTTTGGTGCATATATATTTAGATAGTTAGGATTTCTTCTTGAATTGAATCCTTTACCATTTGGTTATTTATTTGTTTTCTTTGATCTTTGTTGGTTTGAAATCTGTTTTGTCTAAAATTAGGATTGCAACCCCTGCTTTTTTCTGTTTTCCCATCTACTTGATAGATTTTTCTCCATCCCTTTAATTTGAGCCTGTGGGCGTCGCGGCATGTGTGATGGGTCTCTTGAAGAAAGTATAACATAGGGGCTGGATGCGGTGGCTCACGCCTGTAATCTCAGCACTTTGGGAAGCCGAGGTGGGTGGATCACCTGAGGTCAGGAGTTCGAGACCAGCCTGACCAACGTGGGGAAACCCCGTCTCTATGAAAATACAAAAATTAGCCGGGCATGGTGGCATGTGACTGTAATCCCAGCCACTTGGGAGGCTGAGGCATGAGAGAATCACTTGAGCCCCACAGGCAGAGGTTGCAGTGAGCTGAGATCACGCCACTGCCGTCCATCCTGGACGATGGAGCCAGACTCCATCTCCGAAAAAAAAGAAAAAAAAAAAGTATAACATTGGGTCTGGGTTCCTTATCGAGCTTGCCACTCTGTGCCTTTTAATTGGGGCATTTAGCCCATTTACATTCAAGGTTAGTATTGACATGTATGGATTTTATCCTGTCATTGTGTTGTTAGCTGTTTATTATGCTGACTTTTTTGCATGATTGCTTTATAGTATCACCAGTGTGTTTTTCTAGTGGCTGATAATGGTCTTGCCTTTCCATATTTAGTGCTTCTCTCAGGAGCTATGCCTGGAGGTAAGAAATTCTCTTAAAATTTGCTTGTCTCAAAGGATCTTATTTCTCCCTCCCTTATGAAGCTTAGTTTGGCCAGATAGGAAATTATTGGTTGGATTTTTTTTCTCTGAGAATGTTGAATGTAGGCCCCAAATCTCATATGGCTTGTAGGGTTTCTGGTGAAAGGTCCTCTGCGAGTCTGATGGGCTTCCTTTTGTAGTTGACAGAACAGTTTTATTAAAAGGTTTAAAAAATACAGGGGCTGGCAAGGCTGTAGAGAAAAGGGAATGCTTATATGTAGTTGGGAGGAATGCAAATTAGTTCAACCACTGTGGGAAACAGTTTGGAAGTTTCTCAAAGAACTGAAAACAGAACTACCATTCAACAAAGCAATCGCATTATTGGGTATATACTCAAAAGAAAATAAATTATTCTACTGAAAAAAGACATGCACTCACATGTTAACCACAGCACTATTCACAGTAACAAAGATATGGTATTGACCTAGATTCCCATCAATGGTGGAATAAAGAAAATGGTGAGTACACACACAGGTATATTTATTGTGGCACTGTTCACAATAGCAAAGACTTGGAACCAACTCAAATGTCCATCAATGATAGACTGGATAAAGAAAAGTGGCACATACACACCATGGAATACTATGCAGCCTTAAAAAAGGATGAGTTCATGTCCTTTGCAGGGACATGGATAAAACTGGAAACCATCATTCTCAGCAAACTAACACAAGAACAGAAAACCAGATACCACATGTTCTCACTCATAAGTGGGAGTTGAACAATGAGAACACATGGACACAGGGAGGGGAACATCACACACTGGGGCCTCTTGGGGTGGAGGGCTAGGGGAGGGATAGCATTAGGAGAAATACCTAATGTAGATGACGAGTTGTTGGGTGCAGCAAACCTCCATGGCACATGTATACCTATGTAACAAACCTGCATGTTCTGCCCATGTACCCCAGAACTTAAAGTATAATAATAAAAAAGGAAATGGTGAATAAAGAAAATGTGGTACATATATACTTAAGAATACTATGCAGCCATAAAACAAGAACCAGATAATGTCCTTTGCAGGGAGATGGATGGAGCAGGAGGCCATTTTCCTAAGCAAATTAATGCAGAAAAATAAAACCAAATACCACATGTTCTCACTTATATATGTGAGTTAAACATTGGGTATTCATGGACATAGAGATGACAAAAGTAGACACTGGGGACTACTAGAGGGGTTATGGAAGGGTTTGGATATGGGTGAAAAACTAACTTTTGGTTACTATGCTCAGCACCAGGGTGACAGGATCAATCATACTCTAATCCTCAGCATCACACAGTATATCAAAACTGCATATGTACCCCCTGAATCTGAAATATAATGTGAAATGATTTTTAAAAATCTAATCAAAATCAGTCAAAGTCCCGAATATAAGAGCTTAAACTATAAAACTCTTAGTTGACACATAAACCTAAACCTTTTTTTTTTTTGAGACGGAGTCTCCCTCTGTCGCCCAAGCTGGAGGGCAGTGGCGCGATCTAGGCTCACTGCAAGCTCTGCCTCCCAGGTTCACACCATTCTCCTGTCTCAGCCTCCCAAGTAGCTGGGACTACAGGCGCTCACCACCATGCCTGGCTAATTTTTTCGTGTTTTTATATAGACGGGGTTTTGCCGTGTTAGCCAGGATGGTCTCGATCTCCTGACCTCGTGATCTGCCCACCTCAGCCTCCCAAAGTGCTGGGATTACAGGCGTGAGCCACCACGCTCAGCAAACCTGAATCTTTATGACTTAGATTAGGCATTGTTTTCTTAGATGAGACACCAAAAGCACAAGCAGCAAAATAAAAATAATTACACTTAATTTTAATAATGATTTTACAATCCTAAAATTCATAGGAAACCATAAAAACCCCTGAGTACCTAAGGCAATTTTTAGCAAAAGGAACAAAGCTATATGCATCACATGAACTGATTTCAAACTATATTATAAAACTACAATAATATGAGCAAAATGGCACTGGTGCTAAAATAGATAACCAATGGAACAGAATAGAGAACCCAGAAACACACCCATTCATTTACAGCCAACTGATTTTTGATGAAGCTGTCAAGAACACATGATGGGAAAAAGACAGTCTCAATAAAAGATGTTGTGAGAACTGGTTATAGACATGCCTAAGAATGAATTGAGACTCTTATTTCACACTATATGTGAAAATCCTTAATGAATGGATTAAAGACTTAAACATGAGACCTAAAACTGTGAAACTACTAGAAGAAATCCTAGGAAAAAAGCTATGCAACATTGGTCTGGGCAATAAGTTTAAGTTTTTTTATTAGACCCCAAAAGCTTAGGCAAAAAAAGTATTCTTTAGTTTGGTATAAACCCACAAAGCAAGATTCCACAGAACAAACAAACCATTTAATGGAGTGAAGAGCCAACCTACAGAATGGAAGAAAATGAATTGTCAGCCACACATCTGATAAGTGGTGAGTATCCAAAATATATAAAGAATTCAATGCAATAGCAAGGAAACAAATAACATGATTAAAAAATGGGCAAAGGACCTGAAAACACATTTTTCAACAGATGTGAAAAGGAATGGTAATCATCCATGAAAAGGAATGATGCAACCACATGAATGAATCCTGATAACATGTTAAGTGAAAGAACTGAGATACAAAACATTGCCTATCATATAATTAAACGTTAATGAAATTTTCACAAGAACCAAATCTATAGGAATAAAGTAAAAAGTATACTTGTGCTTGCCAGCATCTGAGGGAAGTTGGCAATGGAGAATGACTGCAAATAAGTATTGGCTATATTTTGGGGGTGAAGAAAATGTTCTCAGATAGTGGTGATATTTGCACTACCATGTGAATGTTGTAAAAAACATTCAATTATGTACTTTAAGTGAGTGAATTTTATGAAATGTAAATTATGTCTCCATAAAAATAAAACACATGAGGAGATAATTGACAGGGAGAGCAGTTTATAAACGTGAAATGATACTAAGCGCTATGCATAATAAAAATGTGAATTAAAAAAGACCATTTCTACCTATCAGTATAGAACAATACAAATAAGCTCAACATTTCACAGTATTGTTGGAGGTGTAGGAAATATGACATTATTATTTCTTCCTGGTGAAAACGTATATTGATGCAACCACTTTGGAGGGCAATTTGTCAGTATCTATCAAAATTTTACTGCGTATACATTTGCATATATGTACAAAGCAGTATGTTCAATGTTATTTACTAAAATGGTTACTTAATAAGGAAAGAGAAGGGAATACCTTGTTGGTAGGAAATTGAACGATAATAAATTGACTAAATGTTAGTCTGTTTTTATTAGCATCACATACATCTAATTTTAAATTATGCCAGTGTTAAAACACCACCTGTCAAGGTTTCCTCATTCTTCCCACTGTCCCATCTTATGTTTGGTATGCTACTACACTGTAGCATTGTTTATAATAGCAAAAGAGTAGAAGCAACTTAATTGTCCACAGAGTACATTAAAAGGGGACATGTCAAACGACAATATATCCCATATAATGTAATATGCAGCCATTAATATGAGTCTAGTGATTTATAATATGGAGATACATTTTAAATGATAAAATTCAAGGTAAAAAAATATGTGTATAGCAGGCTTCAGCATAGGATTAGTTTGCATAGAAAATTCCTGGAAGGTGCGGAAGAAACTTATTAGTTGCCCCTGTGGAGCCGAATTAGGAGAGTTAGTGTGGAGGGTAGGAAGAAGACTGAGCTTTTACTGTACACCCTTTACAAATTATTTGGGTTGTATATCATGTTCATGTATTAAGCAGGCTTTTAAAAATCATGTGCGTATTTGGATTTTTTTAAAAATTAAAATGTGCATGTTTAGGAAAAACTCTTGTCCTGGATGATGTCTTTCTATTACTATAGTGATTGTATTTGGCTGAATATAGGAAACACCCACCCCTACCCCCAAAACAAACATCATGGCACTTAAGAGCTTTATTTCTTCACATAATAAAGAATATGGAGGTAGGCACTCCAGGCCTGTTGCAGCTTTTCTGGAAACCATGTTGCTTCTGTCTTTGTTCTCTGCTGTCTCTAACAAATGGATATGGGAATGGTTCAAAAAGGAAAAATATATTAGATTTTAGAAAATATGATTACGTAGCTTACCATCCAGACTGATTGGTGGAAAGCATGAGGGTTTCTTATTAATCTTCCTACTGGGAGAAATATAGTAAGCATTTTGAAATGAATAGGTAATATATAATTTATAGTAATTTATAATTTATTTATAAATAAATACAAGTTATAACTTATAATTTATAATTTATAAATAAATACAAGTTATAGCATATAATTTATAATTATGTATAATTATAAATTGTATACAATTTATAATTTATAAATAAATACAAGTTATAGCTTATAATTTATAATTTATGAATGAATCTTTCATACAGTTTCATCCATCATTTTACAGAGATTTCAATTTCACAATTGAAACCAACATTCCAGTGAAGGCATTCATGTATCAGTTTTCTGTTTGATCTTCAATTATGACCAGAAGAGGAACCTGGGGCCTTCTTTTTCCTGGTAGCCACCTTTTCAGGCTGGATAGTAAGAGTATATGGCAAACTCGCTACTTTTAAATGGTCCCACCAAAGCCTTAGGGTTGCAAGTGTATCACCAGAGAGAGGCCTGACAAGTCACCACCACAGTCCTTTCTGGAGATCACAATAACAAGTTCTGTAAGTCAAAGGATATGGAGCAATAAATAGATACACTCTTCTTTTTCTTACCTGGGTTGAGCATTTTACCTTTTCTATATGCTCAACATTGTACCTAACCAATAGGTAGACACTTCATTTAGCAACACATACTGTATTGGAGAAATCTCTCTAAAGAGAAGTGTATATTAAAATAATCATCACTGATTTTAATTGAAAAAGCAATCTCCATGCTGAAAATGCCTATGTTTATTTGATCATAACAACTTGGCTAAGTGTTGGGAATCAGTTGGCAAAGCTCTTTTAAACAGATTTTCTGTTACTATAAGGAAGAATGGATATAAAGTGAGTATTGAAAACAGTGGCAATGCATACATCTCTCCTAGTCGCTTTACAATTTAACAAGGTAACACATATTTACAGCCCATACCATGATACAAATTCCTCAAAATAAAGAAAAATACACAAACAAGAAATCATTGGAATATAAATTTAACAGATTATTTGGTGAAAAGCTCTGTGATGGCAGAAATGAATCTCTTTTTTAATACTCTATCCTTGCTATCTGGCCTAGTGACTGGCATATGGCAGTTAGGGTTCAATAAATAAGTATTAGCTGAATGAATAACCCAAACTTGGTAGGTGAAAACATGAGATCTTTTTTTTTTTTTTTTTTTTTTTTTTTTTTGAGACGGAGTCTCGCTCTGTCGCCCAGGCTGGAGTGCAGTGGCGCGATCTCGGCTCACTGCAAGCTCCGCCTCCCGGGTTCACGCCATTCTCCTGCCTCAGCCTCCCGAGTAGCTGGGACTACAGGCGCCCGCTACCACGCCCGGCTAATTTTTTGTATTTTTAGTAGAGACGGGGTTTCACCTTGTTAGCCAGGATGGTCTCGATCTCCTGACCTCGTGATCCGCCCGCCTCGGCCTCCCAAAGTGCTGGGATTACAGGCGTGAGCCACCGCGCCCGGCCAAAACATGAGATCTTACTGCCATAGTGTATATGTTGACTTCGATATAAAGAGCAAATCATGTTTATCATCAATAAACAACTGATTGTGTCTTAGTTCTTGATTCATGTACTTGTCTTAGGAGAGGAACACTCTTTATTGCACCTCAAACATTCTACAAGACAATCCAAGACATTTTTCACTTTATTTCTTTTCTTTTTTTAAGTGACACGTAATCATTGTACATATTTATGGGTCACAGTGTGACATTTCCAAACCTGTGTAATGTAATACAATGTGTATTGTATTACATTGTGTAATTGTGTATTACAATGTGTATTGTATTACATTGTAGTGTATTAATTGCAATACATTGTATTGTAATACAAAATTACAATTACAAAATTGTAATTATAATTAATTACAATTACAATTACAAAATTGTAATTGTAATTAATTACAATTACAAAAAATTACAATTACGATGTAATACAAAAATTACATTGTAATAATTGTAAT
Source organism: Homo sapiens (assembly GCF_000001405.40). NCBI lineage: Eukaryota > Metazoa > Chordata > Mammalia > Primates > Hominidae > Homo > Homo sapiens. The sequence goes on along the minus strand of NC_000023.11, from coordinate 147,513,068 downwards.
ACATTGTATTGTATTAATTGTAATACAGTACACATTGTATTACATTGTATTGTATTACAATGTGTATTGTATTGCAATGTGTAATACAATGTGTATTGTACTGCAATGTGTAATACAATGTGTATTGTACTGCAATGTGTAATACAATGTGTATTGTATTGCAATGTGTATTACAATGTGTAATACATTTCCAAACCTGTGTAATGTAATACAATTTGTAATGATCAAATCAGATAATTAGCATATCTATCACCTCTAACAAGTAATATTTATTTTTTCATGTTGAGAACATTCAAAATCCTCTCTTCTAGCTATTTGAAAATATAGAGTAAATTTTTGTTAACTATAATCACCCTACAGGGCTATAGAATGCCAGAAATTATTCCTCCTATTTACCTATAATTTTGTAGCTATGAACCTCTTCTTCCCCTTCCCTTCCTTCTACCCTTCCCAGCCTAGAGTACCCACTATTCTACTATCTACTTCTATGCGATCAACTTTTTGGCTTCCACATATGAATGGAAACTTAACATATTATATTTCTGTGCCTGACTTATTTCACTTAGCATAATGTCCTCCAGGCTCATCCATGTTGCTGCAGATGACAGGATCCTATTCTTTTTGTGGCAAAATAGTATTCCATTGTGTGTATACACCATGTTTTATTTATCCATGTGTCTGCTGATGGACACTTATGTTGATTCCATATCTTGACTATTCTGAATAGTGCCACAATAAACATGGGGGTGCAGTTATCCCTTCGATGACTGATTTCCTTTCTTTTGAATAAATACCCTGTAGTGAGATTGCAGGATTGTATAGTTGATATATTTCTAGTGTTTTTAAGAAACCTGTATACTGTTTTCCATAATGGCTGTTTCGTTTCTTCATTTTCTGTATTTAACAAATCACTGAGTCTTCCAATTGCACTTTACAAAAATCTTTATTGCATAAAACCTTCTGTCCATCCTGTTTGCCACTGTCTTAGTCCAGACCATGATAATTTCACACCTAAATATATTTTTGAAATTATAAATAAGTGAATAAACAGCATTCTAGACAGTTCCTCTGCCTCCAGGCTCTCTCTCTCTCTCTCTCTCTCTCTCTCTCTCTCTATATATATATATATATATATATATATATATATATATATATATGTATATATTCTTTTTTGAGATGGAGTTTCACTCTTGTTGCCTAGGCTGGAGTGCAGTGGCATGATCTCGCCTCACTGCAACCTCCGCCTCCTGGGTTCAAGCGATTCTCTTGCCTCAGCCTCCCGAGTAGCTGGGATTACAGGCATGTGCCACCATGCCTGGCTAATTTTGTATTTTTAGTAGAGATGGAGTTTCTCCATGTTGGTCAGGCTGGTCTCAAACTCCTGACCTCAGGTGATCTGCCGGCCTTGGCCTCCCAAAGTGTTGGGATTATAGGAGTGAGCCAATGTGCCCGGTCCAGGCTCTCTTTATTCTAATTTATCACCAATGCAGCAGATTATCATGTTGATGTTTGAATAAATTATTTTCAATAGATGCAGAGTTTTCCTAAATAAAATTCTAATATGTTACTGTTAGTAATCATTTTCCAATAGTCTTGCTCTAAATTTCCTTTCTAATGACGGTTCTTGTTCTTTCTTTCTAGTCTTCTTTCTTGTCTTTGAATATGTCATCCTCTTTGCTGCCTAGAGTCATGACACATGCTATTTCATCTTTTTTTTTTTTTTTTTTGAGATGGAGTCTTTTTCTGTCACCCAGGCTAGAGGACAGTAGCGAGATCTCGGCTCACTGCAATCTCCACCTTCTGGGTTCAAGCCATTCTCCTGCCTCAGTCTCCCAAGTGGCTGGGATTTCAGGCGCCTGCCACCATGCCCAGCTAATTTTTGTATTTTTAGTAGGACAGGGTTTCCTCATGTTGGCCGGGCTGGTTTGAACTCCTGACCTCAGACCTCAGGTGATCCTCCTGCCGTGGTATTTCATCTTCTTTATTCATTCTTCTCCAGACTTCACCTTGCTATTACTTACTATTAAGGCCTCAGCTTTAAAAAATAATTATTCTGTTAAGTCTTCTTTTAAGCCTCCTAGAGTAGATCAGACCATCCTGCTATGTAATCACATAATTCCCTGTACTTCTCCTTCTTAATACTTATAACTATTTTAATAACTTATTCAATGTCTGTCTTCTTTGATCAATTATAAGGGCTGAGGCTATATCTGTCTTGTTCATCTCATGTTGCCCCATGCAAAATGTGATTGTTATATAGTAGGTACTCAAAAATATTTGTTGAATGAAAGACTGTTAACTGATATATTAATACATGATGCATTGTCATGAATTGATACGTTTTTATAAGTTATCCATTCCACCTATAACATCATTCCCCATTCTCCACTGAAATTTGTAATCTTATGAATAGTCATTGTGCCCTATAATGGGCCAGTAACTGTGCTATATTGTAGGGATATAAAGACATGTGAGACGTAGATTCTCATATGAAGAAGCACAAGGTCCAATTAAGAGATACAGGCAGATAAATGAATAATATAATACTTTGTTATTACTGTATTGGCAGGATTTTCTAATTTTCTACAAAACATAATGGCAGCACAAAAGGATTCTGTAATTATGAACTACACTGGTTGGGGTGGAGTGAAAGAGAAAATTCAAGGAAAGGGTAACAGAAGAAGTTATGCTTGTTTTGATTCTTAGGGGATCATTAGGTATTCACCAGGAGGATAGGTCAAAGAGCAGTCTGTCTCAAAGAAATAACAGGTGTGATGGTGTCACAGGTTGGGTTTTCTTGGAAGCAGACTCTGAGTTGGAGTTCAGTGTGCAGGTTACTTATTAAGGAGTTCAATACTTGGGTTCAATATTTATGGAAGGAAGGAGAAAGAAGAACTACTCAGAGGAAGAAACCCAGTGGTGATACACATCTAGAAGTATATACAAGGAGCTCTGAAGATGGAATAGCCTTGCAGAGTTGTAAGTTGACACTCGTGGGTCGAAGTGTCCAGATATTTATGTGCCTGCATTGGTCATTAGATGTGAGTTTCATCTAGGAAGGGATGTGAACTTTGAACAGATCAGCTGTCTACAGCTGAGGCAGTCCTTGAAGGGGCTGCCAGTTGAGGATTGTCCACTCATAGAATTCCTAGCAGCTGGGGAAGAAAGTCCTTCCTTGAACAGTATCTGGCTGGTGCATCATAGATGGCAAGGAAGAGTAGAATAGCTTTCCAAGGCCGGGCATGGTGGCTCACGCCTGTAATCCCAGCACTTTGGGAGGCCGAGGCGTGTGGATCACCTGAGGCCAGGAGTTCGAGACCAGCCTGGCCAACATGGCGAAACCCTGTTTCTACTGAAAATACAAAAATTAGCTGGGCATGATGGTGGGTGCCTGTAATCCCACAGCTACTCGGGAGGCTGAGGCAGAATAATCACTTGAACCTGGGAGGCAGATGTTGCAGTGAGCCGAGATTGTGCCACTGCACTCCAGCCTGGGTGACAGAGCAAGACTCTGCCTCAGAAAAGAAAACAGCTTTCCAAATTTAGAAACAAGCACATTATATATATATATGCACACACATATATATGCGCATATATATATGCACATATATATGCGCATATATATATGCGCATATATATATATGCACATATATATACACATATGCACAGACACATGTGTATATGTATGTATGTGTATTCACATATATATATATATATATTTTGGATCATAAGGTGCTGGTATTAGGCTAAAGGCAAGAGATAATGCTAGTGAGACAAGTAGAAAAACAGTCACTAGTGATATTTTTTGCAGTTTGGACAAGTAGAGAGACAAGCAAGTGTAAATCTCCAAAATAGGATTGAGTTTCTCATTTGTTAGGGAAAGTAAGGGAATTTCAGAAAAAGATGATCACATTAGACCGGTGGCAATGGGGATGGAGGAGGAGAAGGAATGGAATAGAGACATAGTAAGTGGGTAGAAATGAAGGAATATGGTGAATTGAATACGTGCGTATTGGGGGGCTTGATAACGAGAAAGGAGTGAATGAACATGATGCATGGTTTATAACTAGGAATATAAGGTAGATGGCGGAAAAAAGAACAAATCTGAGTAGGGAATGAAGGAGATAATGAGCTTAGTTTTGGACAGGTGTACTTGGAGTTACCTGTGGGACATCCAGGGTAAATACATGGGAAGTTATAAAAGCTACTAGTATGGATATAAATCCTACATGTGTGTATATTTATGTGCTTTTTGTAATTAATGCAAACAGTACATCCAGGGAAGTCATTCAGTAGGCAGATAAATATGAGGCCTAGAAACTTAGAAGATCTGAAGAAACAAATTTGGGATCCTTAGCACGTAGATGATAACTGATGCTGTGGTTGCTATGGTACTGTAAGAGAAAGAAGATTTTAGAGTTGAGGACTTTAAGAGAAGAACCCCAACTTCACAGACAATGGCAAGGACTAAACTTGTTACTGTGGTTGCCTTGGCCTACTTAGTTGCCTATGTGACTAGACACAGAAACAGCTTAGTATCAAGAGACCGATAAGCCTTGCTGTTTGACATTGTCAGCAAGAACTTGGAAGGATGCTCAGCGCCCGTGGAGGACTGCCTCTTCCTAAAAGAATGTGATTTCATTTGACCTCCCAAACACAAGCAGGTAGTCAGAATATGAATATCTGTCCCATTTTACAAAATAAGAAGTTACTCCTGATTAAGGAAAACTTTTCCTTCTCTAGCATATGAAAAAAAAAAAAACAACACTGACATCTTGTTCTTCTGACTTTTGTATATGATTTTATTGGTACTTTTGAAGATAAACATAATTCACAATTAGAAATTCAGAGATATATCCAAGTTTGGAGCAACCTGAAGTATGTCAGACCTAAATGGCAATGATCTTGCATGATTTTTCTATAGTTTGGAATTCACTCCAGTGGAATTTCCCGGCAAGTGATGCTCTCAAGGCTGCTTTAAAATCCTGTGGGGACAATGCCCAAGGTCAACAAGAGGTGAAACAAAAACATTGTACTTTGCTAACTTGTATATACTTGCCCTTCCAATTTCTCAGCATTTTCTCTGCTGTGATTTCCAGTAATTGTGGAAAGAAACACCACATAGTTTCACACTGAATGCAATTAATGATTTAATGAAACTTGGATTCATTAACTTTAGTAGAGTTTTACAAAATCACCTTGCTGAAGCCTGCAGAGTGCGCCCTAATGACCCATGAACAAGCTACACATACAGTCTTAAAATTCTACAATGAGCTTTTAAAACAAACTCGGTAGTAAATGCAGTGGCTGAGCTAAAATATGTCATCTCGCTCTCTTTTAAAAGCTACTTAATTTTTTAATGGAAAGTGCAATTTAGTTGATAGTCACCCCTTTGCTATTGCACTGGAATAAACTAAATTTAAAGGCATAGAGTAGAATGAACTAAGAAAAGCATGCAGAAAAGTATAAAATATAAAATATAAGGAACGCACAGAATTGAAGACTTGATTCTGAATACTGGTGGAGATGTTCGGTTATTGACATTTTTTCATTACTGTTACTGGATGTTGGTAAAAAAGGAGAAAAGGAATTAAGTAGGAAAAGCAGCTCAGGGAAAATGGAAGTATCTTAATTGAAAAAGACATCATAAAGAGATCTATAAAGACCAAATGAGGTCACACAAACTTTTCTATGTTGGAAGTGATACGTGATTGGTATTAGAAAAATGAGTAAGGACAGGGGCTAAATTCTGTAAGCCAAACTGATCTATTGATGCAGACTAAAGGAGACACCAAAACAGCCCATAGCAAAAGTTTTGGAAAATAGGCTGAATGTCAGAAGAGTCAGGCATTAAAACTCAGGAAGGCGAGTGTCAATATCAAGCTGGTGCCACGAGGGGGGCAGGTGGTACGGGGCTGTGTTACAAAAAGATACAAACTCATTATAAGAGCCAGCATGCAAGGCTGCAGTGGGGGTAATTATTAATTTTAAGGCTTACTCGATGTTTAGCTTGTAAGTGATATTTGATAATTGATATTTAGCTGGTAGCTTATATACCCTAAGTAGGAATGATTTGAGGGTGGAGAACAAGTGTTCCTCTGTCTGGGAACTGGAAGGACTTAGCCAGAGCTGACAGTCATATTCCAAGTCGTTTTCTAACATGGCCTCACAGCAGCATTTGCAACTGTGGACCATTACTTCATTCTTAAAATGTCCCCTTTATTAGTCTTTACTACACCATACTATGTTGTTTGTCCCTTTACCGTTATAGCTGCTCCTTCTCCACCTCCTTCACTGTTTCAGTTCTGAATGTTAGCAGCCCTCAAGCTTCAGTAATAGGCTTTTTCTTGTTCTATACTTATCCTCAGCGCTAGCCTCATGGCTTTAATATGATCAACAAATATTTGTTTTCCAAATAGCTCTATCATTATCAATGTGTCTTCAATTTAAATCTGTCTTGAACTTTAACCTAATATTTCTGGCATTTGTTTTGTTAACTTGAGTAATGTTTCAATTCTTTCTAGAGGAAAAAATTCATATAGATGCCCAAGTGCTATAACTCTTATTTTTTGTATATGATACTTATAAGATACTTTAAAAAATCAATCCTATATGTATGTATATTTATGTGCTTTTTGTAATTAATGCAAACAAAAAATTCCAATTAAATATAATGAAGACTACAAAGTCACAGCATGATGCAACAGATAATTAAAAAAAACAAAATAAAACTCGGTTTCTTCACTATGGATATGGTGCTGACCGCTAAAGGCCAGATTTTTTTGAGTTCATCTTGCCTATACTGCGTGCCCTATGATGGCTCCATTCCACTATGTTTCTCTTTTTAAATCATGATGAAACTTTTTGTATATACATAATGAACTGCCACGACATCACTTGGCTTTCACTTGGCTTGAATGTATCATTTATTATTTAATTACTTTCACTAAATGATCTCAAAAATGCTTATTTCTATAATTTGCCATCACAGTAAAAACAGAATTAAAAAACTAAAAGATCTCTGCAAATGTCCGTGGATGCCGTTTTGCATACAGTACTTCACCTTGATGTTCTACGGTCAACTAAAACTGGGAGTGTCTAAACTAAACTCACCACTTTCTTCAACCTCAACAATCTGCTTTTTCTGTATTGTGTATCT